>NC_000001.11:112887168-113190198 GCF_000001405.40 Homo sapiens
TCATACTATACTTCCCTTCTACCGGAAAGCCTCCATCCACTGACCTCTCCACCTTTGCCATCCAAGATTGGGCCTGGGTGCCCACCCACCCCAGGCTCCCACAGCTCCCTATGCTCTCCTGGCTTTTATGAAGAAGTTTTTTTTTTTCATTCACCAATTTACTTTATGCTCCCTCTTGAGTCTATATATTTCTACAGGATAGGAACCCATCTTGTTTGCCGTGATCTCTCCTAGGGCCTAGCACAGTGCAGCCATATAGCAGGCATGTAGCAATAATGGCTATAATATCAACCATAGCCCACATTTATTCAGCAGGCACTATCATGTGGTGGGAAGCATTCAGGATGCTGTCAGTCATAGTGTGCTTAGTACTCATGTGGCTGCATAGCACCCAGGATCCATTCCCACCAATCTCCTGTCCTTTGGAGGCAGATAGGTGAAAACCGCGTTTCCCAGCCTGACTTCTTTGAAAGCAATGGGTACATACGGGGATCCAACATTTAGGCCCTCACATGAGATTTGGAAGGTGGAAGAGGCAGAGTCCGCCTTCCTGCTGCTTTGGCTGGTTCTTTCTGGCAAGCAGGGCCATACAGATGCACGCTTTTTCCTGCAGCAGCATCCAGTGTCCAGTTACCACCTGCGGGGAATACGGGGACAGTTGGTGGCAACAGCTGTGGAGGCCCCATCTGCTCCCTGGACCACAGCCATGCCAGTGTAACCCAGAACTCTGCAGTGCCAATGGAAATCTCCAGGTGCCATACCTTGCTTCCTGCTCAGGTAGAGGTGGCAGACCCTCTGGACTCAGCCTTACTTCCTCTCCTCTCCCCATCCAGACACTCCAAGCACCCTGTAATCACCCAACCTTTGTCTCAAATCACTTTCTGCTCAAAGTACCTCCAGTGGTTCCTATGTCCTGCACTGAACTCTGCTGACTCATACAATTTTTTTTTTTTTTTTTTTTTTTGATACAGAGTCTTACTCTGTCACCCAGGCTGGAGTGCAGTGGCACAATCTCGGTTCACTGCAGCCTCCGCCTCCTGGGTTCAAGTGATTCTCCTGCCTCAGCCTACTGAGTAGCTGGGACTACAGGCACACACCACCATGCCCGGCTAATTTTTGTATTTTTAGTAGAGACGGGGTTTCACCATGTTGGCCAGGATGGGCTCAATCTCCTGACCTTGTGATCCGCCCACCTCGGCCTCCCAAAGTGCTG
The DNA here is from genome assembly GCF_000001405.40 of Homo sapiens. Classification (NCBI taxonomy): domain Eukaryota; kingdom Metazoa; phylum Chordata; class Mammalia; order Primates; family Hominidae; genus Homo; species Homo sapiens. The sequence continues at coordinate 112,888,382 of NC_000001.11, forward strand.
GGATTACAGGCATGAGCCACCGCGCCTGGCCAGACTCATACAATTATTATCCTTATTTTACAGAGGAAGAAACTAAGGCCCAGAGGAGTTAAGTAATCTTCCCAGAGCCTCACAGCCAGTCAGTGGTAGAACCAGGCTTTGAACCCAGGGCTTTCTGACCCCAGCACCCACCATACTTGCTGCCTCTGAGAATATGTGTTGCTGCGTGCCCGATGTGGGAGGAGGCACAGAGAGCCTTCTGGCAGGGGGCTGGGCTGACTCCCATGCAAGCAGGTCCTGAGGCAGGGTCCCAAGGTGTCTGCCCCTTCCTGAGCAGCACAAACTGCTCAGCTTCCTGGGGAAGGTTCCAGAAGCTAAGCTGCCCTAGATGGGATAAGGGGCAGGGAGGCTGCCTAGGAGAGCCAGGCTGTCTAGTCACAATGTCAAGCTTGTGGAAGAAATATTCCTTTTGTGGTTCATATCCTTCTTGTTGCTCTAATCACTGGGAGACCATCTGGTACATCGTTGATGGCTGCAAACGTGCATTTAAGAGCTTGAGAGAATACAGCACAACAGGGAGGCCACCATAATGACTGTCAGGACAATATACCAAAAGTTTGGAGTGTTTCTTAGTCAAGGTCCCCATGAACCAAACCAATGAAAATAAACAAAAGAAAACAAAAAGTTAATGGCTAGAACAAACTATTAACTCAGTCTCTGAGTCTACAGGGCAGTAAAGAAGATTTCTGTATGTTGGTCTGTTCCATGATAAGCAGGTCTATACAATCCTACCCACAAATACCGAGAGAGCTGACAGGCTGGCCAGTTGCAGTGGCTCACACCTGTAATTCCAGCCCTTTGAGAGGCCGAGGCAGAAGGATCACTTGAACCCAGGAGTTTGAGACCAGCCTGGGCAACATAGCAAGACCCCCATCCCTATTTTTAAAAAGAAAGAGAGCTCAGAGGCTGAAAAAAGAGGGTGACAAATCCAGTTTCTTAGAAATAAACATTTAATAGGAATTCACAAACAGAAGTCATGACTTGGGCAGCCACAAGATGGTGGATCCCTGCACTGTCAATATTACTCTCCAGACCCAGGGCTTATACACCATAGGGAAAGGGCATATGTGCTTCAGGAGGAATGTGTGGGACAATTGAAGTTGATTCCTTAGGGAAAGGCAAGCACACTATGTGCATCATAGCCTATAAATTGCCTGAGGGCAGGATTTATGTTAAGTGCATGCTAACATTACACAAAGTAGAAATCTCAATGACATTCCCATAACTGGGGTTAATCAGAAGTCAAAGTGGCAAATTAGCATCCAAGATGGAGCTGCTTTAACCTCCACATGTTCTCAAAGCATTTTCATTTGGAAAGGGGTCAGGCACTGGCAGTCTGACAGATTTTCCTGGTTCGCAGTTTGCACCAGGTGTTCCAGTGAACTTTCTGAGTAGTTCATACAGCAACAGGCATGAAGGTTGTTCATATAGAAGCTGTTATGATAATTTCTCTGAAGCCTGTATCAAGTCTTCCAGCTTTGACTTGCAGAGCTCTTAAGACTAGAAATCTTTTTTTTTTTTCTGAGACAGATTCTCATTCTCTTACCCAGGCTGGAGTACAGTGGCACAATCTCGGCTCACTGCAACCTCCACCTCCTGGGTTCAAGTGATTCTCCTGCCTCAGCCACCTGAGTAGCTGGGATTACAGGTGTGCGCCATCACACCCGGCTAATTTTTGTGTTTTTAGGACAGACGGGGTTTCGCCTCAGGTGATCCACCCACCTTGGCCTCCCAAAGTGCTAGGATTACAGGCATGAGCCACTGCGCCCGGCTGACTAGAAACCTTTTTAAGCCAGGCCAGTTTTGTTCCAACGGGTGCTTTATTGGCTCCGTAATGCCAGCCTTAGTTCCTTAAAGCTGCCTAGTTGTATCTCAAAATATAACATTCCAGTTAAAGCCTTGGTTAATTTAACCAGTGTTTCCATTATGTTTGCTACAGGAAAACAGGTTCTTACTGAACTTATGCAAACAATTATATTGCCATAAACATAAGGATACTCACTAATAGTTTCATAATTCTGGAGGGATCAGGTAGGGAAAAAAAGTAAATGTTATAATTTTTGTTCACAAAAGTATACTTTACCAAATTTCTATAAGCTACAGATAGCTTAAGAAAAAAGAAAAAAAAATCTTAAAGAAAACAAATTTATTTTATTTTATTTATTTATTTGAAATGAAAGGCCTCATATTTATTACTGAACCCAGTCAACCAACACGTTCATAACAGATTCAGAGAGGAAAACATTTCGAACTGTCTAGATAGTGGTGACATTTTCAGCTTGATATGGTAACGTGATTGTGACCTTCAGACAGCATCAATATGTGTGCCGTCTTATATGCAATTCCTTATAGATCCAGCTTGGTTCTTCTCCAATGTCTCCTTTTGGAGTTGTACCTGAGTTTATTACCAGTTTTCATCTGAATCCACTGGGGAATGGGACAATTTTGCTTTTGTTTCTTGGCCAGGAATGGCTTAATCCTGAAGGTCTTGTGAGAAGACATGGCGAGAAGTGGAGTCAAGCACACACCATGACGGCGGAGAAAGGAAGAGAGTATTCTATTTTATTCACTTATTTTTTTTTTTTTTTGAGACAGAGTCTTGCTCTGTCACCCAGGCTGGAGTGCATTAGCATAATCTCGGCTCACTGCAACCTCCACCTCCCGGGTTCAAGTGATTCTCCTACCACAGCCTCCCAAGTAGCTGGGATTACAGGCGCCCACCACCATGCTCAGCTAATTGTTGTATCTTTAGTAGAGACGGGGTTTCACCATGTTCGTCAGGCTGGTCTCAGAAGTCCTGACCTCAGGTGATACACCCCCCCTCTGCCTCCCAAAGTACTGGGATTACAGGCACGAGTTACCGCGCCCGGCCTGGAAAACAAATATTAAAGAACCAGAAATGTTTTAAACAAAAAGGCACAAACATTATCCTTGTCAGTTTATTCAGTCTATGTAATTAATTCTTGTCCTGCCTAGTATTGGGTTAGCAGTTTCATGAACCCATCAATTTCCTTAGAATTGATCCATGAATCTCCTTGAAGATGAAACATTTTAGGATTATAATTGTTTGCAAAAGCTTTCAGGAAAGTGTCAGAGTAAAATAGTTAACTGTCTGAGGATAACAAGACTTAAAATGGCCATCATTAAAAATCTGATATGAGTTTATTATAATACAATTGACATAGAAAATTCATTATTGGCTGGGCATGGTGGCTCATGCCTGTAATCCCAGCACTTTGGGAGGCCAAGGTGGCAGATCACCTGACGTCGGTAATTCAAGACTAGCCTGATTAACATGGAGAAACCCCGTCTCTACTAAAAATACAAAATTAGCCGGGCGTGGTGGCGGGCGCCTGTAATCTCAGCTACTCAGGAGGCCGAGGCAAGAGAATCACTTGAAACTGGGAGGTGGAGGTTGTGGTGAGCCGAGATCACACCATTGCACTCCAGCCTGGGCAACAAGAGTGAAATGCTGTCTCAAAAAAAAAGAAAAGAAAAGAAAAAGAAATTTCATTATTTATGTGACATGCAACATTTTAACATAATAATCAAAATTATGACTGATACTATTATACCAGGACATGTTAGATTTTTAGAAATTTCATATAATTTCTGGAATACTCATATCAATTACAAATATAAGGTTTTAGCAGCACTTATCATTTGACAATTCTCCTCATATAATTTAACATCTAAAATAAGCCTAATCAGTTTAATATCTCTCTTTTTATACAAATTATTTTGATACATTCAAGAAACCTGTCTGGAAAATCCCAAAGTTAAAGTGAAGAAAAAAACAATTTAGCCAGGCACAGTGGCTCATGCCTGTAATCCCAGAACTTTGGGAGGCCTAGGCTGGCTGATTGCTTGAGCTCAGAAGTTCAAGACCAGCCTGGCCAACATGGAGAAACTCCATTCTGTACTAAAAATACAAAAATTAGCTGGGCATGGTGCTGTGTGCCTGTAATCCCAGCTACTCGGAAGGCTGAGGCAGGAGAATCACTTGAACCCAGGAGACTGAGGTTACAGTGAGCTGAGATCATGGCACTGCACTCCAACCTGGGCAACAGAGTGAGAAGCCATATCAAAAACAAAAGAAAAAAACAATTTAGAATTTGATTTTGGGAAGTTTGTTGAAAATATCAAAGGTTGAAAACACTTGATTTAGGCCAGGCACGGTGGTTCACACCTGTAATCCTAGTACTTTGGGAGGCCAAGGTGGGCGAACTGCCTGAGCTCAGCAGTTCGAGACCAGACTGGGCAACATGGTGAAACCCCATCTTTACTAAAATACAAAAAATTAGCCAAGCATGTTGGTGTGCACCTGTAGTCCCAGCTGAGGTGGGAGAATCGCTAGAACCTGGGAGGCAGAGGTTGCAATGAGCCAAGATCATGCCACTGCACTCCAGCCTGGGCAACAGCGAGGTTCTGTCTCCAAAAACAAAACAAAACAACACTTGATTTAACAGGATCACAGATAATTATGAAGAAATGCCAAAGTGACTAAACATTTCAAAGGCAAGTACAGAAAATTAGTTTTAAAAAAATTAGCAGTTTTAATATTGAGAAGACTAAGTTCTTAAATAATCAAAAGACCTAACACAGGCTGGGCACGGTAGCTCACGACTGTAACCCCAGCACTTTGGGAGGCCAAGGTGGGCAGATCACCTGAGGTCCAGAGTTCAAGATCAGCCTGACCAACATGGAGAAACCCCATCTCTACTACAAATAGAAAATTAGTCAGGCAAGGTGGCACATGCCTGTAATCCCAGCTACTCAGGCAGCTGAGGCAGGAGAATTGCTTGAACCTGGGAGGCAGAGGTTGCAGTGAGCCGAGATTGCACCATTGCACTCCATCCTGGGCAAGAAGAGTGAAACTCCATCTCCAATTAAAAAAAAAAAAAAAAAAAAAAAGACCTAATACAAGACAACATGAAGCACATGAAATTTTCTTGATAAAACACAGAAGCTTTTTTTTCCCCCTCACACAGATCACTTCGAAGATAATCCCTTTCAGTCTCTTATCTACTCCAAGGAAACCCTATTGTTTTAAAAGAAGAGGCCAAATGTGTCTGGGTGTGGTGGTACTGTAATCTTAGCACTTTGGAAGACCCTGGCTGGCAGATTGCCAGAGCTCAGGGGTTCGAGACCAGCCAGCCAAACTTGGCGAAACCTCGTCTCTACAAAAAATACAAAAATTAGGCAGGCATTTTAATGGCCTGATGGGTTCACCTTGCCGGTTGCTTAGATATAGCTAATTTATCAAAACAGGGGAATTGCAATAGAGAAAGGGTAATTCATGCAGAGGCAGCTGTGCTAGAGACTGGAGTTTTATTATTATTCAAATCAGCCTCCTGGAGCATTTGGTGATCAGAGTTTTTGAGGATAATTTGGTGGGTGGGGGAAGGCCAGTGAGTTGAGAGTGTTGATTGGTTGAGTCACAGCTGAAATCATGGGAAGTTGAAGCTATCCTCTTGTGCTAAGAGTCATTTTCTGGGTGGGGGCTGCAAGATCAGTTGAGCCAGTTTATCTACTCCGTGGTGCCAGTTTATCAGTCAAGTGCAGGGTCTGCAAAATATCTCAAGCACTGATCTTAGGAGCAGTTTAGGGAGGGTCAGAATCTTGTAGCCTCCAGCTGCAAGACTCCTAAGCCATAATTTCTAATCTTGTGGCTAACTTGTTAGTCCTACAAGGGCGGTCTAGTCCCAGGCAAGAAAGAGGTTTGTTTTGAGAAAGGGCTGTTTTGTTTTAAACTGTAAACTATATGTTTCTTCCAAAGTTAGTTTAGCCTATGCCCATGAAGGAACAACAACAGCTTAAAGATTGGAAGCAAGATGTAGTCGGTTAGTTAGATCTCTTTCACCGTCTCAGTCGTAATCTTGCAAAGGGCAGTTTTAGCATGGTGGCATGTGCCTGTAGTCTCAGCTACTTTGGGGGCTGAGGTGGGAGGATCACATGAGCCCAGAAGTCCAGACTGCAATGAGCCGTGTTCACACCACTGCACTCCAGCCTGGGTGACAGAGTGAGACGGTCTCAAAAAAAAGATCAAATTCTAGTTTTGCATCAGTGTAACTTTGACATTAAGATTCATTTTTAAAAACTCCCGAGAGGTGACAGCATGCTGGCAGTCCTTGCTGGCTCTTGGCGCCTCCTCAGCCTCAGCGCCCACTCTGGCCACGCTTGAGGAGCCCTTCAGCCCGCTGCCGCACCGTGGGAGCCCCTCTCTGAGCTGGCCGAGGCTGGAGCCGGCTCCCTCTGCTTGCGGGGAGGTGTGGAGGGAGAGGCACGGGCAGGAACCGGGGCTGCGTGTGGCGCTCGCGGGCCAGCGCGAGTTCTTCGTGGGTGTGGGCTCGGCAGGCCCTGCACTCAGACTGGCCCGCCGGCCCCGGCAGTGAGGGGCTTAGCACCCAGGCAAGCAGCTGTGGAAGAGGCGCCGGGTCCCCCAGCACTGCCAGCCTGCCCGCGCCGCCTCAAATTCTTGCCGGGTCTCAGCCACCTCCTTGTGGGGCAGGGCTCGGGACCTGCGCCGCTGCGCTGCGGCGCCCCTTCCCATCGACAGCCCAAGGGCTGAGGAGTGCAGGTCTGTGGTGCAGGACTGGCGGGCACCTCGGCCTGCGGCCCTGGCGGGGGGATCTACTAGGCAAAGCCAGCTGGAGAACTTTTATGTCCAGCTGGAGGATTGTATATGCACCAATTAGCACTCTGTGTCTATCTCGGGGTTTGTGGATGCACCAATCAGCACTCTGTATCTAGCTAATCTGGTGGGGACTTGGAGAAATTTTGTGTCTAGCTAAAGGATTGTAAATCCTTTAGACACCAGTCAGTGCTCTGTGTCTAGCTCAAGATTTGTAAATGCACCAATCAGCACTCTGTATCTAGCTAATCTGGTGGGGACTTGGAGAACTTTTATGTCTAGCTAAAGGATTGTAAATGCACCAATCAGCACTCTATGTCTAGCTCAAGGTTTGTAAACACACTCTGCACCCTGTGTCTAGCTCAAGGTTTGTAAACGCACCAATCAGTGCTCTGTGTCTAGCTAATCTAGTGGGGACTTGGAGAACTTTTACGTCTAGCTAGAGGATTGTAAATACACCAGTCAGCACTCTGTGTCTAGCTCAGGGATTGTAAACTCACCAATCAGCACCCTGTCAAAACGGACCAATCAGCAGGATGTGGGTGGGGCCAGATAAGGGAATAAAAGCAGGCTGCCCAAACCAGCAGTGGCAACTCGCTCGGGTCACCTTCTGTACTGTGGAAGCTTTGTACTTTTGCTCTTTGCAATAAATCTTGCTGCTGCTCACTCTTGATCTGGACTGCCTTTATGAGCTGTAACACTCACTGCGAAGGTCTTTAACTTCACTCCTGAAGCCAGCGAGACCATGAACCCACCGGAAGAAAGAAACTCCGAACACATCTGAACATCAGAAGGAACAAACTCCGGACACACCATCTTTAAGAACTGTAACACTCACCGTGAGGGTCCGTGGCTTCATTCTTGAAGTCAGTGAGACCAAGAACCCACCAATTTCGGACACACTCCTAGAATAAATTCATTCAATTTCAGCTGATTTGACACATCAGATTCTCACTTTTGCTCTCTTGCTCTTTTCAACTTTCTGTCTATTCAGTTTTTGCCTTTATCAATTTCTTCATTCTAAAACAACCTGTGGGCTAAGTGCGGTGGCTCATGCTTGTAATCCCAGCACTCTGGGAGGCCAAAGTGGGTGTGTTACTGGTGGGTCCTTGTTCTTAGAGCTCCCAAGATGGTGGCGGGCTGCTCCCAAGATGGCGGCAAGCCTTTTCTTCTCTGACCTGGAGTTCTTGGCCTCCCAGATTCCAAGGAATGGAACCTTGGGCCATGTAGTGAGTGTTACAGCTCTATTAGAAGTCGTGAGTCACGGAAGAGAACTGTGGAACCCAGCAACTAGTGTTCAGCTCCATCAGGACGAACCTAGGCACTTAGCTGCGCAGGAACAATGGTGAGTCTCTAGCCCCATTGGGAGCAGCAATGGGCACCTCGCTGGATCAGAAGCACAGCCTGTGGTACTGCTTCTCTTGGCCTGTGTCCTCAAACCTACTGTCAGTCAGGATCTGGGCAGGAAACCACTTCTACAATTTTTTTTTTTTTGAGACAGAGGAGTATCACTGTCTCACCCAAGATGGAGTACAGTGGTACTATGTCGGCTCATTGCAGCCTCCGCTCCCAAGTTCAAGCTAATTTTTGTATTTTTAGTAGAGACAGGGTTTCACCACATTTGCCAGGCTGGTCTCAAACTCCTGACCTCAGGTGATCCACCCACCTCGGCCTCCCACAGTGCTGGGATTACAGGCATGAGCCACTGAGCCAGGCTGTGCTGGCTATTATCTGAAGTTATTTTATGGTTGTTGACAAATAGAAAAGTACTAAAAATATCACAGAAGCAAAGAAACTGAAAAACATGATTCTTCCTTGTATTTTAAAAAAAAATTTTACTTTTCATGATTGACCTGCCATCAAGCCATTATTTTTACAGTGCATTTCACTTATAGGTTGAATTTATAGTCTTATGGTCTTAAATATCTATCAGAGACAATATAAACTTGTTTGACTAGGAAATCTAGGCAAAAACAAACAGTTCTTAAAACAGTTTCATTTTTATTTTATCAACCATTTAAAAACTAGCTTTACTTACCAAAGATTACCCCATATCATATGAATTAAAAGGCAGTTGGGCTATTTCCTAAATTTCTGAGAGTTTTAGGGATATTTCATTTATATTAGTGCTCATTTAACTCAGCTCAAGTTTGAATAGAACTCCTTTAGGGGATTTTATAAATTAGTTTAGAAATACCATCTGGAGGGAGAAAAAATATCAAATATACAAATCATACATAACTAAATATACATTAAGATGGATACGAAGATCTTATAGCTTTTATTTTAAAATTTTAGTCACGAATCAGTAATACAATTGGCTTATCTCCACTTATATTTTTATTCAAATTGTGCTTCTGACAAAAATCGGACAAGTTAAGGCTACTTGCTCACACGGCTAAAGCATATTTTAAAAATAAAATTTGTGGAAAAGACAATATTTTTTGGTTGCCAGTTTCCAAATAGTTTCTCCTCCTTTTTTAAAAAGAAAAACCAAGCTTCTTTTTTTTTTTTTCATTCTATTTCATTTTATTTTGTCTTTTCTTTTTTTTTTTTTTTTTTTTTTACATTTTTTTTTTTTAATTTATTTATTGATAATTCTTGGGTGTTTCTCACAGAGGGGGATTTGGCAGGGTCATGGGACAATAGTGGAGGGAAGGTCAGCAGATAAACAAGTGAACAAAGGTCTCTGGTTTTCCTAGGCAGAGGACCCTGCGGCCTTCTGCAGTGTTTGTGTCCCTGATTACTTGAGATTAGGGATTGGTGATGACTCTTAACGAGCATGCTGCCTTCAAGCATCTGTTTAACAAAGCACATCTTGCACCGCCCTTAATCCATTTAACCCTGAGTGGACACAGCACGTTTCAGAGAGCACAGGGTTGGGGGTAAGGTCACAGATCAACAGGATCCCAAGGCAGAGGAATTTTTCTTAGTGCAGAACAAAATGAAAAGTCTCCCATGTCTACTTCTTTCTACACAGACACGGCAACCATCCGATTTCTCAATCTTTTCCCCACCTTTCCCGCCTTTCTATTCCACAAAGCTGCCATTGTCATCCTGGCCCGTTCTCAATGAGCTGTTGGGCACACCTCCCAGACGGGGTGGTGGCCAGGCAGAGGGGCTCCTCACTTCCCAGTAGGGGCGGCTGGGCAGAGGCGCCCCTCACCTCCCGGACGGGGCGGCTGGCCGGGCAGGGGGGCTGACCCCCCCCACCTCCCTCCCGGACGGGGCGGCTGGCCGGGCGGGGGGCTGACCCCCCAACCTCCCTCCTGGACGGGGCGGCTGGCCGGGCAGAGGGGCTCCTCACTTCCCAGTAGGGGCGGCCGGGCAGAGGCGCCCCTCACCTCCCTGACGGGGCGGCTGGCCGGGCGGAGGGCTGACCCCCCCACCTCCCTCCCGGACGGGGCGGCTGGCCAGGCGGGGGGCTGACCCCCCCACCTCCCTCCCGGACGGGGCGGCTGGCCAGGCGGGGGGCTGACCCCCCCACCTCCCTCCCGGACGGGGTGGCTGGCCGGGCTGAGGGGCTCCTCACTTCCCAGTAGGGGCGGCCGGGCAGAGGCGCCCCTCACCTCCCGGACGGGGCGGCTGGCCAGGCGGGGGGCTGACCCCCCCACCTCCCTCCCGGATGGCACGGCTGGCCGGGCGGGGGGGCTGACCCCCTACCTCCCTCCCGGATGGGGCGGCTGGCCGGGCGGGGGGCTGACCCCCCCCACCTCCCTCCCGGACGGGGTGGCTGCCGGGCGGAGACGCTCCTCACTTCCCAGATGGGGTGGCTGCCGGGCGGAGAGGCTCCTCACTTCTCAGACGGGGCAGCTGCCGGGCGGAGGGGCTCCTCACTTCTCAGACGGGGTGGTTGCCAGGCAGAGGGTCTCCTCACTTCTCAGACGGGGCGGCCGGGCAGAGACGCTCCTCACCTCCCAGACGGGGTCTCGGCCGGGCAGAGGCGCTCCTCACATCCCAGATGGGGCGGCGGGGCAGAGGCGCTCCCCACATCTCAGACGATGGGCGGCCGGGCAGAGACGCTCCTCACTTCCTAGATGTGATGGCGGCTGGGAAGAGGCGCTCCTCACTTCCTAGATGGGATGGCGGCCGGGCGGAGACGCTCCTCACTTTCCAGACTGGGCAGCCAGGCAGAGGGGCTCCTCACATCCCAGACGATGGGCGGCCAGGCAGAGACACTCCTCACTTCCCAGACGGGGTGGCAGCCGGGCAGAGGCTGCAATCTCGGCACTTTGGGAGGCCAAGGCAGGCGGCTGCTCCTTGCCCTCGGGCCCCGCGGGGCCCGTCCGCTCCTCCAGCCGCTGCCTCCCGGGCGGCGCTCGCCGGCGCGGCGGCAAAGACTGAGACAGCTCCGCTGCCCGCTGAACTCCATCCTCCCGGCCAAAACCAAGCTTCTTAACAAAGATCCTGAAGTGTTGAGTTTACTAATTTAGTTAGGAACTTTCCAATTTAGCTTTTGCTTTTAACCAGATTATTGAGTTCAGGGTGGAGCTCATTGACAAATAAGGCAGACAAAGCATTTTCTGTGTCTGGGCTCAGCATACATAGCTCTGAGCTTAATAATTTGACTAGGGCATAAAGGTGGTTAAAGAAGCAAACTTGACTGACTTGAGGGCTTAACTTTTATAAACAGTTTTTCTGGCTTTCTTTTAAACCATCAGGGTGGGATGGTCACTAAGTAAACAGGTTAGCAGATTCGATTTTTCTTATCAGTTTGTTGCTTAAAGCTTTTCATTTGCCTTTTTAAAGGAGACCTTTAGAGAAGCAATTTTTTGAAACCTAAAATCTGGTTAGAGGCTTCTGTGTATCGAAAATAGGCATCTCATCTGTTTGTCTAATTTGAGAGCCCTTACTTTCAAATGTGCTTCTTAGATGGATAATCTTGTCCATCTGGAATGTTCTCTATAATGTCCCCTGTAATTCTAAATTGTCTTTGATAAAATTTCACCACTTTTTGGCCAGGCACAGTTGTTCATGCCTATAATCCCAGCACTCTGGGAGGCTGAGGCAGGAGGATTGCTTGAGCCCAGGAATTCGAGACCAGCCCGAGCAATGCAGTGGGACTCCATCTCTACAAAAATGTTTTTAAATTAGCCAGGTGTGGTGATGTGCACTTGTGGTCCTAGCTACTCAAAAGGCTGAGGTGGAAGGAATCACTTAAGTCTTGGAAGTCAAGGCTGCAGTGAGCCATTATCATGCTACTGCACTCCAGCTTGGGTGACAGAATGAGACTCTGAAAAAAAAAATCACCATTTTTGTTAGAATTTACAGCTTCCAAGATGAAAATTTTTGTACATAAAAAGGCAGGCACGGGTGTGGTGGCTCAAGCCTGTAATCCCAGCACTTTGGGAGGCTGAGGCAGGCAGATCACCTGAGGTCGAAAGTTCAAGACAAGCCTGACCAACATGGAGAAACCCCGTCTCTACTAAAAATACAAAATTAGCTGGGCATGGTGGCGAATTCCTATAATCCCAGCTACTCGGGAGGCTGAGGCAGGAGAATCGCTTGAACCCAGGAGGCGGAGGTTGCCGTGAGCTGAGATTGTGCCATTACACTCCAGCCTGAGTGACAGAGCAAGACTCCTCTCAAAAAAATAAATAAATAAAAATAAAAAGTAAAACGCAGGCATACTGGAAGGTGGAGTCCTAAGTTGTTTAGCATATTGGGTTTCTCAGATGAGATGCCTATTTTCTCAATATGAGAGCTGAGATAAAAGCCTAAGAGGGAAATGTCAAGAGGTTGGGTCGTGTGATGTTTTCAGTGTTTCTTTTTGCAAGGAAATTTTCTTAAGGCTCATGGGTAACCTAGCGTCAAACTAAACCTTATCCTTTCTTTTTCTTTCTTTCTTTCTTTCTTTCTTTTTTTTTTTTTGAGACTGAGTTTTGCTCTTGTTGCCCAGGACGGAGTGCAATGGCGCGATCTCGGCTCACCACAACGTCTGCCTCCTGGGTTCAAGGGATTCTCCTGCCTCAGCCTCCCAAGTAGCTGGGATTACAGGCATGCGCCACCACACCCAGCTAATTTTGTATTTTTAGTAGGGACGGGGTTTCTCCATGTTGGTCAGGCTGGTCCCCAACTCCTGACCTCAGGTGATTCACCCACATCACCCTCCCGAAGTGCTGGGATTACAGATGTGAGCCACAATGCCTGGCCAGCTTATCCTTTCAGTAGTTACATATTTAGGTGATAGGTGATCTAACAGCTTTTGGGTGCCCTTCCCATACCTGTCAATTAAGTTGTGGTTTGGCACCAAGATTCCTTAGCCAACATAGCCAATGATCTTTCCCTACCTTAGTGTGCAAGAAAAAGAAACAAAGAGGAGATAACCCAAATCCCTGTGAATTTCTGAAAAATAGTGTCTAACACCCCCTGCAGTAACTGCCATTTGCTGCAATCACTGTCAGTTATCTTTAAAAGTGTGATTCTTTGGTAGCGATGCAACAATCACCAAAAGTCCCAAAGATCATTTACTCTGCTACAACACAACCTTTGGCACCCAAAAGCCAAAATAATCAGGAGCTCAAATACAAAGAGTTGGCCCTGGTAGGAACTTACTCATGACATTGGGAGCACTGTGAGGAAGTCAGGGGACTCTAAAGGAGTAAGGAGCACCTTATCTGCATCCTTCAGTGGCCTCAGGGTCATCAGCCTTCTTCAAGTCCTTTCATGTTCACCAGAACTGTTAGAAAATTTCAATAAATTTAGTCTAAAGATCGAGTTGGTTTTTATTAGCAATTCATAAATCAAACAGCATCTCATCTAAAAATAGGTAAGTGCTCTGCTAGGATGGCAAACCAGTTTTTGTTTTTGTTTTTTTTTTTTTTTTTTTTGAGATGGAGTCTTGCTCTGTCACCAGGCTGGAGTGTTAGTGGTATGATCTTGGCTCACTGCAACCTCCACCTCCCGGGTTCAAGTGATTCTCCTGCCTCAGCCTCCTGAGTAGCTGGGACTACAGGCACGTGCCACCATGCCCAGCTAATTTTTGTATTTTTAGTAGAGATGGGGTTTCACCATGTTGGCCAGGATGGTCTCTCAATCTCTTGACCTCATGATCTGCCCGCCTCGGCTTCCTAAAATGCTGGGATTACAGGTGTGAGCCACCATGCCCAGCCTAACAGTTGGTTTTTATAAGATAGCTAGAGCAGGAGTGAGGAAACAATAATACCAAAAGCAGATTGTTAACATCAGGTTACTTCAGGTTACTTTCCTTGTAAGGGTTAAAGGAGGAGACTTCCTTAACATGCTGGTTCAGGTTGACTGGGCCTCTTCAGACTGGTTGCTATGAATCTTCTGTTTTTAGGAAAAATTGGTCTAATGGGGAATTTTCTTGCTTCCTTAAAGTTTCAACTTGATTGCATGACACTTAGCATAAGTGACTCCATTTTAATTTGTTTTGTTGGGGCCTAGTGCAGGAGCTCAGTCCAAAACAATGGCTTCCCATACATTTTATTTTACACCTTTACAATAAATGGGTAAATGTAAGTAAAGCATTTCCCTTAATTCTGTGAGCCACTCTAGCAAGTGATTGAACCCAAGAAAGGGTCTAATTTGTAAAACCTCTAATTTGTAGCTAAGTTGGACAGAAGTTGTGAGTAACATGAAGGTCTACTATTTGCAGTTGGAGTGTGAACGTGTGGAACTGAGTCTTTTTTTTTTTTTTTTTGAGACAGGGTCTCACTTTGTCACCTAGGCTTGAGTGGAGTGGCGCAATCTTGGCTCACTGCAACCTCCACCTCCTGGGTTCAAGCAACTCTCCTGCCTCAGCCTCCCAAGTATTTGAGATTACAGGCGTGCGCCACCATGCCCGGCTAATTTTTTGTATTTTTAGTAGAGATGGGGTTTCACCATGTTGCCCAGGCTGGTCTGGAACTCCTGAGCTCAGATGATCCACCCACCTTGGCCTTCCAAAGTGATTGGATTACAGGCGTGAGCCACCACGCCTGGCCTGGAACTGAGTCCTTAATCTGTGTGATCTGACACTATACCTAGGTAGATAGTATCAGAATTGAGTTTAGTTGTAAGACTCTCGGTGTCTGCAGAAAATTGGAGAATTGCTTGATGTGGAGAAAAATCCCTACACATTTGATCACAGGAGTGTTCTATGTTCAGTGTGAGTATAGAGAAAAATAATTTGCTTTTCCTATTCAGTAGCCCACAGGCCCACTGGGATCTCCTCTGTTTTCTGCCCTTCATCAGACTTGGGCTTGGGAAACACTCTGCCTTTGTTCACTTCAGTCTCCGAAATTTGGCCTGTGGACTTTTAGGGTCCTCATCATGCTATGTTGTAAGCACTGATTTCCTTTTCATGCCACCAACAGATTTAAAGCTTCTTAAAAATACAGACCAGGCTTTATTCAGCTTTTTATCTTAACCTAGCCCAGGGCCTGGCACACAGTCTGTGTTTAACAATGCTTGGCTGTCAGTTCTACCATGGTTCCTACATAGCTTTCTCTGGATGCTTTTCTCCAGGAGAAATGCAGCACTATTTTTCTCTACCTGGTTGAAATGCCACTTCCTGCAGAAGCTTCCCCAGGCCCTAAAATCACATGGCATACTTTGTGTGTGGTTCCCTCTCATCTCAAGAAGTTCACAGTTTCGTAGGGATTTAGAAGAGCAAACTAACATGTACAATGCACTGCAGTGCTAGGAAAAATTGTGAAAGACTTTTAAATGGGCAAGTAATGACTGGGTGTCTTTCAATGGAATGATGTGTGTTACAATTCTACCCTACAAAAGTGCTGGACTGTTTTATAACTCTGTAGAAATGAAGGTTAATGGGGAGGCCTGATGATGGTGTAGATGTTTTCTGTCTAGAGCTGGATGCAGGATGCAAACAACTCTGTTCATGGCAATGCAACTAAATACATTTTGTCCAGTACAGAACAAACCGCCCAAGGGGTTCACCTTGCCCTCTGCCTAGACAGAGCATTCATCAAGACAGAGGAATTGCAATAGAGAAAGAGTAATTTACACAGAGCCAGCTGTGTTGGAGACCAGAGTTTTATTATTACTCAAATCAGTCTCCCCAAGTATTCAGGGAGCAGAATTTTTAACGATAACTTGGTGGGTGGGGGAAAGCCAGTGAGCCAGGAGTGCTGATTTGTCAGAGATGAAATCGTAGGGAGTCGGAGCTGTCTTCTTGCACTGAGTCACTTCCTGGGTGGGGGCTACAAGATCAGTTGAGCCAGTTTTTCAATTGGGTGGTGCCAGATGATCCATCAAGTGCCGAGTCTGCAAAATATCTCAAGCACTGATCTTAGGAGCAGTTTAGGAAGGGTCAGAATCTTGTAGCCTCCAGCTGCATGACTCCTAAACCACAATTTCTAATCTTGTGGCTAATGTTAGTCCTACAAAGGCAATCTAGTCCCCAGGCAAAAAGGAGGTCTGCTTTGGGAAAGAGCTGTCTTTGTTTAAACTATAAACTAAGCTTCTCCCAAAGTTAGTTCGGCCTATACCCAGGAATGAACAAGGACAGCTTGGAGGTTAGAAGCAAGATGGAGTCTGTTAAGTTAGATCTCTTTGGCTGTCTCAGTCATAATTTGGCAAAGGCAGTTTTATAAGTAAAATTCCATTTTAAACAGTTATAAAATCCTACTAGTTTCCTCCTTAATTCATGATTTAAATAAATGTATGTTCATTCTCTGTGTGAGTTATGCTTTTATCATTTTGAAAACTATTCTTTAATAGTGGTATCTGTGAAAGAGTAAGCAAAATTAATACACAGTGAGCATTTATTCCATGTCAGGCACTATGCTAAGGGTTTTATAGATTTAATCATCATGGCGACCCTGTAAGTTAAGTTCTATTATTAGTTCCATTTTACAGATCTGGAAACCAAGGCCTAGAGATTAAGTAACTTTCCTAAGGACCCAGAGCTAGTAAGTGGCCTGAGATTTGAGACCTGAGATTTGAAAGACTTGCATTGTAACTGCACTTCAGTCAAGAGGGCAATTGAAATGAAATTGTGGGATCAGGTAAGGCTTCCAAATTTCGGAGGATAAGGTGTTGGTGCAGAGGGAAAAGAAGGGCGGGGCTTTCAGGTACAGGTCAGCCCTAAGAAATGCAGTTGGCCTGGAGAGCAGGGTGTGGGCTGAGGAGTGGTAAGAGATAAGGCTGAAGGAAACTTCAGGAGTTTCCTTCACAGAGGAAGGAAATCACGGAGAGCTCTGTGAGGCCAGAAGCCAAGGAGTTTGGACTTTATCCTCAAACTACAGTATTTTAAGCAGAAAAAAAAGACATGATTAGATTGAGTTGTATTATTTTTATCTTTATTGCTTTTGTTTGTAGTTATAAAAGAGGTATAGGCTTTTTTTAAATTGTTGTTAAAACAAAACAAAACATGGAGAAATTTGGCCCTTCTAGAAAAATTATTTTGGCAGCACTGTTGAGGCTCGATCCGAAGTGGTGAGTGAGAAAAGAGGGAAGCTGTTGGAAACTAAGCCAATAGCAAGAAAAACGAAGAGGAGGGGATGGAAAGGAGAAACAGTAAGCTAGCTGAATCTACAGGATTTGGCAACTGTGGCATGTCGGGGGTAGGAAAGGGTGGGAAGGAGGGGCTAGTGCACAGGGAGAGCCCCATCAAAGTACCTAGCTCAGAAAACCTACTGCAGGCCTGGTTACTCATTCTTAGCATGTAAGAACTGAGATAGTACTTGAAATTTAAAGCGAAAAGCATTGATATCAAGTTTGTACAACACCCATTCTAAAAAGCATATACAAATAGAGCCTGACCAAAGTACCCAGGCCTTTTTTTTTTTTCTTTTTTGGCCTCAAGGTGGTTAGAAGCGGGAGACAAAAAAGGGTGTTGAGAAAGGAAAAGAAAGATAAATCACAAAGACTATAACCATTTAAACCTTCTGTTGACAATTACGCACATACAGATTGTCAGCACACCAGGTGACTTTTAATCCCGGTCCAGTTCCCCTCCTGGCCCTCTTAATGGCTTCTGGCCACTTCCTCTTGGGATCTGGCCAGAGTAAGCTCAGGAAATGCAAAGTTTTAATTCTGGAATCAGTAAAGCATATTAGGAAAGGAAATCCACAAGTGAAAAAAACATCACATTATGCATTTTGAAGCCAAGGGACAGAATCAGATTGTAAATTTGTGGGGACAGGAACCATTTTACACATTTTGGTGCAGAACTCAGGGATTGGTTTAGCCATTATTCCCCCTCAGGTTCACCCAGGATTTGGTCTCTTGCATTCTTGTATGATTCCAAAGCTTCCATCCAGCACAACCTTCAGCTCTAGCAGTTAAGCTGTCTGCAGTCCCGCTTTGTGCTCCCTGACAGCAGGGGAGGATAACCCGCCAAGATGAAGGCCCAGATAAAGAGTCAGTATCTTTAATTATACTCACTTCCCTAGGATTTTGCAGGATCAGATGATAGAATATATTTGAAAGGCCTTTGTAAAATTGGATGAGCTATACAATCACTAGCTGTTCTTTATTCATTGTTGTTCTGGTTGATGACCTAACTGATACTTGCTACACTGCATTGCAGAATGTTCAAGGAGATTCAGATTTTTACAATGACTATGCACTTAATATATTAATGTTACTATGTGCTCAATGGTGTGCTGTGTACTTTCACATGTAATCCTCAAAATAATTTTATCATGTTTATCAAAGATCAGATAGATTAACTTGCTCAAAAACATAATTTTTGATTTTTTATGCTCTCCCAAGATTGGATTAGGTTTTGCCATGTGTTACCACACCACAGAAGTTACTACATATCTTCCCCACTACACTAGAAGCTGTGGGTGCTAGGAACTATATTTTGTTCACTGCATTATGCCCTCTATCCAGCTAATGGAGCCAGGCACAAAACATACATGCTACAAAAAATAGTTAGGGTGAATGAATGAAGGCTGATTTTATATCCATTGCTCTATTCTGAAAACTACTGTTTTCTTAATAACTTACTGTTCATCATCTATTTTTCCCTACTAGAATGTAAGATACTTGTGAAAACATATCATTTGTTTTATTCACTGCTGGATTCTCAAAGTCTGGAACAATGCCTGGGATATACTAAGTGTCCAATAAATATCTGTTGGTGAATGAACAAACGATAGCCACGTGGACAAGCAAATTCCACCTCTTTTTGTCTATCACTATATTTTTTCTTTTTCTTTTCTTTTTTTTTTTTTGCGATGGAGTTTCACTCTTGTTGCCCAGGCTGGAGTGGAATGGCGTGATCTCACCACAACCTCTGCCTCCTGGGTTCAAGCGATTCTCCTGCCTCAGCCTCCCTAGTAGCTGGGATTATAGGCATGCGCCACCATGCCTGACTAATTTTGTATTTTTAGTAGAGATGGGGTTTCTGAATGTTGGTCAGGCTGGTCTCGAACTCCCGATCTCGGGTGATCCGCCCGCCTTGGCCTCCCAAAGTGCTGGGATTACAGACAAGAGCCACCATGGCTGGCCTTGTATTTTCTTTTTTCTGATGCTGATCTCAATAAGATAACGCTCAAGAACAACACAACACTGTGATGTGGGTGAGCGGCTGAGAGCTGAACACTCTGGCTTCCTGAGGTAAATACTTGCAGCTGAATGATGATTAGAAAGGAACCACAGGAATGCTGTCTCCAAGAGCACTGCCTGCAAGAAGAAGGCACAGGTGGCCAGCACTGGTGGCCTGTGGACTCTACACTTCACAGCTTTGGTCCAGCACCAGCAAAATAGTGATGCAAGACTATTGTGCTCTTGAGTTCCATGTCACACTCACCTCTCTTTCACCAGAATGCAACTCTTGGAGAAGCAGAAAAAGTAATGTGCTTATAACAATTAGCTTGATTTTCTTAGGAATCAAGTGTCTCTTGCTAGAACTCTTCTAGATCACATGCATAGTTTTTTCTTTCTGTAAACCAGTAGTATATGGTATGTTGTTTTCTTTTAGTATAAAAGTAACCATCGTATTAAGAAAATTCTGAATATGGAAAAAACATAGAAAACAGTCACCTAATTTTACCACACTAACAAAATTATGATTGGTATATATGTGCATTTTCTTTTTCCCTGTGCTTGTGTATGTATGTATTAGGCATATATATCTACACATATCATACTAGGTTTTTTTTTTTTTTTGAGACAGAGTTTCACTCTTGTTGCCCAGGCTGGAGTGCAATGGCATGATCTTGGCTTACCACAACCTCCACCTCCCGGGTTCAAGCGATTCTCCTGCCCCAGCCCTCTGAGTAGCTGGGATTACAGGCATGCACCACCACACCCGGCTAATTTTGTATTTTTATAGAGACAGGGTTTCTCCATGTTGGTCAGGCTGGTCTGGAACTCCTGACCTCAGGTGATCTGCCTGCCTTGGCCTCCCAAAGAGCTGGAATTACAGGCGTGAGCCACCACATCAGGCCTAGTTTGTGTTTTTTCACTTAATATTATGCCGTTTTTGTATCAAAGGGACTTCATAACCATATCCATCTAACTACTTATTAAGGCCAGGTGCAGTGGCTCATGTCTGCAATCCCAACACTTTGGGAGGCCCAGGCAGGAGGATTGCTTGAATTCAAGAGTTGGAGACCAGCCTAAGCAACACAGTAAGATCCAGTCTCTATAAAAGTTATAGTTATGAGGTCAGGAGTTCGAGATCAGCCTGGCCAACATGGTGAAATCCTTTCTCTACTAAAAAAATACAAAATTAGCTGGGTGTGGTGGCATGTGCCTGTAATCCCAGGTACTCAGGAGGCTGAGAAAGGACAATTGCTTGAACCCGGGAGGCAGAGAGCTGAGATTGCGCCACTGCACTCCAGCCTGGGTGACAGAGCAAGACACCATCTCACACACACAAAAAAGTTATAGTTAATCCCAGCTACTTGGGAGGCTGAAGTGGGTGGATTGCTTGACCCTGAAAGGTTGAGGCTGCAGTGAGCAGTGACTGATAGTGCCACCTCATTCCAGCCTGGGCAACAGAGTGAGACCCTGTCTCCAAACAAAACAAAACAAAACAAAACAAAACAAAAACAAAAACAAAAAACAAAAAAAAACACTGATACCCAACGTAAGAATTTTTCAAAGAAATTGACAATTTCAAAGACAGGCAAAAACTTTCTTAGAAAAATTTCAAAATCTGAAATTTTTAGGAAAAACGAGTTCCTCGTGCTTGATACATCTTACAATATTGCCTTCCCAAAATGTTATACCAATTTACTCAGCCACCAATAGGTAATAATTTATCATTTAAACTGTCATGATGTAGTAGGGAAAATAGATATTTCATCAACCTTTCCATTTGCATTTAAATACATTGCTAGGGATAAAGGACTTTAGCCAAGATTATTTACTAGTTTTATTTCTTCTCTTATAGAATCATTAGTTATTGAGGGGAAAAAAGTTTATCTGCTACTAGTACGGCATCTTTTCCCTATGGAGGGGACTGTGGTATTAGAGTAGAAAGACTAAGGACTTTGATATTCAAATCCATCTTACGTGAAAAGCCGGTATATATGAACCATTTGGTGAAGTGTTAGTTTCATCCGTTCATTTACCAAAAAAAGACCAATACATTGGGAAGACAAAAAGGAGAAGCTGATCAAAAAGGAGTATTTAATTGTTTAGCTAATATTCTTAAGAGTCACTCCAAAACCATCCACTGCAAGTAAGAGTCCACTTCAGGAATTCTCATAGCCTTTTTACCCCTAAGCATGAACTTTTTAAATAGTCAAGTGCATACACTTATTAACCTTCTTGACAACCCTAGCGGTGGGTACTAATTATTATTAACACCTTTTATTAGAAAAAAAACCCTGATGCTTAGGGAGGCTAAGTAATTTGTCTGATCCTCAATTTGAACCTAGGCAGCCTCCCTTGTTAACCAACCAGTAGGATGTGATTCCTTTTGCTATACATCTCCTCTGGGCAAGTCAGAGTAAAAGCAAAAAGTAAATATACTGATGCTCTTCAGCTGAGGAGAAAGATACTCTTCGCTCTACAGCTTCCAACTGCTTACATTTGAATGACTTTGCCACAATGACCCAGACTGAATGGAGGAAAAAAGAGTGACTGAATCTAAAACCCTAAAGCTGGAACACATTTCAGGTAACAATGTATGTAAACTGCCACCCCTCCCCGCCCAGATTCTTTTAAAGTCTGAAGCATCTTGGCTCAATTGCTCACATTTAGGCAAGCCAGGCAAACTTGAGTTGTCATTTCCCATCATGTACTGAAAGAATGGTCACAGTTACAAAAGTCTATCATTAACCTCTTTCTTCATGTCTTCTAAGCAATGCCTGACTTGATTATTAAAACAAACCATGATGGCGGGGCACGGTGGCTCATGCCTGTAATCCCAGCACTTTGGGAGGCTTTACTGTTAACCTTTTCCTCATCTTTCTAAGCAAAAGTGTGTGTGAGGGGATGGTGGTGAGGGGCATACCTGCACTGATGATTAGACTTATTATGCTGTGAACCATTTCCTAGGGAGGGTAAAACCCAGACATTTAGCTTTTTCATACAAACATGCAACCAATATCCAGTTTATCAATCTGAGATTTAATACAATAAGCCATTTGTTCATACAGAAATATTAAATGGTTTTTAACCATTTTTTTCTTTTTATTTTACCATCATCCTTTCCTTAATACGATACATAGTTTTGTACAAACTATGCATTCATGTTGGCTAGTTAAGACAGTTTATAGATTTGGGTATAACATGGTAATATGATATGATTTATGTTACCATGATCTGCAGTTGTTCAGCCTCTCAGTTTCTTGAAGACTTTTCCTGCTTTGACTTAGGAGCCTATTTCAGAGCGTGACCCCTGAACAGCCCCGTGCCTTTTCAGGCACTGCAACTACCTACGAACTGTCTATATTCTCTCTGTGTTATAGAGAAAAAGAAAAGATAAGCAGGTGCTTTATGCGTACATCTACTTTCCCAAAGCAGCCACTGAAACCATGTTAACTGAAATAAAACTTCAAATGCAGTCAATCTTCAAATGGAGTAAAGGACAACAGACTAGATCAGAAAGCCCAGTTGCTTCCAGTGTTGACCTGCATCACAGAGATGATAAGCTGATTGTTAATAAAGAGAGACTCAGAGTAGGCCTATGTTGAGCTTTAGTGTGGGCTCTGTTACCAAAATTGATTCTGAATAAATCCCTTAAGCCTATATATTCAGCGGCAAAATGTCAGGGTTGTACGGGTAATAAAACATTTAGTTCCAGCTTTGAGCCGGTTATAGGCATACCTTAAAGATACTATAGGTGCAGTTCAAGACCATGGCAATAAAGCAAGTCACACATCTTTTTTTAGTTTCTCATTGTATATGAGTTATGTTTACACTGTATCCGGTAGTCTTTTTTTTTTTTTTTTTTTTTTTTTGAGACGGAGTCTTGCTCTGTTGCCAGGCTGGAGTGCACTGGCGCGATCTCAGCTCACTGAAACCTCCACCTCCTGGGTTCAAGCGATTCTCCTGCCTCAGCCTCCCGAGTAGCTGGGACTACAGGCGTCCACTACCACACCCGGCTAATTTTTATATTTTTAGTAGAGCTGAGGTTTCACCATGTTGGTCGGGCTGGTCTTGAACTCCTGATCTCAAGTGATCTGCCCACCTCAGCCTCCCAAAGTGTTGGGATTACAGGCCTGAGCCACTGTGCCCAGCATGTGGTACTAACTTTTGCTTCTGAATACAGCAACTTCAGAACCCTTGTGATAAGTGGTGGTTAATCTGCATCACAAAACCCTCACTCCACTAACAAGATTCAACTATTGAACAGAGATTAAACGGAAAGTGCTATGTGGATATGACTTCAACAATAAAGATGAGGAAAAAGTTATTTATACTTGCTTTACTTTTATTTTTTCAGATTTCCTTTACTTACATTCCTTATTCCCTCACCAACAGTAATCCTCATTTTTATAGAAGGTAAGAGAGAAGAAGTACGCAGAGGTTACAGACTTGGGTCCAAAGAAAATTACAGAGTCCAAACTGAGGCCAAGCCTGCCAATACTCTCAGCAGCAGTTTTCTCCTCTAACACTCTTCCTCTATCTGCCATGATGCCCAGGCATACAAAGGGAGTTTTTCATTGTTTCCTTAAGGTTAACTGCTCTGGATGCTCTCAGTTCAAATAAGATGGTTTTAAAATTCCCCTCCTCCTTGCCTTACAGCAAAGAAGAGGAAAGGAGAAATTCAAATGAAAATAAATCATATACACAAATATCAAGGTTCAAAAGCTGGAGGATTTAATTCAATCAATTTAGCAAGGCCCAAAATGAAACCTGGTAATGAAAATGAAGACACAGCAATATTTTCCTCAAGAAAATAGACATTTGGGAGAAGAAATGTTTTCTTAAAAAATGTTTATTTGGAAAAGTCAGCCTCTTACACAAGGTTTTGTATCTATACTTTTACTCTGTCAATTACAGTGGTATTTTAAATGCATTGAATATAATTCATTGAATGTCTGTATCTTTCTGCCTCGATTTAAGTGATATTAGGTTAAAAAAATATTTACAGTTTTCATTCTGGTCCACCTTCCCTCCTTATCCTTATACTGAATCCATTTCTCTACTTTTCAGGTAAGTGAAAGGGGTCACAAAATTTTTAGGTTTGTGTGGAGGGTAAAAATGCATCCAGCAATTCTAAGCACAACAATTTTCTGTAAGGCCTTCTCTGAAAAAAGAGAAGGAATTACTTATTAAAACTAAGCACACTTAGCAACTTCTTTCCCAATCCTATCTTTATTCGTTTGCCTGGTGCCAAATTTTTCTGGCCCTTTTTAATTTGCAAACCTTAAAAAAAAAAAAACAAAAAAACAAAAACACCAAACACACACATATCTCACACATAGCACTAAGCTAGAAGCAGATATAAATGGGACCACTGTGAATCAAAGGGGAAAAATTCCAGGAAAAAAAAATTCCAATAGCTTCACAGTTTAACTGAGGTTTTGGAAAAACTTAAGTGAATTCAGCTGATGTTTGAAATATCTGTCTACATTTAATTAGATGTGTTGTATTTACCAAGGAGGCACAAATATGTAGTTCTGTAGATTTTAATACTAACTTTTCCAGTAAGAAAAATAATACCAGGTGATTTCAAAAAGGGCAGTGATCTATAAACACTCAAAATGCATCTTTGAACAGGGGAGCAGAAATAGCTAATTTAATGAAAACAAACCTTAAGCACTTTACTTGGCTTCTAATAAGCATCCCAAGAAAAGGTACCTGAGAGGGGTTGACAAGTACACTGTGTCTAGAACAGCCAAGATGTTGCCAAAGTTTTATGCTTTGAATTTCCTAAATATATAGCTAGCAGAAACATATGCCAGAAATCTACTGATGCTAGGAAAATATTTTTGTCAGCATTTTGTAAAATCTCTAACTTTCAACCAATATTTCTGTTCATAAATCTTCCAGTGAAAATGTCTGAAATATATTACATGTAACAATGAAGCAAGATTAATTTTAAATTTTAGATTTGCCTCAAACAAGTTAGTTGTTATTTTTCCTTTTAACACAACACTCGAAATAGATGAATTCAGCAAAAATGGTTTAAGAAGTTAAGGCTCTCTAGAGTTCTAAAGACTAAAACTTAAGGCACATATTATAATCTTTATGACACTATTAAAAGCTAAGATTAAAACAAAACAAAACAGAACCTACTTCTTTCCCCCATCCTTTGCTACCAATCATTCCCTCCTCAAATTCAGGCTATTGGTAAGGAGTCAAACAAAAATCCCATCAATGAACAACTGGTATGATTTCCACACAAATGTCTACTATTTGCATTGAGCACCACTGGTAGATTACAGGCCAGTAGAATATTTTCAGATATCCTGGGTCATGAACTGCTCAATTTACCCTTCAGCCCCATGGATTCAGACTGGACTTTCCTCCTCCTTGGGCCCTCCATCTGTGTCTTTCTGGTCCGGAGATTCTGCTGCTTTGGTAACTTCATTTGGCTTCCCAGCAACATCTATACTGGTCTCTTCCTCTTTACTTTCCTTTTTCTGCTCGTTTGCTTTCTGTTCTTTTGCCAAAAGTCGATAATTGATGCCCATGCCAATGAAGAGATAGATACCTGAAATAATTAGGACGACGCCACATGCCCAGTATGTGTATTTGTAGTCTCCATACATGTCATTGAGCCGACCTAAATATGTAAAACAACACAAACAGTTGTTTCTAAGAGTAAACAGTTTTTTTTTCCCCCAAGCAAAGCTTAAGGATCCATTCAGAAAGATGTCAATCCAATCTTTAAAGAGTCCCAAAATGATGAATTAGTATAAGGAATTGCTGAAAATTAGCTGATCCTCTGTTTATAATGCATCATGGATTTTAAGTGGCCTTTGCATATTCTGTTATTTTTAGTAACTTGAAAATAGTTAACTCTTGGCAAACTGGAAATGGAAGAGACGTAGTGATCACCTAGAGTCAATTCTCTTAATACACTATAGAAATAAGTGTTGCTAAAAGAGGCTTGGGAGTCTTGTCCAAGGCCATAGTGCTGTCCCATTTACCCAGGCCAATGCTCTTTCTCTCTCAGCATTTCCCAAAGAGTATTCCTGTAAACACTTGTCCAGTGCTAAAAATTTAAAAGCAATATCTTACACCCATTCTAAGTGCTTAATCTTTATAACAGGCAGATTCTATTATCATCCTCACTGGACAGATTTAAAAACTAAATTACAGAGATGTTAGCTAATTTGTCCATGGTCACAAAACTAATAAGTGAAATGACTTGGCTTTAAACCTAGAAAGTCTGACTCGGAAGTCTGCACCCTTAAGCATGTGCTACAAGGATACTGCTTTAATGTTTCAAAAGTCAAATGAATTGATAAATGGCATATTATTTTCTCATAAAGGCTTTGTGAAGTCTGGTAGTAAAGAACCCTATTTAATTTGATGTTTACAAATTTTATTTTGGTCATGTAACTTTCATTACTGTAAAATTTATTAGCATCTCATTGAACTGGTATCTCTGGGAAAATTCTACTCTATGCTTAAACAGGACTTAATACAACCAATTTAAATATGATTCCATATGGCTTTCTAACTCAGGGCATCATTCATTCAACAATATTTATTGAGCCTTTATCATATACCAGGCACTGGCTCAGCTAAGCCCTGAGGATAAGGGTGAACAGAGGATCCACAGTTCAGTGGACAAGAGATGTTAATCAAGTAACTACACAAACTGTGACAAGTACTACCAGGAGAGTTTGAAAGAAGTGGGGTCAAGAAAGCTTTCCTTAAAGTGTCAACTTAGCTGGGATTTGCAGGATAGGAATTATCTAGGAGAAAGGAGATGGGAATTAGATCCAGGCAGAGAACTGTAGTGCAAAGGCGCAATGGTAGGAGAGAGCATGGTGTGTGAGGGGAAAGAAGGGCCAGGTTGCTGGGGCACAGAGAGCAGGAGGCCAGTGGTAGAAATGAGGCTGGAAGGACAGCTGGGGCCAGCCCATGCAGTGCCTTGCAAGCCACATTAGGGAATTTGCTTTTCACCCTGAAAGTAATGGGAAGCAACTGGAGAGTTTTAAGAAATCTTGAAGAGTTCTGAACTGGAGACTTCAAGGAGACTGAAGAACAGCTAGAACTGATACAGGTAGACCAGTTAGGAGGTTACAGTTAGGAGCAGCCCAAACAGGAGACAGGAGCTTTGGATAAGGGTAGTAGTTGTGATGGAGAAAAATGGGCAGATGAGAACAAGATTTAGAGCATAAAAACTCATAGAACTTAGTAACTCACTGGGTATGAGATGGAAGAAGACAGTGATCTCAAAAGGCAGCTATGGATCTTCTGTTATATACTCACTCACTCCCCAAATCAAAGTTCCTAAAGTATGAGTCACATCCAGAAGAAGGGTCAAATTATTTTTTCACTATGTGTTATGTATTGAGCTATTAATTTGAAAGATAAAGTATTCAATAACCTTCAGGAATAGTTCCCAAGTTGTAATTAATTTTCTAGCTGTATGATTTTAGCCAAGTTATTTCACCTTTTGAAGCCTCTGTTCACTTACAAAATGGGGACTTAAAACGGTCCTACCTCATATGGACTTGTGAGATACAACAGGAGATACAAAATGATAAGGACAGTCTCTGGTACACTGTGAGCTTACATGGTAGCTATTATTATACTACTGCTACTGAAATAAACTTTTTTTTTTTTTTTTTGCTTTTTGTGTGTTTTTAAAAAATTTATGGATCAGGCATGGTGGCTCATGCCTGTAATCCCAGCACTTTGGGAGGCCAAGGCGGGTGGACCACCTGAGGTTAGGAGTTCAAGACGAGCCTGGCCAACATGGTGAAACCGTCTCTACTAAAAATACAAAAATTAGCTGGGCATGGTGGTGGGCGCCTGTAATCACAGCTACTTGGGAGGCTGAGGCAGGAGAATTGCTTGAACCCAGGAGGCAGAGGTTGCAGTGAGCCGAGATCGCGCCATTGCACTCCAGCCTGGGCAACAAGACCAAGACTGTCTTAAAAAAAAAAAAAAAAAAAAAAAAAACTTATGTGAAATATACTTCATTTTTAAAATGAAATAATCACTAGCGCTTTAAAGATTGGGTTGTTTTTCTACATGCTTTTCTACACTAAGCACATCAGTTTTGCGATCAGAAAAAAACATATTTTAGGCCAGGCACAGTGGCTCACACCTGTTACCCAGCACTTTGGGAGGCTGAGACAAGTGGATCGTTTGAGGTCAGGAGTTAGAGACCAGCCTGGCCAACATGGCGAAACCCTGTCTCTATTAAAGATATAAAAATTGGCCAGGCATGGTGGCATGCATCTGTAATCCCAGCTACCGGGAGGCTGAGGCAGGGGAATCGCTTGAACCTGGGAGGCGGAGGTTGCAGTGAGCTGAGATGGTGCCACTGCACTCCAGCCTGGGCAACAGAGCAAGACTCCATCTCAAAAAAAAAGAAAAAACACTGACATTTGTAACAATATTTGATCCCCCTTTTGCCTTGATGGTTCCATTTAATTAGATTCTATATTTGAGCAATTATGCTGTGCCAAGCATTGTCCCAGCATCAAGGGTACATAAATGAGAAAGATTTATTCTTACCCAAATAGCTCACTAATGTTTGCTTTCTGTCAGCATTCCCATCTTACATGCTTGTTTTGTAATAGACCCACATTAGTAGGGAGATATACTATACCTAAAAGTGGTGGCCCCAGGAGGACAGGACAGCATTCCACAATGGTCACCAATCCCACAGCGCTGGAGAACCTCTGGGGTCCAACAAGGTCCATCAATGTTTCAAACAATACGGAGCTGAGCCACCCGAAGGCAAATCCAAAGAATCCCGCATAGACACAGAATCCAACATAGGTAGTGGATAAAGGTGCTAGCATATGACACACTCCATTTGCAACAACGGAAGCCGCAAAGAAATACTGAATTCGAGGTCTTATTGGCTTTGTGTTGGCTACAAGTCCCATAGATGGTCGGGCTACCATGTCAACAAAAGCCAGAATGGAAAGAAGGAAGGCAGACTTCTCACTAGAATAATGCTGACTCTTCCCATAACTACTAAGAAACACCAAAGGTGCAAAGAGTCCAAAAAACATGATCACATTTCCAGAGAGGTATAGCAAAAAGCCTCTGTGGGTGAATAGGGTTAAGTCCAGGAACTGATTAATTGTTTGGAAGACTGATCGTTTCTCTTGTTTAGGGTGTCTTCCAATAAGATCTGTATTTGCATCATGCAGATCTTTTTTCACACCAGATTTTCCAGCTTTCTCAAGGGATGCTTTAGACTTATCTTTCCCTGCCTTGGTTGGCTTGGGCCCGATTGGTCGCATGAGGGCTCCAGCAACACAGCAGTTTAGTAGCAAGCCCCCAAGAATTAGAAAGCTTCCTCTCCATCCAAAGATACCGAAGAAAACCTGATTGAGGGGGGCCAGAGTACAGAGGAACACAGGGCTGCCTGCCATGGCCAGTCCGTTGGCCAATGGTCGCCTCTTGTAGAAATACTTGCCAATCATGGTCAGAGCTGGATTCAAGTTGAAGGCAAGCCCAAGACCTGTGAAGACAATAAATAAATAAATAAATAAATAAATAAATAAATAAATAAATAAATAATAAGAGGTATAAATAATGGAAGGAATAGGATATAAATCCTCATTATTAGAGGACATGTTATGTAGTGGTTTAAAGTATGACTTCTAAAACAGACATGGGTTCAAATCTCAGTATCAGTGCTTACTGGTTGCATAATCTCAGACATGTATACCCTCCTATGACTGCTTCCTAATATGTAAAACGGGCACAGGTCACTGTTGTGAGGAAGAAAAGATTTGTTAAGCACTTAGTACCCAGTGCCCAGTATGTAGTAAGCACTTAATACATGTTATTTTTATTATTGTTGTTTTTATTATTTGAAGGTGAATAACTATTTTGTCTAATCTAACAAAATCACCGGAAGGATTATTATAACCATATAAGATCATTAAGTCGACAGTAGAGATAAAACAAATTTACACTAGAAAATGCATAAGGCCAGCTGCAGTGGCTCATGTCTATAATCCCAGTGCTTTGGGAAGCCAAGGCGGCAGGATTGATTAAGGCCAGGCATTCAAGACCACCTTGGGCAGCATAGCAAGACCTGTCTCTACAAAAAGTAATTCGAAAATTAGTCAGGTATGGTAGTGTGTGCCTGCAGTCCTAGCTACTTGGGCGGCTAAAGCTGGAGTATCACTTGAGCCTAGAAGTTTGAGGCTATGGTGAGCTATGATCACACAACTGCACTCCATCCTGGGCTACAGAGAAAGAACCTGTCTCAAAAACCCAAAAACGAAAGAAATAACATATAGTACAAAATGATCCCTTCCACTATAGCACCAAAACTTAAAAACAGGCCAATTCCTAAGACTCCAATTGTGAAACTTTCCTGAGAGATCAGAGAATTTAAAATACACACAAAGTTTTGGGAAAATAAAACACAACATTGCTAAGATGCCAAGGCTCCTGAAATGAATGTACTAATTTATTTTATTTATTTATTTATTTATTTATTTATTTATTTTTGAGACAGAGTCTTGCTCTGCCGCCCAGGCTGGAGTGCAGTGGCGCGATCTCGGCTCACTGCAACCTCCACCTCCCGGGTTCACACCATTCTCCTGGCTCAGCCTCCCGAGTAGCTGGGACTACAGGCGCCCGCCACCATGCCCGGCTCATTTTTTTTTTGTATTTTTAGTAGAGACGGGGTTTCACCGTATTAGCCAGGATGGTCTCGATCTCCTGACCTCGTGATCCACCTGGCTCGGCCTCCCAAAGTGCTGGGATTACAGGCGTAAGCCACCGCACCCAGCCTGAATGTACTAATTTAATGCAATCCAATGAAAATGTCAGTGAATTTTACTTTCGGATTAAGGTAAATGATTCTAAAGGATACTTACAGAACAAATACAGAGCTACTAGGAAATTTTTGATGGTGCAGAGGAAAAAGTGGGACCAACCAGAACAAATTATTTAAATGGCTTTACAAAAGCTACAGTCATTAGAGCAGTGTGGCCCTGTTTCAGGAACCAGTAAAAATTCGTCAGTGAAAGTGCAGAAACACTATAGAAAGTCCAGGAACAGAGTTGAAATACATGGAAACATTTAATGTAAGATAAAGTAGCATTTTAAATTAATAGAGAGAAATTATTCAATAAATAGTGCTAGCAAAAGTAATATTCAAAGAACTTCCTCCCTGACCTCATAGCAAACCATTCTTACATTTGTTAATAAGCTCTACGGTCTATGATCCCTTACATTTTCACAAATCTGGTTCCCTGTTGTTATGCAGGTCTCTACTTAAAGTTGATTCTTCAGTGAGCCCTGACCTTCATTGCTTGCCCAGTTCTTCCCTGTCACAACACTCAGTTAAAGGCTTTATATAGCATTTATCACTACCTGATATTTTTCTTATTTATTAATTTATTTATGAGTTGTACTGTTTGTCTCCTCCTATTAAAGAGTGTAACTGCCTGACTTGTTGCTCTATCTCTACAGCACCTAAAATGGTTCCTAACACACATACAGTTGTTGCTCAATAAATATTTCATAAATAAATTAATAAAAGAGCAAATGAACCAACTGATTAACCATGTGGGAACAAATAGAGTTATATTTCTTTTTTCTCATCTTATGTCAGATGTTTTCATCCATTTGGAATTTTTAAATGTAGCTGGGCGTGGTCGCTCATGCCTGTAATTCCAGCATGTTGGGAGGCCGAGGCAGGCGGATCACCTGAGGTCAGGAGTTTGAGACCAGCCTGGCCAACATGGTGAAACCCCGTCTCTATTAAAAACACAAAAATTGGCCAGGTGCAGTGGCTCACGCCTGTAATCCCAGCACTTTGGGAGGCAGCGGCAGGCGGACCATGAGGTCAGGAGTTTGAGACCAGCCTGCACAACATAGTGAAACCCCGTCTCTACTAAAAATACAAAAATTAGCTGGGTGTGGTAGCGGGCGCCTGTAATCCCGGCTACTTGGGAGGCTGCGGCAGGAGAATCGCTTGAACCCAGGAGGCGGAGATTGCAGTGAGCCGAGATCATGCCATAGCAGTCTAGCCTGGCAGTGAGAGTGAAACTGTGTCTCAAAAAAACAAAACAAAACAAAAGAACAACAACAAAACCAGATTTTTAAAATATAAAAACTAAAGTGCAGTAAACAGAAGTGGACAAATATTTTCATAATCTTGGAGTAGAAAACAACTTTCTCAGGATGACATACAAGATGGAAACCATAAAATACGTTTTGAATACATAAAAATTTATATGTTTAATAAGGGAAAAACATTGGAAAAGACTGAATTTTAAAAATACTTTTTAACAAAATTCAACATCAGAAGGCCGGGCAAGGTGATTCACGCCTGTAATCCCAGCACTTTGGGAGGCCGAGGCAGGCGGATCACAAGGTCAGGAGATCGACTATACTGACTAATGCGATGAAACCCCGTCTCTACTAAAAAAAAATACAAAAAATTAGCCAGGCGTGGTGGCGGGCACCTGCAGTTCCAGGTACTCAGGAGGCTGAGGCAGGAGAATGACGTGAATCCAGGAGGCGGAGCTTGCAGTGAGCTGAGATCGCGCCACTGCACTCCAGCCTGGGAGACAGAGCGAGACTCCGTCTCAAAAAAAAAAAAAAAAGAAAAGAAAATAAGGATTAAAACCAAGAGATACTGTTCTCACGTGTTAAACTGGCAATTATTTTTTTAAAAAAGGCAATATCCCATTGTTGACAAAAGGGATAATCTTGGAATCTCTGATATATTGTGGTGGGATAATAAGTGAGTATAACTTTTTTGGAGGACAATTTAGCATACATATATTAAAACAAACACACAGCAGTTCCCTTTCTACAAATTTATACGAAGAATATATTCATGTTCACAAAACTTTCAACTTAATACTGACAAAAATCTGGTTATAAAATATTAGACATAATTTGATCCTTTTTTGCTCAAAAAAAGGTGTATCTGTGCATAGAAAAACACATGGAAGGATATACATAGAAATGTTAATGATATTCTTTGGATTGTGAGGTTATGGGTAACTTTTATTCATTATGCTCATCAACAGTTCATTATCTTAATTTAGTGATTTTTAAAATGGGGGGAGGAATTATGAAGCGTATCCTCTACCCCTCAGAAATGTTATGTGGACATTCTATCAAATTGCCACTCTCGCACCAAGTTGCCACACACATTGTATCTACCACTACTGGCTATTCTTAGGACAAGGAATGCAATCATTCTTTCAATTCATTCACTCATTCGACAAACAATAAATATCCATTATATAATGGCAATTTCTTTAAAAGTTTGCTTTTCTAGTACTTTTATCTCTAGTTCTTCAAAATGATAATCAAGTCATTTCTATAAGAAAAGAATTTCACTCCAGAGATCTGAAAGATGAATGCAGGTAAATACAAAATAGCCAGCCATAAACTAATGCTTCCAAATGAATCAGTAGTAACTCACCTCCAATGACTCCAATACAGACGTATAGTTGCTGTACGGTGTTACAGAAAGAAGCTGCAATCAAGCCACAGCCTGACAAGCAGCCACCAACAATCATGACTATACGACTTCCATATTTATTCACCAGGATACTGCTGATAGGACCTAAAAGACAACCAAAAATGTAGTAATATAAAGGAAACTGCTCCCTCACATCTACACAAGTATGAATGACAATGAATGACAAATCCTCCAAAATAAACAAGCAGCAATGATAAGAATATTGTTTTCTATAATTACTTCTGAGTCACATGTGTACTAAAATAAAGATGTTAGAAAACATAATTAATTGTGCAGGTTCTAAATCTAAAAATACTGGATGGAATTTTACTAAAATACAAAAGACCTGAAGTTATCCTTAATCTTTCTCTTTTATGGCAGGGCAGGCTGAAAACACCTTGGTAATGGATGTTCACAAGGTTCTTGATGTATCTAGGATACGATTAACATGTATGTAGAAAGTGGCTGGGCGCAGTAGCTCACGCCTGTAATCCCAGCACTTTGGGAGGCTGGGGCAGGTGGATCACCCGAGGTCAGGAGTTCAAGACCAGCCTGGCCAACATGGCGAAACCCCGTCTCGACTAAAAATACAAAAATTAGCCAGGCGTGGTTGGCGCGTGCCTGTAATCCCAGCTACTCCGAAGGCTGAGGCAGGAGAATGGCTTGAACCTGGGAGGTGGAGGTTGCAGTGAGCCAAGATTGCGCCACTGCACTCCAGCCTGGGCAATAGAGTGAGACTCTGTCTCAAAAAACAAACAAACAAAACAAAAACATGTTAGTAGAAAGTATGTTCTGTTTTAAATTTCAGACACACGCAGTGATAGGAGACGTATAAATGCATCTAGATTTTAGAGTACTTGTATATTATCATAAATGTGGTTTGTGGTGTTGTGTTTTTTTTGAGACGGAGTCTCACTCTGTCACCCAAGCTGGAGTGCAGTGGCCTGATCTCGCTTACTGTAAGCTCCGCCTCCCGGGTTCATGCCATTCTCTTGCCTCAGCCTCCTGAAAGACAGGGTGGGCGTGGTGGCTCATGCCTGTAATCCCAGCACTTTGGGAGGTGGATGGATCACCTGAGGTCAGGAGTTCAAGACCAGCCTGACCGACATGGAGAAACCTCATCACTACTAAAAATACAAAATTAGCTGGGCGTGGTGGCGCATGCCTGTAATCCCAGCTACTCAGGAGGCTGAGGCAGAAGAATCATTTGAATCCAGGAGGTGGAGGTTGCGGTGAGCCATTGCACTCCAGCCTGGGCAACAAGAGTGAAACTCCGTCTCAAAAACAAACAAACAGCAATCCCTAAAGCCACGCGGCCGCCAACTCCAGGGAGCTGATGCTTCCAACCACTGCACGTTGCTCCCGGGCTGTCGCAGTCTCCTGTTGCCGCCATCATGTCCCGGCCCTCCACGGTGTTGGGTGCCATGGAGATGGGGCGCCGTAGTCACCCGCGCCTTCCTGGAGCACGGCCACACCAAGATAGACACGGCCTTCGTGTACAGCGACAGCCAGTCCAAGACCATCCTGGGTGGCCTGAAAATTGATACCAAGGCCAATCCATTGTTTGGGAACTCCCTGAAACCTGACAGTCTCCGGTTCCAGCTGGAGACGTCACTGAAGTGGCTGCAGTGTCCCCGAGTGGACCTCTTCTACCTGCTCAGGCCAGACCACAGCACCCCGGTGGAAGAGACACTGAGTGCCTGCCACCAGCTGCACCAGGAGGGCAAGTTCCTGGATCTTGGCCTCTCCAACTATGCCACCTGGGAAGTGGCCAAGATCTGTAACCTCTGCAAGAGCAATGGCTGGACCCTGCCCACTGTGTACCAGGGCATGTACAACGCCACCACCCAGCAGGTGAAAACGGAGCTCTTCCCCTGCCTCAGGCACTCTGGACTGAGGTTCTATGCCTTCAACCCTCTGGCTGGGGACCTGCTGACTGGCAAGTACAAGTATAAGGACAAGGACAGGAAACAGCCCATGGGCCGCTTCTTTGGGACTCAATGGGCAGAGATCTACAGGAATCGCTTCTGGAAGAAGCACCACTTCGATGGCATTGCCCTGGTAGAGAAGGCCCTGCAGGCCGCGTATGGCGCCAGCGCCCCCAGCATGACCTCGGCTGCCCTCTGGTGGATGTACCACCACTCACAGCTGCAGGGTGCCCACGGGGACGCAGTCATCCTGGGCATGTCCAGCTTGGAGCAGTTGGAGCAGAACTTGGCAGCGGCAGAGGAAGGGCCCCTGGAGCCAGATGTTGTGGAGGCCTTTAATCAAGCCTGGCAATTGGTTGCTCACGAATGTCCCAACTACTTCCACTAGGCCCATCGTTTCTCAGGTTGCCCAAGGCTCTTCTGTAACCTCTTTTGTTTCTCACACTTTCTTTAATTTAGAAGTGCCTCAGTAAATTCTTAGGGATGGAAGTATTTGGACAAAAACCTAACAGTAAAGTCACCACCAAATGAAGAATGAAACCTCCTGGGGTGCTGTGTGTTAGTCTGTTTGCATTGCTATAAAAGAATACCTGAGACCGGGTCATTTATAAAGAAAACAAACAAACAAAAACAACAACAACAAAAAAAAGAAAAAAGA
The DNA here is from genome assembly GCF_000001405.40 of Homo sapiens. Lineage (NCBI taxonomy): Eukaryota > Metazoa > Chordata > Mammalia > Primates > Hominidae > Homo > Homo sapiens. Next base: position 112,924,615 of record NC_000001.11, read on the forward strand.
CAAAAATGCATGATCATTTTTTCCAAGTTTAAGTAGTGTTGCAATTAGGTAATCTTGATTAAAAAAGAAAAAGTTCCTAGTTACATCCAAATTCAGGTACTAAACCAAATATATCTTTCAGGGGCCAGGTATGGTGGTGGTGCATGCCTGTAGTCCCAGCTACTCGGGAGGCTGAGGCGAAGAATCACTTGAACCTGGGAGGCAGAAGTTGCAGTGAGATGAGATCGTGCCTGGGCAACAGAGTGAGGTTCTGTCTCAAAAAACAAACAAACAAAAAAAACCCACCCAAATATATCCTTCAGAATTACTTGGTTCCATGCCTATATTATTAAGTTTCATGGTAGTACAATTGTGAAAAAAAATGCTTGCAGGATAAGATTAAATCAGATAACAGTCAACACAACGTGGGTGTAACAACTCAAGAGAATAGGAAATAGTATTATCCAAGAAAACCAGACATTTCCTCAGCTAACTATATGCATATAAAAATCAGCATTTCTAGTATGTGAGAAAAGGAACCAAATGAAAAGCATTATAAGAAACAAGAAAATATTTTATGCATTTCATGTATCAGTTTTTTGCGACCAGTCTCCCTCTGTGGCTGGAGTGCAGTAGCGCAATCACAGCTCACTGCAGACCCAACCTCCTAGGCTCAAGTGATACTGCCACCACTGCCTCCAAAAGTGCTGGGATTATAGGTGTAAGCCACCATGACTGACCTATGTATCAGTTTTTGAGAAGAGGAATCAAATGTCAAGTGGCCTTTCTTTTTTTTTTAAATTTGAGACAAGGTGTTGTTCTGTCACCCAGGCTGGAATGCAGTGGTACTATCAGGGTTCACTGCAGCCTCGACCTCCTGGGCTCATTCAATCTGCCTGCCCAGCCTCCCGAGTAGCTGGGACTTCAGGTGCATGCCACCGTGCCGGGCTAATTTTTGTATTTTTTGTAGAGACAGGGTTTTACCATGTTGCCCAGGTTGGTCTTGTAATCCCGGACTCAAGTGATCCACCTACCTAGGCCTCCCAAAGTGCTGGGATTATAGGTGTGAGCCACCGTGCCTGGCCTTCTCTTCTTACTTGCTATAAATAGGTATAATCTGTAATTTGCCTTTTCCAAATTTCAAAATCTTAATTACAAGAAAGTCTTATCCAAACATAGAGTCTATTTCTAAAAACACATATTGAATGTACATATATTCAGAATATACTAATGATCACATATTGGCATATTCTATTTCCATAAATACTATGAAAAATACTTCAGTTACTTATAGTCTAGTTTTACTATTCAGAGTTGCGGTACAGTATACTAACATTAAAAGGATAGGCTGTAGCCCCAGGGCACCCTGTTTTAAGTTTTGGTTTCACCATATTCTTGTCTGTTTCTCAGAGGTTATTATTAAACTACTTTATAGGATTGTTGAAAGAATAAAAAATTAACTAATATATGTGAGGTGTTTAGTTGGTCCTCAATAAATACTGGCAGTGATCATGATACTGGTGCACATGCTTATTTATGCTTTCACATGACACAGACAGAAGGTGCTCTCTTTCCATCTCCATCCATATAGATATAGATGTTATGTATGTATATATACATAAGATAAGCATGTTAAGAAGGAATTAAAGCTTTTGATTATTCATGTGTTTCATAGGACCAAGTCTCTCTAAGGTGCTACATCAAGAACTGGCCGTTGCCAGGCGCAGTGGCTCACGCCTGTAATCCCAGCACTTTGGGATGCTGAGGCAGGTGGATTACCTGAGGTCAGGAGAGTTCAAGACCAACCTGGCCAACACCATCTCTACTAAAAATACAAAAACTAGCTGGGCGTAGTGGTACACACCTGCAGTCCCAGCTACTCAGGAGGCTGAGGCAGGAGAATTGCTTGAACCCAGGAGGCAGAAGTTTCAGTGAGCAGAGATCATGCCACTGTAGTCATAAGACTTTGTACAGTTAGAATTACAAAGATAAATACCAGGCTAGGCATGGTGGCTCATGCCTGTAATCCCAGCACTTTGGGAGGCCAAGGTGGGCAGATTGTTTGAGCCTAGGAGTTCAAGACCAGCCTTGGCAACATTGCAACAACCCATCTCTACAAAAAATACAAAAATTAGCCGAGTGTGGTGGTGCAAGCCTGTAGTCCTAGCTACTTGGCAGGGTGAAGGGGGAGGACCGATCACCTGAGGCCAGGGAGGCTGAGGCTACAGTTAGTGGTGATTGTGCCACTGCACTCCAGCCTGAGTGACAGAGTGAGAAACCCTATCTCAAAATAAATAAATAAATAAATAAATAATAAAAAAACTTAAAAAAAAAAGGATCAGCTTGGGCCATAGAGTGAGACCCCATCTCTACTTAACAAAAATAAAAAATTAGCTGAGCATAGTAGTAGGGCCACCTGCTACTGGGGAGGCTGAGGCAGGAGGATGGTTTGAGCCTCGGTGGCTGAGGCTGCAGGGAGACATGATCATGCCACTGTACTCCTGGTCAACAGTGAGACCCTGTGTCAAAAAAAAAAAAAAAAAAAATCCCACAAAACAAAGATCAGTATCACCACACTGTTGACTCTGAGGTAGAAGTTAATACTGTAGAAGTTAAAGTTTTTGAAATATTTAAAATTCCAAACCACAAGTGTTAAGGTGACCCTTGTGGAACTGATAAAATTTATACTTTCATGTTTAAAAAAAAAAGGAAAAACAAATAAACAAACCAAAAGTAGGCAGGTAAGATCTCTTCCCCGCAAAATATACTTTAACAACCATCACTGTATATCTCTGACCCAAAGCACTAAAAAAGAAAACAAAACCAACCATATCTCAAGACGTATTAGTGTTCAGATTGTGGTCCAAATGAACAAGTTAAAGGATTATCACAGTTGTAAAAGTGATGAAAACTATTAGGGGATATACTATTTAGAAACCAAACCAAACAAAACAACCCATTTAGTAAAAATTCTGCAACAAGGTTCATGATAGGCATTTTGTCTTTTAGTGTTATTTCAGGAAGGATAGGCCTAATTAGCTATCATTAAAAATAGAAAGGGGTACGGTTTATAGGCCTATTATAATACAAACTCAAAAAAATGTGCTAGTTATCTCACTAATTGAGTAAGGACAAAGAAGGAACTGTTTCCCCAAAGGAAAGTGTCATGTGCAACTAATAAAACTGACATCACTTACTTTTGATGCAAAACACAAGTGGCTTTCTCGCTCTTTGGTAGCACAGAATAGCAACATGTAAACTTCTGGTTTGTAGTCAACTTAAGAAGACACTGAACACCTGGAGTACCTCTGGGTAATGTTTATACCAATTTCTTCAAGCCATCATAGTCAAAACCTGATTAAAATCCTGGCAGAATGGAGTTCAAAGCCTACAAAATTATTGGCTCTCAGAAGCTAATGCCCAAAGTCCATTTTGATTTCTCTGAACTTATTAAAAAAAAACACTACAATTAAGCACTTAGGTTCTTTAATTTGATAGACAAAATAGGCCTATGTTCAAAATGTAAAAGGCACAAAAAGATAAACAGTGGAAACATAAGTCTTCCTAATCCTGTTCCCAGTCACCCAGTTTCTCTTTCTCCATGGCAGCCAGTTACCTGTTTCTTCTGGACGATTTAATTACAGGCTTAATGAAATTATGATTTCAACTGCTTATTCCTGTTTCACGATCATATATTACTGTCTCAAAAGGATTATAAACTTCTCAAAGGAAGGGATCAGTGTTTTCTGTCACTCACAATACCTAGCCCAGTGCTGAATATATTCATAGAACTTGACAGATATTGGTTGACTCTGGCACCACCTTAGCAGCCTAAGGCTAAGTTATTTATAGTTGAAACCAAGAATCATTACATTGGCTAGAAACAGTATTTTAGATGATGTTAAGTGAGCAACTTACTTCCAACATTTCCTTTACAATATGCCAAAAAAAACAAAAGAGAAATAAATGGTAAAATTTAAGTTTAGGGTGCAGCTGAAATGCTTTTAGGACTCATAACATCGCAAGTAATACGGAGGAGGTTTTTTCAGTTAATTCTAACATCATATAAAGATTTTACCTGAGAATCTGAACCATGCCATTCAGGCTAGTCTGATTTATTTTAATCCTCCCAACATCAATTTTTAAAAATCTATATTTATGTTTACATTTCAAGAGTCCAGCAGAGATCAACAAAAAAAATACAGCTGTGAATACATCATTTTTATAACAGTCTTTTAAACTCAATGATACATCAGTTGGAGCAAATCAAGGTCCCTCACAATTTTCTCATTTCTGTTTTGAAATACTACAGTATACTATAGCAAGAGTTGCTATTGTTATCAGGAATGAAAAATGTGACTCTAAACACCAAACTTTAAGAAATAACATTTCAAAACATCTCACTGAATAAGACTTTTTTTTTTTTTTAAAGTTACCTAATACAGACACTCTGGCTGCTTCATGAAAATTAAAAGAGCAGGCCTTAATGGGTACTTACCTCCACCATACATGACAGCCAACATTATGGAGGATATCCATGACACTTCGCTGGTGGTGGCATGGAATATACCTTCAATCTCTTTGAAGAAGACAGTAATTGATTTGGGAAATGCATAAGAGAAGCCGATGGAAATGAAAGCTCCAATTACCACTGCCCAGCCCCAGCCTCCATCTGGGGGGGTGTATCCAACTGGACCTCCAACTGCTGGTGGCATTTTAAGTGTAGATAAATTCCAAAATGCAGGTCAAATCCAAATATCTGAAAGACATAAAATTAAAATAGTATGTCAATATAAGGCACACCTATAAAACTCTTTTGTGAAATAAGAAATATAGCCAATCGTGGTGGATCATGCCTATTAGTAATCCCAGCTACTTGGGAGGTTGAGGCAGGAGGATCATTTGAGGCCAGGAGTTCAAGACAGCCCGGGCAACACAGATCCTGTGTCTAAGAAAATTTTTAAAAAATTAGCTGGGTATGGTGGAGCATGCCTATAGTCCCAGCTACTCAGGAGGCTGAGGCAGGAGGATCACTTGTACTCAGGAGTTTGAGACCACCCTGGGCAACATAAGTAGACCCCAACTTTACAAAAAAATTAAAAAATTAGCCAGACATGGTGGTGTGTGTCTGTGGTCCCAGTTACTTGGGAGGCTGAGGTGAGAGGATCACTTGAACCTGGGAGGTAGTGGCTGCAGGGAGCTGTGATTGCACCACTGCACTGCAGCCTGGGTGAAAGAGCAAGATCCTGTCTCAGTAAATACATAAATAAATTGGTAAACAAGAGACCTGATGAGATTCCAGGTTGGTCATTGCATCCATGTGCAGGGAGGATAGCATACCCCAATTCCACGGGGGAAGAGGCTCCTGTACTTGGGGACCCTTCCAGACTTTGCCCTATGTACTTCTTCATCTGGCTTTCACATGTATCCTTTAAAGTATCCTTTATAATAAACCAGCAAATATTAGTAAGCGTTTCCCTGAGTTCTGTGAGCCTTCCTAGCAAATTAATCAAACCCAAGGAGAGGGGTAGTGGTAACCCGATTTATAGCTGGTGAGTCACAAGTACAGGTGACAAGCTACTACTTATGTATGATTGGCATGTGAAGTAAGGGCCTTAGTCTTGTGCAACTGAGGCCTTAACCTGCGATCTAACTCCAGGTAGCTGAAGTCAAAATTGAATTGAATTACGGGACACCCAGTTGGTGTCTCCTACAATTGCTTGGTATATGTGGGGGAAAAAAACCCCCACACTTCTGGTTACAGTAGTGTTTTGTGATGTGCTGAGTGTTGACTGTGTAAGAGGAAAAAAAAAAGTGTTTTTCTCCTTCAGAACTTTACACCTAGCTCTCGAGTAAATGAATTTTTTTTAATGTTACTTATCCAATAGACATTATCTTCTTTTAAAGACATTATCAGAAAAAGCTTTAGAGTCATAGTATTGCCCATAATTTTTTGTAGCTTAAAGGAAAATAGCTTCTCACCACTTAAGAAATCATAATTGAAATAAATCCCTTTCAATAAATCAGTTAACATCATAATTCCTTAAATTACTTAGATAACCAAATGCCCCATTTGACTTATCTGCTTAACCTAAGATAACACATAATACATAACCTACAAACATTTTAGGTTTTTTTTTTTTTTTTTTGAGACAGAGTCTCACTCTGTCGCCCGGGCTGGAGTGCAATAGCAAGATCTTGGCTCACTACAACCTCTGCCTCCCAGGCGGTTCTCCTGCCTCAGCCTCCCGAGTAGCTGGGACTACAGGCACACGCCATCACCTTTGACTGATTTTTGTATTTTTAGTAGAGACGGGGTTTGGCCATGTTGGCCAGGCTGGTCTCGAACTCCTGACCTCAGGTGATCCACCCACCTTGGCCTCCCAAAGTGCTGGGATTACAGGCATGAGCCACCACTCCCAGCCCCAATGCTACAGGTTTTAATATAGCCTTTATAAGTTTTTTACCTTTTCCAAAATATATTCTTCCATACTCTTTTCATTCTCTTATTTATGGCTGACTTAACATACTAGGAAGTGGGTGCCTGACTCACTAGATATGTAGCAATTTACAAAAAAAAAGATAATTCTGAACACCGAAAATTTTCACTTAACAGGCTGGGGAATTATCTCAGAAAAGTTTCCTTTTATCTTAATAGCTTTGATTCAAGGTATTTTTCCGCATTATATGACAAGAAACTCCTAAACAACAGCTAGCCAATACAGTTAAAATCATAAATATATATATGATGTCAAAAGATGGTAGTTTTAGGCCAGGCGCAGTGGCTCACACCTGTAATCCCAGCACTCTGGGAGGCAGAGGTAGGTAGATCACCTGAGATCAGGAGTTCGAGACCAACCTTATCAATATGGTGAAACCCCATTTCTACTAAAAATACAAAAATTAGCCAGGCATGGTGGCATGCGACTGTAGTCCCAACTACTAGGGAGGCTCAGATAGGAGAATCCTTGAACCCGGGAGGCGGAGGTTGCAGTGAGCCGGGATCATGCCACTGCACTCCAGTCTGGGCGACAGAGTAATACTCTGTCTCAAAAAAAAAAAAAAAAAAAAAAAAGTAGTTTTAAATCAAAGATAACTCCTTTGTCTTGAATTCACTTAGTACTAATGAATAATGAATAGCATGGTTAGAAAATGTAACCTTCTGTTACATTTTCTAATAAGATTTTAATAAGGGGCAGGTGGGAGTGAGCGTTTGGTGGTAGGTTACCTGTTTTCTCATGAAGGTCTCCTTTACTTTAAGCCAACTTCCACCCTATATTACAACTTATCCTGTATGTTAGCAGGTCCATTTCAAAGTACTTCCACTCAGACTATATTACAGCAATGAACACAGGTCAGAGATGACAAGTTCACTCTTGACTACCATGTTCTTTAGTCTATAACACAAACGCTTCTTCATAATATTAGCACTCAACTCCAAAACACTGTTCCTTCCAACCCCTATGAACACTTCAAATACAATTTAGGACACTGGACATTGCGGGAGTATGATGAAAATAGCTCCATACAAGAAGTTTCCTGAAAAGCAAGGATATACTCACCACTTATACACAACATTCTACTATAGGTTCTAGCCAGTGCATGCAGGCAAGAAAAAGAAACAAAAGGCATAAAGAATGGAAAAGAAGAAATAAAATAGGCCAGGTGCAGTGGCTCACACTTATAATTCCAATGCTTTGGAAGACCAATGTAGGAGAATCGTTTGAGGACAAAAATTCAAGAACAGCCTGGACAACACAGCGAGACCCTACCTCTACATAAATTGTTTAAAAATTGGGTGTGGTGGTACACATCTGTAGTCCTAGCTACTTGGGAAGCTGAGGTGGGAGGATCACTTGAGCCCAGGAATTTGAGGTTACAGTGACCTATGATCATGCTGCTGCACTCCAGAGCAAGACCTTGTCTCGGCCAGGTGCGGTGGCTCACACCTGTAATCCCCAGCACTTTGGGAGGCTGAGGCGGGCGGATCACAAGGTAAGGAATCCAAAACCAGCCTGGCCAACATGGTGAAACCCCGTCTCTACTAAAGATACAAAAAATTAGCCAAGCATGGTGGTATGTGCTAGCTACTTGGGAGGCTGAGGCAGGAGAATCGCTTGAACCCAGGAGGCAGAGGTTGCAGTGAGCCGAGATCGCGCCATTGCACTCCAGCCTGGGTGACAAGGGGAGACTCCGTCGCAAAAAAAAAAAAAAAAAAAGGCCTGTCTCTAAAAAATAAATAATAAATAAAGTTGTTTTTATTCAGATGACAGATATGTATAAAGAAAACCCTAAGGAACATCAAATAAGTGAATTTGACTAGGTCTTAGGATACAACATCAATACACAGAAATCAATTGTATTTCTATATATTAACAATGAACAATCCAAATATGAAAACATTTTTAAATGCTATTGTAAATGGTAAACTATATAGAAATAAATCTCACAAAAGATGTATGAGATATGTACACTGAAAACTATAATACTGAGAAGTTAAAATAGATAACCTATCCTCTCGGACTGAAAGACTCAATATTTAAATCAAGCAAAGATTTCTGAAGGAACATAAAGAAACAACTATAAAAAAAGTTGGCCGGGCGCAGTGGCTCACGCCTGTAATCCCAGCACTTTGGGAGGCTGAGGCGGGAGGATCACGAGGTCAGGAGTTTGAGATCAACCTGGCTGTCTCTACTAAAAATACAAAAATTAGCTGGGTGTGGTGGCGTGTGCCTGTAGTCCCAGCTACTCGGGAGGCTGAGGCAAGAGAATCGCTCGCTTGAACCCGGGAGGCGGAGGTTGCAGTGAGCTGAGATCACGCCACTGCACTCCAGCATGGCCGACACAGCGAGACTGCGTCTCAAAAAAAAAAAAAAAAAAGTTTTAAAATTAGACTTCAAAATATATGCAAAATAATATACTCAAGAAAAGACATACCCAGAACATAAAAAGAACTTGCACAACGATAGCAAAAAGGCAAATCACCCAGCTTAAAAAAAAAGCAAAAGATCTAAACAGGTGCTTCACCAAAGATACATGAATGATAAACAAGCACATGTAAAGATGCTGAATGTCGTTGGTTATTTAAAAATGCAAATTAAAATCACAATCTAATACATACCTACTAAAAATAAGACAGATAATTCCATGACTTTGTGGGGTTATAAAGCCAATGGAACTCTCATATTGCTGATGTTACAGTCCCTTGGAACACATTTTGGCAGTTCCTTATAAAGTTATAGATATATTTAACATATGAGCCAGCCATTACAGTGTCAGGTATCACCCAGGATTTATATAAAAAATTCTCTAGCAGCTTGATGCATAATAGCCAAAAACTGAAAACAACCCAATGTCCATCAACAAATGAATGGATAAACAATGGTACAGCCATATAATAGAATACTACTCAGCAATAAAAAGGAACTACTGATGCATGCGATAACATGGATGAATTTTAAAAGCGTTCTGTTAAGTAGGAAAAAAAAGCTAGACAAAAGATTGTATTCTATATGGTCACATTTATATTAAATTGTAGAAAAGGCAAAATTCTAGCACAGGTCAAGCATTTCTCTAATCTGAAAATATGAAACCCAAAATCTGAAACTTTCTGAACACCAGCATGATGCTCAAAGAAAATACTCATTGGAACATTTCGAATTTTGGATTTTTGGATTAGGGATGTTCAACTGCTTAAGTAACTGCAAATATTCCAAAATCTGAAAAAATCTGAAATCCAGAACACATTTTATCCCAGGCATTTTAGATAAGGGATAGAAAACAGATCAGTGGCTACCAGGGGTTGGGGAGAGGAGACTGACTGCAAAGCAGTATGAGATAACTTTTAGGGTAAATGGAAATACTTTATTATCATGATGGTGACAGTTACTCATCAAAGTATACATTCAAGTTAGTAAATTTTATTATGTCAATTATACCTCAATAAAGCTGATCAAAACCAAAAGAAAGTCCAAGGACAGTGACAAGGGGAATAAAATTTGTTCTGTGGCACAGGGAGACAATACAGAAGCAAAAGGAGAGGGCAGGCAAACTTCTTTGTCTTAGTTATCTAGACGGTTAAAAGAAAGAGGAAGAAGACAAAGATGAGGATAAAGAAAAGGAGACAAGAGGAGGACAGAAGATTCTTCTGAGAATTCACAACTCAGGCCAGTGTGAGCTCATGCTTGGCAGGGAATTATCTGTAGAATATCTTTGTTGTTCTTCCAGAGATACACTATATTTGATTTTGCTAGCAAAGATTTCCCACAAAGGCCTGCCAAACATAAGCTCACAATTGTGAACACATCAAGAACCAATTAACCGTGAGCAAACGCAATGCCAATCTAACACAGTTGGATTAGACACTCAGGAACTATAGGCATAGCAATATGAATATTTAAATGACTAAAGACATAAAACAAGGCATTTAAAACATTAGAAAAAACTGTGTATTTCTCTAAAATTATGTCTTTCTCTAAAAAAGATCCATAGAAGAAGATTAATTGATTTGAAATAGAACTAGAAATGGAAAGTAAAGTTAGCCAGGCATGGTGGCTTGTGCCTGTAATCCCAACACTTTGGGAGGCCGAGGAGAGTGGATCACCTGAGGTCAGGAGTTCGAGAACAGCCTGGCCAACATGGTGAAACCCCATCTCTACTAAAAATACAAAAATTAGCCAGGCATGGTGGCACATGCCTGTAATTCCAGCTACTTGGGAGGCTGAGGCAGGAGAATCGCTTGAACCTGGGAGGTTGCAGTGAGCTGAGATTGCACTACTGTACTACAGCCTGGTGACACGGCAAGACTCCGCTTCAAAAAAAAAAGTAAAGTCAGTGAAATTAATAACACATTAACTGGAAGACTGGATGTAGCTATATACAGAGTCAGTAAACCTTAAGAATAGGTTTGAAGAGATTAGTCAGAATTCAGGGGAGTGTCATTCTGAAGCTATGAAAGAAAGGCTTTAGAATGGGAGGATCTGACATTTATCTAATGGGACTTTGGAAAAAGAGAATAGAGAATGGAGAAGAGACAACTGTCTGGGTAAATGACTAAGGGTTAATGACTAAGGATATTATAGACTTGATGAACAATATAAATCCTCAGTTTGAGAAAACAAGATAAAGAGAAAAATCTTAGAAGACAACTACTTAGAAAATACAGATGACTCAGCTAACAAATATTCATACTGACAAAACAGTCTTCCTGACAATTTTGAAAAATTCTCACCTATTATGTCTTCAAATATTGCTTCTCCCCCATTCTCTCTTTTCACTTTTCTCAGACTCCAACTGGATATGGGTTGGACCTTCCCATGCTATCTACTCTCTTACTCTCCCTTCTATGTTGTCATGTTATCATTCATTCCTTTGTTTCTCTGAACTTCATTCTGGATGGTTTCTTCTGTACTTTAGCTGTGTTTGGCACTAAAGATTAAGGTGATGTAACTTAAGATTAAGGTGATGTAACTTACAGGAAATAGCTGGCCAGTCCTCATTTTCAAACCAATCAAGTAAAAGAGATTTCTGTTAAACAAAAGCACACTTCATTTTAATTCAAATAAATGTGTTGATACACATCTCTGTGATAACTATCTCATTTTTATAATAATAATTCTAACTTAGAGAAGGCAGCCGGGGGCAGTGGCTCATGCCTGTAATCCAAACACTTTGGGAGGCCGAGGCGGGTGGATCACTTGAGGTCAGGAGTTCGAGACCTGCCTGGTCAAAATGGTGAAACCCCAACTCTACTAAAAATACAAAAATTAGCTGGGCATGGCGGCAGGCACCTGTAATCCCAGCTACTTGGGAGGCTGAGGCAGGAGAATTGCTTGACTCTGGGAGACAGAGGTTGCTCAGTCTAGGTGACACAGCATGACTCTGTCTCAAAAAAAAAAAAAAAAAAAAAAAAGGAGAAGGCAGGAGTTTGTTGTCCAGATGAAATAATTTTTCAATATTCTCCAATATTTCTGACCTAATCTCTTTTTGGATTTCTATCATGGGACTCTCTCTAGGACTATGCATTCTGGAATTTTCCCTTCCTTTGAGATTTTTATTGCTTAGGACAGTGAACCACCATAAGAAATGGGATGAATAAGAGATACACCTCTCTTTTGTAGTGGGAGTAAAAGGCTTTTGGATAACTCAAGTTGGAAAAGAAAAAGTAGAGATCAGGCATCCATTCTCAAGAGGTAATTTTTAGCTAAGGTTATCTCTCAACCTGAGGATGTGCAGAATAATTCCTTCAAAAATATAACCCAGTTTAAAAATTGAAGGTCTTTGTCCTAGGGCATTTCATCTACCTAGGATTTGGGTGAGATAAAAATATTTACAAGTTAAGGTTTCCTAAAATTTCTACTGGAATGAATATGATTAAAAGCTATTTAACAGGTCAGCTCTGCTAACAGCAACAGCCTGAATTCTAAAATGATGTTAAATAAAACTGCTGCAGGCATTGATTTTATGAGCTTTTTCTTCTTCTAAGTATGAAAAAAGAGAACACTTAAAAAATTTCAAAGAACCACTAAAAAGATTAATTCATCTCAGAATATTTACACACATAGAACACCCACACACAGACAGTAGGGCTGTTTAACACATCAAGCTCTGACTAGAACAGCTAATACGTGCTGGACGTGATTAAACTTTGAGTTTAGCTGCCAGCTATGATTTGTCCCAATTAAGGCAGTTACAATTTTTAGTCACTAAAGCTTGCCTCATCAAGTTAATACCTTATTCCACAGTGCCAAAATTAGATTTAAAGCCTCAAGAAACTTTAGAAAAATTTAAAAGGAAATAAGAAAGTATAAGAAATAAGAGCATGCAAAATCATTATGAAAAACAGAACACTTCAAAAAACCACACACAGATTCAACACAATTCTGCCACCACCTGACAAATGGCTATCCCTGTTAACTTAAAAATACTGATGGTACATAACTGAAAAAAAAAAGTCAGTTAATATTATCTAAGCATATTATTTCCTTTTTTAACTGGCAAATCTCAGCTATAAACAGAAGGGCTCATTCAAAAAGTAAATTATGAGAGCAGGCCCCCTTGCAGAGTACTCAGAGTTCCCTTGAGAAAGCAGAGCACATGCATTCTTTGTATGCTAAAGCCCAGAGGCTAAAAGGGACTAAAGTTTAAGATTTTAATCCTTACAATATGCACAGTAGCTTTCCTATCAGCTTAGCTATTACTGCCCAAGAGTGATGGGGAGACTAAAAAACAAAGTGATAGGGTAATGAGAAAAATTCTTCATTAATTCATCTTCTAAAGGATGATAGAAAACAATAACCCTAACTTTTCTTGGCAATGACGGTGATAAGAATCACCTTCTAGATTTTCTGATATTTTTTTCTCGTAACTCTCATGAATTGTGCTAGTAAACTAATCTGGAAAGCCGAAGCTGTGCTCCATACCTGCCATGTCCTTGCCCCACTCCCAAAGAGAAGAGCTACAAAAGCCTTGAAAATAGTATTCATCATGTTCTGTACACTTTCCTCATCAACATTTAAAATGAAGCCACTGTCTTTTCCTAAAATGACAATGACCAGTTTGTGAACTTAAAAGAAGCAGAAAGTATCTAAAACCAATAACCTTAAAATAATCTGTTAATGAGTGTAAACTAGTTTTAGGTTTCAAACACATGGAAACATTCAAATCCAGAAAGGCTGATTTCCTGAAGCTATTGCTGCTAAAGTAGATAACCTGTTGTTCTCTGTAACTAGCCCTAATGCAGCTTCATGGTTTACAGAACCACCTGTCCCAAGTTAACTCCCAAGATTCAAAGTCTAGGAAACCTCACTTTCGTTTCTTTTCCACTTTGAAACTGAATACATTGAGGAAACCAAAACAATGAAAAAATCAAGCAGAAAGCGCTAGTCAAAGAAGGAATGTAACTACTGGATCTGGCTAGCCAAACACTCAGCAATTACGAAATGCATAATTTTGATCAAACTGCATATAAAGAATCTTAAAAAATATAAACCTGTCTCTGCAAACTTCCAACTCTCTTTACCTACCCTGCCATTCTGGGAAAATCCTATCCACATTACAAGAAGTTAAATATATTATGCTTATAAGAGAAATTAACAACTTGCTAACTCGAATGCTTAAAGAAGGATTTTAGGCCTATCTTTCAGAATTCTGTTTATGATAATTGATTTTAGACCTTGCTTTTAATTCATATTTATAATCCCTAAAAAAATCAGTATTTTAGTTAATAATTTACAGTTTAAAATTATTTACATAGACCACTCTACCAATAAATAGAAAGCATTTCTTTTTTTTTTTTTTACCTTTTTTTCTTTTTTGAGATGGAGTCTTGCCCTGTTGCCCAGGCTGGAGTACAATGGCGCGATCTCGGCTCACTGCAACCTCCGCCATCCGGTTTCAAACGATTCTCCTGCCTCAGCCTCCTCAGTAGCTGGGATTGCAGGCACACGCCACCATGCCCAGTTTTTTTTTTTTTAACTTTTAGTAGAGACAGGTTTTACCATGTTGGCCAGGCTGGTCTCGAACTCCTGACCTCGTGATCCACCCGCCTCAGCCTCCCAAAGTGCTGGGATTACAGGCGTGAGCCACCGTGCCCGGCCAACGTATTTCTTTTTAAAGACAGCAGATTTCCAAAGAACAAGAATTGGTAAGGATGTGGAGAAAAGGAAACCCATGTACACTGTTGGAGGGAATATAAACTGGTGTAGCTGTTATGCAAAACAATATGAAGATTCTTCAAAAAATTAAAAATACAATTACCATTTGATCTAGCAGTCATACTTCTGGGTATATATCCAAAGGAACTGAAATCTGGATCTCAAAGAGATTACCTGCACACTCCCATGTTCTCTGCAGCATTTTTCACAATAGCCAAGATATGGAAGCAACCTAAATGTCCATCTACGGAGGAACAGATTAAGAAAATGTGGAAAATACATATAGTTGGTCTTGTCGCCCAGGCTGGAGTGCAATGGCATGATCTCGGCTCACTGCAACCTCTGCCTCCCAGGTTCAAGTGATTCTCCTGGTTCAGTCTCCTGAGTAGCTGGGATTACAAGCATGTGCCACCATGCCGGCCTAATTTTTGTATTATTAGTAGGAAGGGGTTTCACCATGTTGGCCAGGCTGGTCTTGAACTCCTGACCTCAGGTGATCCACCCACCTCGGTCTCCCAAAGTATTGGGATTACAGGCGTTAGCCACCGTGCCCTGCATTTGTCAGCTTTTTAAAATGAGTTATGTATTATTTCTTTCATCATTCTAAACAAAAACTCAGCCTCATACTCCCTCCACTCCCCGCCCCTGCCCATCCCCTGGCACAAAAAGACAACAAATCTCAAAGTTTTTGTTCCAAGGCAGAAATGTATTTGGAAAAGGGAGTATTTTAATAGCATTTTCAGATAATTGAGGATATTCCTCTTTGATACTACACCAAAACCTGATGGGTGATTTTTTTTTTTTTTTTTTTTTTTTTAAAGACAGTGTCTCGCTGTGTCACCCAGGCTGGAGTAGAGTGGTGCAGTGCCTCACTGTAGCTCCTGGGCTCAAGTGATCCTCCCACCTTAGTCTCACGAGTAGCTGAGATTACAGGCATGAGACACCATGCCTGGCTAATTTTTGTATGTTTTGTAGAGATGAAGTTTTGCCGTGTTTCACAGGCTGGTCTTGAACGCCTGGGCTGGGCTCAAGTGATCCGCCGGCCTCCGCCTCCCAAAGTGCTGGGATTACAGGCATCAGTCACGGCCCGGCTGATAGTTTCATGATGATTAGTTTAAGTGAAATCTAAAGACCTCAATCGTGAGAGAGTCTTGAGGTCCTTGAAGGATCCAAAAAAACCACACTTTGAGAACGGCTGTTTTTTTAAATCATTAATTCAATTTGATCACAAACGTGACTAAATTGATACCTAATGGTTTATTCAGACTGCATATCATCTTGGTGCATTCAACTGAATCAGAATCAGGTTAGACAATGTTTTTTTCAGCACTACAGTAAATTCTGATGTATAACAGGGATGTATTAATTATAGAAAAAAGCTGATATATATGTATACTGGAAAGGATGGTCAGAGATGGTGCAGAATACACTATTTTTCACTGTACATCATTTAGGCTCTATTTAAATAATATATATTTTATACTTTGATAAAAAGTATGCACATACTTCTTATTAAAATAATTTTGATCAAGGATGTCAAATTTACTATTTTTAGTCAGTTAAAAAAGAACATGCAAAAATTCTATTATAGAACAAAATAATAATTCACTTTCCTTTACGAGTTCTTTAGACAAAATCATGTCCTTTGCAACAACATGAAGATGGTGGCCATTATCCTAAGCAAACTAACACAGTAAACCAAATATTTTTCTCACTTATAAGTGTGAGCTAAACTTTGGGTACACATGGACATAAAGATGGGAACAATAGACACTGGGGAATACAAGATGGGGGAGAAGTGAAGAGGGGCAAAGGGTTGAAAAACTACCTATTGGGTTCTATGCTTACTTCCTGGGTGATGGGTTCAATTGTACTCCAAACCTTACCATCATGCAATATACCTTTGTAAAAAACCTGCACATGTACCCCAGAATCTAAAATAAAAGTTGAATAAATAAATAAATAATGATGTAGTATAAAAAAAGAGTTCTTTGGCTTATCAAGTTTATCCCCTATAGACCTCTTCACACCTTTTTTTTTTTTTTTTTTTTGAGACAGAGTTTCGCTCTTGCTGCCCAGGCTGGAGTGCGATGGTACGATCTTGGCTCACCGCAACCTCCGCCTCCTGGATTCAAGCAATTCTCCTGCCTCAGCCTCCCAAGTAGCTGGGATTACAGGCATGCTGCCACCACACCTGGCTAATTTTTGTATTTTTAGTAGAGACGGGGTTTCTCCATGTTGGTCAGGCTGGTCTCAAACCCCCGACCTCAGGTCATCCGCCTGCCTTGGCCTCCCAAAGTGCTGGGATTACAGGTGTGAGCCACCATGCCTGGCCCACATCTTCTTGTAGTCCTAAATACCATACGTATTCTTGGAGAGCATTCTCCAAACCAGAAATTTGTCCAAAGTTTTTCCTAACAAGAAAGCTCGCAATGCACACTTGTCAGGAGTCTACAGGACCATAAAACATACGAAAGCTAACATTTGTAACTGTCCTCATCTCTACTGTGATCTAGAAAAGCCCTGTTTTGTTTCAAGTAAATATAGCATGTGCTAAATTTGTGATACGTGATGAAATGGAGAGTGTTTGTAAGATCTCAGGGCCCTTTCACCACCTAAAGTAAGACAGAAGGAGGTTGAGAGGAGGGTTTCTCCAGCATAAACAATATCCCTTAATTTCCAGCCTTTCTGACACCTCTCTCTGTCCACTGCAGTTCAAGTATGACCCCCTTTTTTTTTTGAGATGGAGTTTCACTCTTGGTTGCCCAGGCTAGAGTACAATGGTGCGATCTTGGCTCACTGCAACCTCCACCTTCTGGGTTCAAGCAATTCTCCTGCCTCAGCCTCCCAAGTAGCTGGGATTACAGGCGCGTGCCACCATGCCCAGCTAATTTTTGTATTTTTAGTACAGACAGGGTTTTACCATGACGGCCAGGCTGGTCTCAAACTCCTGACCTCAGGTGATCAGCCTACCTCAGCCTCCCAAAATGCTGGGATTACAGGCGTGAGCCACTGTGCCAGGCCAGTATGACACTTTTCTACCTTGTGAATGACTTTTGGTGAAGAATCTTTGCTAAATATTAGTCCAACTGAGTCAGCTGAGCAAAGCTTCAATGCTGAAATTTTTTGAAAAGGCATAAACAAAGTTCAAGTAACATGAAGGCATGTGGACATAAAGAACCAGCCTTAAGAAATTTCCAGAGAATGGGATTTAACTACCAAATAACATGTATTATAAATATTTCTGGCTTGTTAGGTGAAATGGGTTTAAGTTTTCCTAGACAGCTGCCTGGCAATCAATGTTTCTGCTAACCAGCATTAAGAGCTACTTTTGCTATATCATGAACAAAGCCAGTCAAGCTGTTTCAATGAAAAATAAACAAATGGAAAATGTTGGCTTTCTATTTGCAACTTCAACTAAATTTCATTAAGATACAATATGCCTGAGTAAGAATCAATCTTCATTTGTATTTACTGGGCATATGTTGATATATAATTCCAATTAATTTGACTTGACTTTAATACTCTACAATACCCTATGATGCTACTATTGTGACCCCAATCCTAATCCTCTTGTACAGTAGTTGTTTTAGATATGAGGAGGATTAAAGTAGTATAGAGAACTGATGAAGTGAACATATTTGTAAATGGGCAAACTAGCATGCAAACTTAAAGGTAATGAACATAGATATACATATATGCACGCACTTGTGTGTATATATTTACTTATTTAATCCTCTTTTGTCAATCTCAGCCAACGTTATGTTAAATAATCTGAATCTAGTAGCAAACACTCTTAATTCTCCTTGTAAGAAAATGACTTACATCATTTGTTCAACCAAATAAGCATGATTTTATTTAGGGAGAATGAGGCTATTATATAAGAAAGGTGTGGGGGTATAAAATGGATCACTTACTTTTGGGATAAGTACCCACATCAGTACAACTTTTTTCAAAAGATAGTGACCCATTCATTTTAAATTGAAAACCGGAATTTTCCAGTGTCTACTAAAAGCACCACAGATTAGCCGGGCATGGTGGCGTGCGCCCGGAGTCCCAGCTACTCAGAAGACTCTCTTGAACCTGGAAGGCGGAGGCTGCAGTGAGTGGAAAGGAAGAATGGGGTATACTTTGTTAGCTAACAAAGAAAGATTTGTAGAAGGGCAATATTTTAGGATAATAGCCAAAGAAGATCAAATATCAATGTCCTAAATTATCAAACTTCATCGTATTGTTTTTGCAATTAAAATTGCAAACCGGCTGGGCGCAGTGGCTCACGCCTGTAATCCCAGCACTTTGGGAGGTCAAGGCGGGTGGATCACCTGAGGTCAGGAGTTTGAGACCAGCCTGGCCAACATGGCAAAACCTCGTCTCTACTAAAAATACAAAAATTAGCCGGGCATGGTGGTGGGCGCCTGTAATCCCAGCTTCTCAGGAGGCTGAGGCAGGAGAATCACTTGAACTCAGGAGGCGGAGGTTGTGGTGAGCCGAGATCACACCACTGCACTCTAGCCTGGGTGACAGCATGAGACTCCATCTCAAAAAAAAAAAAAAAAAAAAAGATTGCAAACTAAGATTTAAAAAATTACACACCATACAACTGTATCATCATTTTTAAAAAGTATATCAGGATATACACCAAACTTTTTGGCCATTCATTCAACAAATCTGAGTGCCTGGAGTAAAGGCAGTAAAAGAGAAAAAGAGACAGACATAATCCCTGCCTTCATGGAGCTTAGATTCTGGGAAAGAAAGAAAGTAAATAGGTAAACAAATTAATTAAATAAATATGTTCTAATAGGCATACTTAAAATGCCATATTGCTGGAGGTTGAGAAGGGGAGTTAATATGCTCTTTCCATATAACTATGTTGACTGACTTGTTCCAATGAACATGTATTACCTGATAGTAAAGAAAATATGGCCAGGTATGGTGGCTCACACCTGTAATCCCAGCACTTTGGGAGGCAGAGGCGGGAGGATCACCTGAGTCCAGGAGTTCAAGACCAGCCTTGGCCATATGGCGAAACCCTGTCTCTACAAAAAATACAAAAAATTAGACAGCAGTGGTGGCACACACTTGTGGTCCCAGCTACATGGGAGGCTGAGGATCACTTGAGCCCAGGAGGTGGAAATTGCATGAGCCAAGATCACGCCACTGGACCCCAGCCTGGGCAACAGAGTGAACCCGTCTCAAAAAACGAAAAACAAAGCCCCACAAAGTAGTAGTTTTAAAACATGACAAGTTATACATGTGTGTTATAGAAAAATTAAAAGATATGTGTGAATAGAAAATAAAATTTACCTGTCATTCTACCATCCTCATTTAAAGTTATTTATGTTTTGATGTAAATCCTGACTTCCTTTTATGATAGTCATGCATATGAATAAA
Source organism: Homo sapiens (assembly GCF_000001405.40). Classification (NCBI taxonomy): domain Eukaryota; kingdom Metazoa; phylum Chordata; class Mammalia; order Primates; family Hominidae; genus Homo; species Homo sapiens. The sequence continues at coordinate 112,944,639 of NC_000001.11, forward strand.
CATAAATATGGAATATGTATGTATATGCTGCTTAATAGACATTTTCCATTAATATCAGAAACTTCCTTTTTTTTGACGGAGTCTCGCTCTGTCGCTGAGGTTGGAGTGCAGTGGTGCAGTCTTGGCTCACTGCAACCCCTGCATCCCAGGTTCAAGCCATTCTCATACCTAAGCCCCACGAGTAGCTGGGATTACAGGTGGGCGCCACCACATCTGGCTACTTTTTATATTTTTAGTAGACATGGGGTTTCACCGTGCTGGCTAGGCTGGTCTCAAACTCCTGACCTCAAATGATCTGCCCGTCTCGGCCTCCCAAAGTGCTGGGATTACAGGCCTGAGCCACTGCACCCAGCCTCTTTTTTTTTTTTTTTTTTGTTTGAGACGGAGTCTCTCTCTGTCACCCAGGCTGGAGTGCAGTGGCGTGATCTCGGCTCATTGAAACCTCCACCTCCCAAGTTCAAGCGAATCTCCTGCCTTAGCCTCCTAAATAGCTCGGATTACAGGTGCCTGCCACCGTGCCTGCCTAATTTTTGTATTTTTAGTAAGGGTAGGGTTTCGCCCTGTTTGCCATGGCGGTCTCAAACTCCTGACCTCAGGCCACCCGCCTCAGCATCACAAAGTGCTGGGCTTATAGGCATAAGCCACTGTGCCTGGCCGGAAACATTTTTTGATGTGTCTAGTTCCACAATGCTGTTTTTGAAGAACAGCATTCTGGTCTATGGATGTATTATACTTTAAAACATTACCTACTGTTGGCCGGGCATGGTGGCTCACGCCTGTAATCCCAGCACTTTGTGAGGCCGAGGCGGGTGGATCACCTGAGGTCAGGAGCTTGAGACCAGCCTGGCCAACGTGGTGAAACCCCGTCTCTACTAAAAATATGAAAATTAGCTGGGCATGGTGGCGGGTGCCTGTAATCCCAGCTACTTGGGAGGCTGAGGCAGGAGAATCACTTGAACCCGGGAGTCGGAGGTTGCAGTGAGCCGAGATCGTGCCACTGCACTCCAGCCTGGGCGATGGAGCAAGACTCGGCCTCAAAAAAAAAAAAGAAAAAAAAAAATTACCTACTGTTGTCCAGGTGCGGTGGCTCACACCTGTAATCCCAGCACTTTGAGAGGCCGAGGCAGACAGATCACCTGAGGTTGGGAGTTCAGGACCAGCCTGACCAACATGGAGAAACCCCATCTCTACTAAAAATACAAAATTAGCCAGGCATGGTGGCGCACGCCTGTAATCTCAGCTACTAGGGAAGCTGAGGCAGGAGAATCACGTGAACCCAGAGGCGGAGATTGAGGTGAGCCAAGATCATGCCATTGGACTCCAGCCTGGGCAACAAGAGCACAACTCTGTCTCAAAAACAAAACAAAAAAACCTACTGTTGCACATTTAGGTTGCTACATTCTTTTTTCCTTTTATAGTATTTTCCACACTACTGTGGAAAACTAGAAATTTAGGATATAATTTTAGACAAAGAATTTCTGCAAATTCTATTTTTTATTCATATTGCCAACTTGCTGTTAAGATTCTACCAATTTCTTCTTCCTACCACAGTGTAACAAAGGGTTATTTTTTCACTCTTTCACTGCATTTTGTGGCAAAAGTATCTTCAACTAACAACCATGGCCACAGCAATATTAAAAAACTAAGAGTAGGTTGGGCACAGTGGCTCACACCTGTAATCCCAGCACTTTGGGAGGCCAAGGCAGGCGGATCCACTTGAGTTAAAAAAAAAAATCCCTATATCTCATCCAAATATTAGCATTAGATGAACTTCAAGTAATCTAATTTTCCCAGTTTTTGAGAAGTAGAGAAAAATATGAAACCAGAAAAAAAAACCTCTCAGTGATGTAATGCTTTCTAGATCTACTGCTCTCTACAGTGAAAGAAGCAGAAAAGTTTTTGTTTTGTTCTGTTTTGTTTGTTTGTTTTTCTTGAGAGGGAGTCTCGCTCTGTCGCCCAGGCTGTAGTGCAGTGGCACTATCTCGGCTCACTGCAACCTCCGCCCCTCGGGCTCAAGCAATTCTCCTGCCTCAGCCTCCCAAGTAGCTGGGATTACAGGCATGCACCACCACGCCCAGCTATTTTTTGTATTTTTAGTAGAAAGGGGTTTCGCCATGTTGGTCAGGCTAATTTTGAACTCCTGACCTCAGATGATCCACCCAACTCAGCCTCCCAAAGCGCTGGGAGAAAGAACTTATCAATCTTGTTTTCTGAGCTATTCTTGGCACAAAGAACTTATCTATCTTGTTTTCTGAGCTATTATTACACCAGCAAATTTTGCCTTTTTTAATGCTTCATTTTTGCCTTCTTCTCACAGACTGAAAAACTGGCTACTACCTAAGTTGAGAGTCCTATGTCCCTTTCACATATTAATTTATTTCTTGGTTGGCCAGGAGTTTCCAAATATAGACCCATTTCACATTTTATAAAATGACATGAGATGTCATGGAGAAAAGAAAGCTGGGGGCTATGTCCATCAATAGTATGTTTTGCTTGGCAGAATTCTAAATTATATTCTGGAATAAATAATGGTATGTGTTCTATTTTCTACAGCAACTCAAAATATATTCAACAAATCGATATCTAAGTGGGCCATTTAAATTTATTAACACATAACCTACCCTGTTCCAGAATTTGAAGAAATGTACTGGCTGGATTAAAGTTACAAATAAGTGAGTTGTCAGGATTATATCATTTATGTTACTTTGAATGTAAATGAGTATTCGAATATATTAATAATAGATGGTATTTCTATTACAATCTACTTCACTTCCACTATCAGATGCCAAATAGGGAGAATAAGTGGATTATAATTCATTAAGAAAAAGATAAACAACAGAGAAAGCTTTTCCTTTTCTTGCAAAGAGCTAAATTGAACTATTCACTCACAGAAATAATTAACATTTTACTTAGTTTTACATTAACAAAATCTTTGAGGACTAGAGACAACAAAGTAATATAACATTTCATTTTAAAGTTTTAGTCTCATTTTAAACGTTTTTAAACCATATTTTAAATATGTATTTACATCTCTAATCTCTTCTAATAACTTTCTAATAACTGCTTGTATATAACAGTAACTGTTTAAAAATTCCTTGAGTAAGTCTGAACTTCATTATGATGCTATCTTTGACTTCCCCCATTATCTCCAATAAAGATCTAAGTTGTTTTGTTTTCTTGTTTGCTTCACCAGTAACAGACAAATCTCACAAAAGAGTATTAAAATTGAGTACTCTTTGGCACTGAAACATGATTCACCATTCTCTCCATGGAAATCTTTAGTAAAAGGAGAAAAATTTGCTGGGTGTGGTGGCTCACGCTTGTAATCCCAGCACTTTGGGAGGCCAAGGTGGGCGGATCACCTGAGGTCAGGAGTTCGAGAACAGCTTGGCCAACATGGTGAAACCCCATCTCTACTAAAAATACAAAAAATTAGCCAGGCGTGGTGGTATGCGCCTATAATCCCAGCTACTTGGGAGGCTAAGGCAAGAGAATCGCTTGAACCCAGGAGGCGGAGGTTGCAAGTGAGCCAACATCACGCCACTGTATTCCAGTTTGGGCAATGAGAGCGAAACTCCAGCCGGGGGCGGCGGGGGAGAAAAAAAAAAGAGAAAAGTTCATGTGATCTGAAGAGAAACCAGGGTATACTATTCTCAAATGTTTACTTGCAAAGCTTTTTGGGAAGATATTTGCAGGCATTAAAAATGTATCAAAGTCAGCATTCTTACCTCAAAACAGCACCATTAAATAGCCTTTTTAATTGCTAACGATATAAATCTTAGACTATGCTGCCATTAAGATAATTGTCAGTTATTTTATTAGAAATATACAATATATTTTTTTTTAGATGGAGTCTAGCCTAAAATATACAATTTTTTTTTTTTTGAGACAGTCTTGCTCAGTTGCCCAGGCTGGAGTGCAATGGTGCGATCTGGGCTCAATGCAACCTCCGTCTCCCGGGTTCAAGCAGTTCTCTTGCCTCAGCCTCCAAAGTAGCTGGGATTACAGGCAACCGCCATCATGCCCAGCTGATTTTTATATTTTTGTAGAGGCAGGGTTTCATCATGTTGGCCAGGCTGGTCTCGAACTCCTGACCTCAGGTGTTCTGCCTGCCTGGGCCTCCCAAAGTGCTGGGATTATGGGCATGGCCCCTGCACCGGCCAATATACAATTTTCAAATGAGTGTTTTATTTTATTTTATTATTTTTTTGAGACAGAGTCTCGCTCTGTTGCCCAGGCTGGAGTGCAGTGGCGTGATCTCCGTTCACTGCAAGCTCCGCCTCCCGGGTTCACGCCTTTCTCCCGCCTCAGCCTCCCGAGTAGCTGGGACTACAGGCGCCCACCACCATGCCCGGTTAATTTTTTGTATTTTTAGTAGTAAAATATTTGCATTTTTAGTAGTAGAGACAGGGTTTCACCGTGTTGGCCAGGATGGTCTCGATCTCCTGACCTTGTGATCCGCCTGCCTCGCACTCCCAAAGTGCTGGGATTACCTCCACCTCTCAGGTTCAAGCGATTCTCCTGCCTCAGCCTCCCAAGTAGCTGGGATTACAGGCATGCGTCACCATGCCCGGCTAATTTTGTATTTTTAGTAAAGACAGGGTTTCTCCATGTTGGTCAAGCTGGTCTCGAACTCTCAACCTCAGGTGATCCACTCACCTCGGCCTCCCAAAGTGCTGGGATTACAGGCGTGAGCCACTGTGCCCGGCCTCAAAGGAAAATTATTATGCCTTAATTTGTGACAATCATTTTATTCTCTGTTAGCATATACACAAACATTTTGTTCCCTCTCATTTGTGAGGTCAGAATTTATGATGATTAGTAAATAAAACCAAGTCAATAACCAAGAAATGGCATCATGATTCTGTAGAATCCTGTGACATCAGCATCTGTGTGCCGTGTTGCTTCACAGGTTCTGGCTAACTTCATTCTAACCTTGGAACAGAAGTAAAGAAGTTAGGAGCAGGGGTCCTTAGACTCTGGTGCCAGGGATTCCTTTGGCCATTTAGTAAAACTTATGGAACCCTTGTCAGAATAATGTTTTCTTTTTTTAATATAATTTTATTTTTTTTTCTTAAACAAATAGAGACAGGGTTTCGCCATGCTGCCCAGTCTGCTCTTGAACTCCTGGGCTCAAGTGATCCACCCACCTCAGCCTCCCAAGTGCTGGGATTACAGACGTGAGCCACGTGCCCAGACAGAATAATGTTTTTAAATGCATAAAATAAAATGCAAAGATAGAACTGTCAAAATACTTTAATTGCAATTAACAATGTGCTTTTAAAAAATAAAATAAGATCCAGCAGTGGGTCTAATAATCACACTAATTTTGAGGTAGTGATAAGCTTAAACAATTTCAAGATAGCTATAACAGCTGCATTATGGTATGAAGTACATGATTTCTACTGGTGACAAAGTCACAGGTACTGCTAATACAACTATGGTTTGTTGCCTACACTCATATTTGAATGAAATTCCAAGTTTTAGTTATAGGTTAATGAAAAGATATAATATTTTTCCCCCAAACAAGTTCACAGACCCCTCGAATTCAATAGACCTTAGGGGATCAATATGCAGACCCCAGGATAAAAATTTCTCATACAGGAACAGAAGAGCAGGTCAATAAAGTACAAACATAAGTTTTGGTTTCCAAAACTCAATAAGACAAATTACAAAGGCCCTGTTACCTCCAAAATAGTCTAACACACCACAGCAGTGTATAGACTTTCATTCATTCAATAATCTTCAAAAGGTTTGTGTAGGAAGAGCAAAATCAGAAGGAAGACATATTTTTCAATCAATGATCAAATATATAGCTTACGATATCAGTAGATTTTGAGGAAATTCTCCTATACTAAGGCTAAGTCATTGTAATTAAGTCAGATTCAACAATATCATGAGTTGTGATTAGCAACATGATAGTGTAGATAACCAACAGAGTTGGATCTTACTCTGCAGGACAAATGGTCAGTGACACCCTTCAATGGCTCAGCCCATGCAGCTGCCTCACTGGTGTGGTGGATGTGAACCCTTCTTATCATTATGCATACTGTGATCCCAGAAGATTGTTATTGCTAGACAGGTGAGGTAGCTCACACCTGTAATCCCAGCACTTTGGGATGCCAAGGCAGGAGGATGGCTTGGGGCCAGGAGTTTGAGGCCAGCCTGGGTAACATAGTGAGACCCTATCACTAAAAAAATGTTTAAATAAATTAGCTGAGCATTATGGCCCATGCCTGTAGTCCTAGCTACTCAAGAGGCTGAGGTGGCTCTGCTTGAGCCCAGGAGTTACAGGCTGCAGTGAACCATGATGGTTTCACTGTACTCCAGCCTGGGCGACAGAGTGAATTTATAAATTTATAAATTATAATTTATAGATTTATAAAATTATAATTTATAAATTTAGAATGTATAAATTCTATACATTCTATCTTTAAAAAAAAGATTGTTATTGCATTTTAATCTCTTCTCAGGATGACACTAGGAACCAAACATGCCACCTAAACTAGTCCTTCCATTCATTGTAAAAATCTCCTATAACACTCCCTTCCTGCAAAGAGAAAAATATATAAACTAGGTAGCAGTATTACAAATGAAAAGTGGGGGGTTGGACGAGAAATAACAAAAGGGACAAGAGATTGGCACCAACTGCATGTGGTAGGGCAGGGGGGCCTACTAGGAGAAATATTAAGAAGATTCAGAGGTTTTAAGCCTGGCTACCTTCAAGAATGGTAGAATCAGAAGAAAAAAACTAGGTTTGGAGGATGAAGGAAAGTTGAGAACAGGCAGAGATAATGAGCTTTAAGTGACATATTAAGTTCAAAATGCCCAAGAAGCAACTGGAAAAGCAGATCATCAATAAGAGTGTTCAACCCCTGTCCTTGAGGAACTTACAATCTGGAATCCTTTTATAGCTAAAGATTTGGATTTAGTAGTGATTCTACTAGGTATTCTCTAAAAGCTGTGGGAACAGCAAAGTCCTCCAAGAAAGAGCATGAAAGACCAAAAGAAACGCCATAAATTTAAGGACAAAAATTTTAAATATTCTAAATACTAAAAGCCATTTGAAATGTTAACATCAAGTGCTAAAAACACTTTTACAACTTAAAATAGTGGCCTTTTAAGAGGATATACCTCAATACATTTAAATACATTTCCAGAAAACGACAGTGTCTCAATAACATAGCATATTGTATTAAAACATAAACTTTAACTTGTCCTTCCTATTCAAACTGTACCTCTCTTTATAGAGGTATTCTAGTTAAATTAAAAATAAATGGTAGAATTAAAGGCATAATTATTTCCACTTGCAAACCACTAGTGAAATAATGAAAACAGGCTATTAGTGTAGTACAAAGAGGGATAACCAAATATATGCCTCCTGAAGGAAGTACACACCAATATCTAGGAATTATACTTGTCCTCTCCCCCAACACTCCCACTCGGAAATCAAACCTGAACTAAATTTGTTCAGTCTTCAATCTAGCTACCAATTTACAAGAAATACAAAGGATAGAGGGACATATTAAACTAGGACATGTTAAATCTATACCTGAGGGACATATTCATCAACATCCAGGATGAGAGAAACCGGAGGAAAAATGGCCTGGTTCCTTCAACAAATATTAGGTTGGTGCAAACATAATTGCGGTTTTTCAATTGCCATTGAAAGTAATGGCAAAAACCACAATGACATTTGCACCAACCTTACAAGGAAAATACATTACGAGGAAAATAATTAAGATGAGGGAACCTATAGATTAAAAAGTTTAAGAGACATCCCAAACAAATGTAATATGTTACCTTGTTTGGACCCCAAATCAAACCAACCAATTATTTAAAAACAACTGAGGAATATTTGAATACTGACTGGATATTTGGCGATGTTAATTTTTAAAGGTAGGGTAATGGCATTGTGGTTATGACTTTCTCGAGAGTTATCTTTCAGATATCTATATTGAAATAAAACAAATGAAATCATTTGTAGAATTTGCTTCACAGTAATCCAGTAGGGTCTGGGGAAAGTAGATAGGGGAAGAGAGAAATCGTGTCGCTCAACTCTTTGTGTTTTGAAATTTTCCATACTTAACTGTTCAAAAGGGAAAAAAGAAAAACACCATTCTCAGGGGTTGCCAACAAAAACTGAAAACAACAGTTTGAATTTTGTCTCCAAGCCTTACAAGCTGAGCAGCCCTGGTCTAGTCACACAACTTTTTAGTGTCCCTATTGGTTAAATGGAGACAAACAAATACCACCTAATAAACTCGTATTTGTTCAAGCCAGAAACCTGGGTTATATCCTTAACGTCTCTGACTTTCCCAGTCTCCCACATCTGGTCTCCACCAAATCCTCCACCAAATCCTGTCTGTTTCTCTACCAAATCCTGTCTTGTCCATCACTGTGGTCTCACACCACTCCAACAGCCTCCTTTCAGCCTGTTCTCCATATTGCATCCAAAGTGATGTTCCTAAAACACAAAATCCAATCAGGTTATCCCCAGCCCCACTGAAAATCCTTTTTTTTTTTTTTTTTTTGAAACAGAGTCTTGCTCTGTCGCCTGAGCTGAGCTGAAGTGCAGTGGTGTGATCTCAGTTTTCATTGCAGCCTCCACCTCCTGGGTTCAAGCTGTTCTCCTGTATCAGCCTCCCAAGTAGCTGGGATTACAGAAGCATGCCACCATGCCTGGCTAATTTTTTGTATTTTTAATAGAGACAGGGTTTCACCATGTTGGCCAGGCTGGTCTTGAACTCCTGACCTCAAGTGATCCACCCGCCTTGGCCTCCCAAAGTGTTGGGATTACAGGCGTGAGCCACCAGCTTGAAAATCCTTCAACTGCTTTCAATCAGCTTCAAGACAAGAGCGCTCCTTTAAAATTTTTTTACCCTCCTTTATCCCTTAAAAATCCCTTTAATTTTTTTACCCTCCTTGATTCCTTAAAATGGCTTACAAGGCCCTCCATTTTCTCATACTGTCTATCTCTTCAACTTCTATCTCTTCCCATTCTCTTTGACTTTTTTATGCTTTAGCTTTGGTAAAATTCAGCTCTTGCATTACACCCTGTACTCTTGAGTGTAGCTTCAGTGTTCATGTCTGGAATGTTCTTTCCACCCATCATCACTGTCTTGCCTGGCTAGCTCTTTCATCCTTCAAGTCTCAGGTTAAACAGTATTTCCTCAGAGAGGTCTAGCCAAATTGCTTCTATACTAAGTTGGGTGTCTTCTCACACCTACACAATACAGTATTTGTTCCTACAGGAACCTGTACCCACCCTATTATAACAGTACCTACTTGTTTGTAAAGAGTATTTGCTGTGGCAATTATATATTTATCTGTTTTCCAGCTAGACTATAACTCTAGGAGGGCAAGTGGTAAAATTTGTTCACTGCTGAATCCTAAGTCTCTCATGGTGCCTGGTAGCCAATAACAAATTGCCGAACATATAAAATTCACAACAATCTGGACTGTTTTCCTCATACCCAAGTTCCATCTTCCTAGTCCTCAACTGCAACAAAAACAAGACAGCTATGTAGGCATTTACGCAGAGATCTTAATCTTGCATAGGAGTGAGCATTATAAAGTGAATTGAAAACACGATGGGAATGCAGAACATAAGGAGCTGAGAAATCTATTTTCAGGCTGAGATAATTTGTATCCAAATTTACAATCTAAAGAAAAATCAGGAGTGCCAATCTAACAAAAATGAGTCCAAAGACACACATAGTTCCCACCAAACCATAACAAGTTTTCAGACCTAAGATGTTAGATCACTTAATCCCTCCAGCCCCAGTTTCCTTATGTGTAAAACAAGGGATCCTGATCAGCTGGTCATTAGGATCCTTTCCAGGGCTAATATATGCCCTAATATTTAAAGGCTAAAACATGTAAACTAGTGAAATACTAATCATTTGCTTTCATCCTATAGTGATATGACTTTTTTCCTTTTTAATCTGTTTAAGGACATTACAGTCTATCCCGTTAAGCTTACAACTAAACCTTCAAATCTATTCAGCTATAAAAATCTTACAAAATGCTCCTCAGATCATTAACTTGCATATTTAACAATGGTAACTGCAATCTGATGAAACAACAGCATCTACCTAAGACCAAAATGAATTACTGAAATATATTCAACTTCTGTGTAAATAATAAATCTTACCACGTGTTTTAAGTGCTAAATATCTTGAATTGTTGGTCATTTCTATGGCAATCTGAAGGCAAAGTCGTGCCCCAGGGTGTAAGACTTGAATTTATGGGTACTATTTAACACCTAACTAAAAAACTGAAGATACATAGTCTTTGCATCACCTCACTGGGCTGGTGGTTGGGATAAAAAAATTGTTGAAACCAGAGTAATTTTTGAAAAAAAAATTCAAAACAAGTTATAGTAAGTTACAGTAAATAAAGTAGCTTAGTAAGTTACAGTAAATAAAGTAGCGTGTAAACATTTTACTGTTATCAGTAGCAGCCCAGTTTCTAATCAGCCACTGGAAACCCAAAGAAAGACTAAAGTAGTAACAAGTTTGTCTCCTGGTTTAGATTAATTACAAACTAGTTTTGGCAACTGCTTGTTCCATCAAATATGTCATGACAAAGTAATAAAATGTTAAAACGCATGCTGGAAAAAAAAAAAGACGTACTTGGAACAAAAAACTTGCATCGGACCAAGTGTAACGCTATCCTCCAGATTTCTCTCAACAGGGCCGCCTTAAGTCCATGAGTAGAAGGGCGCTGCGGCGGACGCTGGCAGCCACAGGTTGAATGACAAAGAGCCCCCGTCAGCACCACTCCCAGGAGTCTGCGGGCTGCCCCGTCCCCTCCGCAAAGTCTACTCGAACCCTGCAGTCACGCCTTGGCTGTGGGGAATGCGGCTCTCCGCACCACTCTCGCAAGTCACCAGGTGGGGCAAGGATCGGCGGGCCAAGAAGGTTGGGGCGGACAATGTCACGAATCATAAATAACTTCTGCCCCGAGTCCCTTCCCTTGGGGCAGAAGCGGCCAGGAGAGTCTGGAGGTACCACATGCAGCAGCCTCATGTTATCCCTTTTCCAGATCAAAGCATCTCTCGAGGAGCCTATTGAAGACTTAGGGGGGAAGGGACTTCCCCACCGTCACCGGGCACCACGACCCAACTCCTCGGCCAGGCCTGGGACCGGCATCTTAGCACGGGGCCCGCGGCTCGGCTAAGAGAGGCGCTGACCCCAGCGCCTCAAGGTCTCCTTCACCAGCACTGCAGTCCGAGGCCACGCGGCTGCCTGTGACCACGATGCCCTCTGCTGGGCCGCCTCCCTCCGCCGGAGACAAAGTCTCCCAACCCCGGAGGTCCCCTCCGACCCCACCAGGGCAGCGAGGGCACCGTGGGGTCCGCGCCGCGTGCCGCCGGCTGTTACCCAACTAACCGTTATATGCGCGGATCGCAGCGCCGAGCGTGTGCGTGACGTGGTGGCGCAGGCTGGAGTTCCACGGGGCCCAGGGTCCGGCTCCCGTCCTTCGCTCGCTGCCTCGTTTGCTTGTTCCAGTACCCACGCAGCTAGCCAGTCACGTCGCAGCTCACCACTTTGTCTGGCCGGGCCAGCGAGGCTGCCTTATAACCCGCCGGGGCCGGAGCATGCGCGCAGGGGGCGGAGTCGTCTCTCCCGGCCGCCGCCCCCTCCCCGCCACACAGACATCCGAACTGCAGCCCGCGCCTCCACACGCTTTCAGCCGCGCGCGCCCTCTAGCTCGCCCGCGCGCGCCGGCGCCCCCTCCCCGCCACGTGACCGGCGTCCCAGTCCGACCCGCGCGCTGCGCCCCTGCTGAGCGGCGCGGAGCTACCACGCCCTGCCAGACTCGCCCTTGGGTCCCTGTCTGACGAGCTCTAGGCAATCTGCCCTCGTTCGGGACACAACCATCGGTCTCACCCCTCAGTTTCTGCCAGAGAAAAAGGAAAAGTCACCGAGAGGCCTGACCCTGACGGGTGGGGGAGATGCGCGTGCGGAGTAGCGGGAAGCGACTGAGGAGCGGGGAATGGGCAGCATTTGAATGGATGCGGGTGCCGCTGGCACCCGGGAAGACGCTGGGGGCCGGCGCTGTAGAGCCGGGCATGGGCTGGGATGTGTTTGGATTCCAATCCGGGCCTGACACCAGTTCAGTGACCTCGGGAAGTTCCCCAACCCTCCGGGCCTGTTTCCTCCCTCTGAAGTGGCGACAGTAGTAGAACCGACCTCGTAGGCTCATCGGGAGGTCCTGATGGGAGAACCCATGCAACTTGCCACCATAGAGCCAGGCCCGCGGCGGTTGGCGCCTGGTGGGTATTAAAGACGAGTCGGGAAAGAAGAGCAGGTAAGAGGGTGGGGAGACTGGCCCAGTGGGTTGGGGTGTGCACCTCGGCCACGTGGAAAAGCGAGAATGCAGAGGCCGGACGCTTATGGACGATGCATATGTGGGGCCGGATAGAATTGTGGCAGGCGGCGCTGGGGCTGATGCTCCTCACCCGGATTATCCTCTCTAATCCTCAGCCCTGTGAAGTGGGCACTGCCCTGAACATTTTGTAAATAAGGGACCCGAGGCTCAGAGAGGTGAAGTAACTTTCCAGACAGCCCAGCTCGTCAGCGGCCAGCATTTGAAGTCACACTCCAGAGCCTGTTTTTAACATAATAGCCGCTGTGACCGCATAACCAACGTGTGTGTTGAAGTGATCAAATAACCATGGAGTGTCTTTGATGTCCAGGACTTTTGAGAAATACCGAAAAATATGAGGCAAGGCCCCTGCCTTCAAAGAGCTTGCAAGTTTTTGGGGGAGACTTAGGCACAAATTAACCAACATCTGTTGAGCACTTGCTGCTTGCCAGGACCCTGCCCTTCCCCTCGTGTCTTCCTCCCTTCCAGGACTCACCCCCTCACTTACCCTCCCCCTCACTTACCCTCCCCCTCAATTCTCACAGCAACCCTGGGAGGTAGGCCTTATGGTTTCTGTTTTGCAAATGAAGAACCTGAGATTGAAGAAGAGTAGAGATTGGAGGATCAGATCCTGAGAGGTCCCATGTGCTTTCCAATAACAGTTCAGTATATTAGAAGACAGTGTGGCATCCACGGCCAAGTACTACTAGTGAGTAATACAGTAATTGCTTTTTACATTTGATAAACACGGAGAAAGGGAAGGCATTTCGGGTCATTGGGGCAGCTAGGACTTATAAGAGCAGTGCTAGGGTGGCAGCAGCATTCAGGTAGATGGTAAGGAGAATTAAGTTAGAGAGACAGGATCCTCAGTCTGGTTCAGAAGTAAATATATAAGGGCCTGTTCTATGGAATGTAGTGAGAAGTGGTTAAATAAGATGAATCCCAGGAAACCTCAAAAGAAGGCTTATAGAGCCCCATAGGGTGGTAGATTCACACTATAGACCTGAGAGCCAGATCTGTTCAGTTCCAAATTTGATTCTTGCACTTACCAGCTCTGTGTCCTCAGGCAAGTCATTTTACCTTTCCAAGCCTCACTCCCAACTCTGTAAAACAAGGATAATACCTACCTCAGGGTTATTATGATAATAAAACTAGTATTTATTTCAGGCCGGCGTGGTGGCTCAACCCTGTAATCCCAGCACTTTGGGAGGCCGAGGTGGGTGGATCACTTGAGGCCAGGATTTTGAGACTAGCCTGGCCAACATGGTGAAACCCTGCCGATACTAAAAATACAAAAATTAGCCATGCGTAATGCATAGTACCAGCTACTCAGGAAGTTGAGACAGGAGAATTGTTTGAACCCGTGAGGCAGAGATTGCAGTGAGCCAAGATCTCATCATTGCACTCCAGCCTGGGCAATAGAGTGAGATTCCATCTCAAAAAAAAAAAAAAAAAAAGGTCCGGGTGCAGTGGCTCATGCCTGTAATCCCAGCACTTTGGGATGCCGAGGCGGATGGAGCACGAGGTCAGGAGTTCAAGACCAGCCTGGCTAATGTGGTGAAACCCTGTCTCTACTAAAAATACAAAAAGTAGCCAGGTGTGGTAGCATGTGCCTGTAGTCCCAGCTACTTGGGAGGCTGAGGTAGAAGAATCACTTGAACCTGGGAGGTGGAGGTTGCAGTGAGCCGAGATGGTGCCACTGCACTCCAGCCTGTCCAGCCTAGGCAACAGAGTGAGACTCCGTCTCAAAAAAAAAAAAAAATTAGTATTTATTTTGCAGTGTCTAGCATATAGAAAACATTACATGAGACCTAACCCTAAAGATTAACCCTAGATGCCCTTCCCTTGAATAGACCCTAAGGAGGCTCTGAGAGGGGCCCTAACAGTATGTTCAACAGGATCATACTTTCTGTTGTATTGCAGTTTTGTACTCCTATCCTTGAAGATAGACAGTCATCAAAATTATAGACACCTCAGGCCCTACAAAACCTGGATCTGCTTTAATAGATTTTAGTGTTGTGAAGACTTTGGAATCAGAAGACCTGGCCCCGGCCGGGCACGGTGGTTCACGCCTGTAATCTCAGCACTCTGGGAGGCTGAGGTGGGTGGATCACCTGAGGTCAGGAGTTCAAGATCAGCCTGGCCAACATGGCCAAACCCTGTCTCTACTAAAAAATGCAAAAAAAAAAAAAAAAAAAAAAATAGGCCTAGGCCGGGCACGGTGGCTCACGCCTGTAATCCCAGAACTTTGGTAGGCTAAGGCAGGTGGAACACCTGAGGTCAGGAGTTTGAGACCAGCCTGAGCAACATGGAGAAACCCTGTCTCTACTGAAAATACAAAATTAGCCGGGCGTGGTGGCGCATGCCTGTAATCCTGGGAGGTGGAGGTTGTGGTGAGCTGAAATCACGCCATTGCACTCCAGCCTGGTCAACAAGAGCAAAACTCCATCTAAATAAGTAAATAAATAAATAAATAAATAGGCCAGGGGCAGTGGCTCATGCCTGTAATCCCAGCACTTTGGGAGGCTGTGGCGGGCGGATCACGGGGTCAGGAGTTCGAGACCAGCCTGACCAACATGGTGAAACCCCGTCTCTACTAAAAATACAAAAATTAGCCTGGCGTGGTGGCATGCACCTGTAATCCCAGCTACTCAGGAGGCTGAGGTTGGAGAATCGCTTGAACCCAGGAGGCAGAGGTTGCAGTAAGCCGAGATGGTGGCACTGCACTCCAGCCTGGGTGACAGAGCGCAAAAAGAAAAAAAAAAAAAAAAAGATCTGGTCCCATAACTGCTATCTGTGTTATTCTGGGCAATTAATTCACTGAACTTCCCTGGGCTTTAGTTTCCTCGCCAGATAAATTAAAAATAATACCTACTAGCCTGAACTGTTGTGTTAATCAAATGAGATAGTATCTGCAGAAGTAATTGGTAAAACTTGGAAAGTGTTCTGTATTCATGAATTAATGTCATAATTTGTCTAAAGTAGATAAAAGGGAAAAATTAAAAGCAACTACCAGGCTCTTACCTGGAAAAATAGAAACACGGTGGGTGGGTGAGCTGGTGAAAATAATAAAATAATACAGGTAAAATCCTTGCTCTTCTGCCAGGTTTTTTTCCTGATTTGAGGCACACGACATTGAAGAAATGAACTAGGGAGCATAGGATGAGAAATCAGAGTGGAGAGGAAATTGGAGATCATCTAAGGCACTCCTGACTTTTTACAGAAATGGAAATTAAGGCCCAGGGATGCTAAAAGACTTGTCTGAGGCCTCCCATCTAATGATTGGCATGATCAGAAACTCCAGTTTCTTTAAGTATAAAGAACAAGTACAACCTTTAAGATAAAATATTTTGTCATGGGGGTCTTTCAGAATCATTACATCAGAACCAGAGAAGGCCTGGTACTCTCTACTGGCTTTTAGCTTTATCACAAAATTCTTAGGATTCACCTTTCTGTTTTAAAGGTTGATAGACTGGATGCTGCTATGGTAATCTGCCTCAGGAAAATGCCGGACTGTTGTTTGCAAGCTGGTTAAGTGAGCAAATCTTGGGAAGATTTCAAGGTAAGAGTTGTAACTTCGGAAGTTAGTGATGCAATAAGAAATGCAAATGCAAACTTCAAAAATTATGATATAGGTACTCTTTAAGCTGAGTAAGTTGCTCTATTGCGTTATCTGAAAAAAGAAAGATGAAATTACAGTGTGTTCTCTGGAATTCACCTACTTAACTTACATTCTTTCAGTTACTTCACCATTTCTGTGATGTAGTAGATAGGAAGGTGCTATTTTGCCCATTTTAGTAACAATAAACAATACAGGAAAGGATTCTTCTTTTAATTGACACATTGTAATTGTACATATTCTAGGTTACAGTTTTGGTGTTTCCATACATACAAATGTTGTATACTGATCAAATCAGGGTACTTAGCATATCTCTCACCTCATGCTATTTTGTAATATACAATACCTTATTGTTAACAGCAACCCTACTGTGCAATAAAACACCAGAACTTATTCTTCCAATCTAATTGTCACTTTGTACCTGTTGACCAACCTCTCCCTATCCTCCTTTCCTCTCTCCCCTTTCTAGTCTCAGATAACCACTGTTCTCTCTGCTTCTAAGATATAAACTCTTTCTTTAAAAAAAATTAGATTCCACAGATCATACAGTATTTATCTTTCTGTGTCTGGCTTATTTCACTTAACATAATGTCCTCCAGGTTTAACCGTATTTTCACAAATGGCAAGATTTCATGCTTTTTTACAGCTGTATAATATTCTGTAATCCATATGTACCACATTTTCTCTTTTTTTCCTTTTTCTTTTTCTTTTTTTTTTTTTTTTGAGACTGAGTCTCGCTGTGTTCCCCAGGCTGGAGTGCGGTGGTGCAATCTCAGCTTACTGCAACCTCCGCCTCCCAAATTCAAGCAATTCTTCTGCCTCAGCCTCCCAAGTAGCTGGGATTACAGGCGCCTGCCACCACGCCTGGCTAATTTTTGTATTTTTAGTAGAGACGGGGTTTCACCATATTACTCAGGCTGGTCTGGAACTCCTGACCTCAAGTGACCCACCCACCTCGGTCTCCCAAAGTGCTGGGATTACAGGCATGAGCCACCGTGCCCGGCCTCACATTTTCTTTATTCATTCATTCACTGTTAGATGTTTGGGTTGATTCCATATCTTGGTTATTGTAAATAGTGCTGCAGTAAACATAGGAGGGCAGATACCACTTCAATGTAACTGATTTCATTTCCTTTGAATATATAGCCACTAGTGGGACTCCTGGCTCACACAGTAGTTCTATTTTTAATTTTTTGAGGAAAAAATTTTCAACAAAGGTGCCAAGAACACACACTGGGGAAAAGATAGTCTCTTAAATAAACGTTGCTGGGAAAATTGGAAAGTCACATGCAGAAGAATAAGACTAGACCCTGTCTCCACCATATACACAAATCAACTCAAAATGGATTAAAGACTGTCTTCTATAGCTGCTGTACTAATTTGTAATTCCACCAAAAATGTGCAAGTGTTGTCTTTTCTCCACATCCTTGCCAACAGTTGTTTTTTTTGTTTTGTTTTGTTTTTTAAGACAGAGACAGAGTCTCACTGTGTCACTCAGGCTGGAGTGCAGTGGTGCAATCTCGGCTCATTGCAACCTCTGCTTCGTGGGTTCAAGCAATTCTCCTGCCTCAGCCTCCGAGTAGCTGGGACTATAGGCATGTGCCACCATACCTGGCTAATTTTTGTATTTTTAGTAGAGTCGGGGTTTCACTATGTTGGCCAGGCTGGCCTTGAATTCCTGACCTCAAGTTATCCACCTGCCTCAGCCTCCCAAAGTGCTGGGATTACAGGCATGAGCCACCACGCAGCCTGTCTGTTTGTTAATAGCCATTCTAACTAGAGTGAGATGATATCTCATTGTGATTTTGATTTGCATTTGCCTGATGATTAGGGATGTTGAGGATTTTTTCATGTAACTGTTGGCCAGGCTGGCCTTGAATTCCTGACCTCAAGTGATCCACCTGCCTCAGCCTCCCAAAGTGCTGGGATTACAGGCATGAGCCACCACGCAGCCTGTCTGTTTGTTAATAGCCATTCTAACTAGAGTGAGATGATATCTCATTGTGATTTTGATTTGCATTTGCCTGATGATTAGGGATGTTGAGCATTTTTTCATGTACCTGTTGGCCATTTGTATGTCTTCTTTTGAGAAATGCCTATTAAGGTCTTTTGCCCACTTTTAAATTAAGATAATTTGTTTTTCATTGTTGAATTAAGTTATTATATATTCTTCAGATATTAACTCCTTGTGAGATGTATAGTTTGCTTATATTTTCTTCCATTCTGTAGATTTTCTCTTCATTTTGTTGTTTCCTTTTTAAGTACAAAAGCTTTTCAGTTTGATGTAATCCCATTGGTCTATTTTTTGCTTTTGTTGTCTGTGCTTTGAGATCTCTTTTTAAAAACCCTTGCCCAACCCGGTGTTGCAAAGCATTTCCCTTATGTTTTCTTTTAGTAATTTCATAGTTTCAAGTTTTATATATAAGTCTTTAATCCATTTTGAGTTGATTTGTGTATATAGTGGAGACAGGGTCTAGTCTTAGTCTTCTGCATGTGACTTTCCAATTTTCCCAGCACCATTTATTGAAGAAACTGTCTTTTTCCCAGTGCATGTTCTTGGCACCTTTGTTGAAAAACAGTTGGCCATAGATGCATGAATTTATTTCTGGGTTCTTTATTCTCTTTCATTGGTCTCTGTGTTTGTGTTTATGCCAATACCATGCTGTTTTGGTTACTATAGCCTTGTAGTACATTTTGCAATCAAGTACTGTGATGCCTCAGCTTTGTTATTTTTGCTCAGGATTGATTTGCCTATTTGAGTCTTTTGTGGCTCCATGTGAATTTAATGATTGTCTTTTTTTTTTTTTTTTTTTTTTTGAGACGGAGTTTTGCTCTTGTTGCCCTGGCTGGAGTGCAATGGCACAATCTCGGCTCACCGCAGCCTCTGCCTCCCAGGTTCAAGTGATTCTCCTGCCTCACCCTCCCTAGTAGCTGGGATTACAGGCATGCGCCATCATGCCTGGCTAATTTTGTATTTTTAGTAGAGACAGGGTTTCTCCATGTTGGTCAGGCTGGTCTCGAACTCCCGATCTCAGGTGATCCGCCCTCCTCTGCCTCCCAAAGTGCTGGAATTACAGAGTGAGCCACCGCGCCTGGCTGTCTTTTTTATTTCTGTGAAATATATTATAGGTATTTGATAGAGATTATATTTAGTTTGTAGATCACTTTGGGTAGTATGAGTGTTTTAACAATACTAATTCTCCCATGAACATGAAACGTCTTTCCATTCATTTGTGTCTTCTTCAATTTCTTTCATCAAGGTTTTATAGTTTTTCAGTTTAGAGATCTTTAACCTCCTTGGTTAAGTTTATTCTTTTTTTTTTTTTTTTTTTTTTGCAGCACACCAACATGGCACATGTATACATATGTAACAAACCTGCACATTGTGCACATGTACCCTAAAACTTAAAGTGTAACAATAATAAAATTTTTTTAAAAAAGTTTATTCTTAAGTATCTTATTTTTGTGTAGTTATTGTAAATGGAATTATCTTCCTGATTTCTTTTAGGAAAGGATTCTTTTTAAACAATATTTTGTCATTAAGAACACTGCCCCCCCCTCATAATATATAATAATTTAATAGGGAATATGGAAAATGTGATTTGCTTTTGAACCATGTTTGAAAAAAGGTTTGCTAAACAAATACCTGGAGTAAAGAAGATAATGCCAATCCTAAAGACATTCTTTCTTTAAAGTTGAGAGCCCTCTCATTCAGAATATCATCATCTAATTTCAGGTTATATGTCAGGTGTAGTCCTACTGCTTTCAAAGGCCTATGTCTGGATCTAGGATGAATTTTGCCATTCTTTAAAGAAAGACTAACTCGGTATTCGTGAGATGCACTCTAAGCTCCTCCCTGACCTCCCCCGTTTCTCTTCAGCTCTCTTTGCTCTGTTTTGACCTATCACTTATCTTACCAGCTTGCACCAGTTTAGTATCCTAATCAGTTACTTCTCTGGCACTCTACTGACATGGCATGGCGCAGTCAAAATAGTTTGCTAGAAAACAAAATGTTTGCAATAAAAATGTCTTCAACATGACAAATAAGTCAAAAATTATTGTTTCCAACTGCTGGTTTTTTGTATGTTTAGTTATTCTGGTGGCCAGGGATTTGCTTTATTGCTTCTTTGGGCCTTTGAGAATTTTTTTGTGCACACACAGACACACACACACACACACATATATATATGTTTCTTAAGGAATCATATTGTACATACTGTTTCTTTCCACTAACACGGAATCTCACTCTGTCTGCCAGGCTGGAGTGCAGTGGCGAGATCTCAGCTCACTGCAACCTCGGCCTCCCGGGTTCAAGCGATTCTCCTGCCTCAGCCTCCCAAGTAGCTAGGCTTACAGGGGCGTGCCACCATGCCCGACTGATTTTTGTATTTTTAGTAGAGACAGGGTTTCACCATGTTGGCCAGGCTAGTCTTGAACCCCTGACCTCAGATCCACCCGCCTCGGCCTCCCAAATTGCTGGGATTACAGGCGTGAGCCACCACGCCTGGCCGCTGTTTACTACTTTTTAAATATTTGCAGGCTGGGCGTGGCAGCTCACGCCTGTAATCCCAGCACTTTGGAAGGCTGAGGCAGGTGGATCACGAGGTCGGGAGTTTCAGACCAGCCTGGCCAAAGTGGTGAAACCCCGTCTCTACTAAAAATACAAAAATTGGTGGCGGGTGCCTGTAATCCCAGCTACTCGGGAGGCTGAGGCAGAGAATTGCTTGAACCCGGGAGGCAGAGGTTGTAGTGAGCTGAGATGGCGCCACTGCATTCCAGCCTGGGCGACAGCGAGCCTTTGTCTCAAAAAATATATATATATATATATTTGCAATGGCTTGATAATATGAAACATTTACGTTGCTTCTTAATAATTATCTAAGAATTAATTTAGATTAAAAAGCACAAAAGTTTGAAACATACCTAAAATATTATGATAATCTGACAGTACTGCTTTAAAACTTTAAAGGTGGCAAAACAATCCATATGGAAAACAAGCAGCTGAGAATATTCCTTTTTGACCCATTTATCTTCAAATTCAATTTGTTTTCCTTTTTTTTTTTTTTTTTGAGATGGAGTCTTGCTCTGTCGCCCAGGCTGGAGTGCAGTGGCGCGATTTTGGCGCACTGCAAGCTCGGCCTCCCAGGTTCACGCCACTCTCCTGCCTCAGCCTCCTGAGTAGCTGGGACTACAGGCACCCACCACCACGTAGAGATGGAGTTTCACCATGTTAGCTAGGATGGTCTCGATCTCCTGACCTCGTGATCCTTCCACCTTGGCCTCCCAAAGTGCTGGGATTACAGGCGTGAGCCACTGCACCCGGCCAAATTAAATTTGTTTTTAACCAGATTACCTGAGGCTCAATCTATGTCATCCTAATTCCCACTCTGGTCTGATATGGCTTGACTCCTGTTCCTTGTTTTTGCTAGCCCAGGGGGATAGTTTTGACCTGTGCTCTTTGTAATGTACATCATCGCTATTTAGGATCTTTTCTAGGAAGCATTCTTTCTAGAGATGGTCCTATGTATTTGCCAGACCTGTTTTCTTCCTTGACCCCTAGCTACTAAAAGTCCTAACCCTGAGTAGCTTCCCCACCTCCCTCTTTTCCTCCCTCCCTTCCCTCCTTTCTTCCTTCCATCTCTAGTAAAGTATTTTAGGCAAATGGGATGGGGAGTTCAATAATAACAATAATAAATTGATGATAGCCAAGATTTCTGGGATACTTACCATATGCCAAGCATTGCTCTAAGCACTTTAGATGTAGTAACACTCATTAATTCCTCACAAAAATGCTATAAACTAGGAACTGTTACAATCCCCATTTTACAGACATATACAGATACAGAGAGGTTAAGTAGCTTCCCCAAGGTCACATAATCAGTATTGTCTCGAGTCATCAGAAAGTAGTCATCATGGCCGGGCAAGTTGTCTCACGCCTGTAATCCCAGCACTTTGGGAGGCCAAGGCAGATGGATCACGAGGTCAGGAGTTTGAGACCAGCCTGGCCAACATAGTGAAACCCTGTCTCTACTAAAAATACAAAAATTAGCCAGATGTGGTGGCAGGCACCTGTAGTCCCAGATACTTGGGAGGCTGAGGCAGGAGAATGGCTTGAACCTGGGAGGGAAGGTTTACAGTGAGCTGAGACCGCACCATCACACTCCAGCCTTGGCAACAGAGCAAGACTCTGCCTGAAAAAAAAAAAAAAAAGAAAGTAGTCATCATTTAGTTTTCACCAAAAATACACAAGTAGAAATTGTCATTTTTAGCTATTAATACCATAGGAGACTAATCCATAGAATTTAAGGCCATCTTGACTTAGAAAAACCCTGTTTTGGGTTCCTTTTATGTTAGTAGAGCAAAACAACCATTATGAAAGCATGTGCCATGAAAGGTGCCTTTGAAACCAGAGATTCACCACAGAGAACTACCCCTTGCTTATCTGAATTTGGGGTAGTTATCAGTCTCTAGTCAGCTAAGTTGGGGACAAAGATGATGGGACATGGTTTTGTTAGCAGCTTATCTATTTATTTATTTATTTATTTTTTGAGATGGAGTTTCACTCTTTCACCCAGGCTGGAGTGAAGTGGTGCAATCTCGGCTCACTGCAACGTCCGCCCCCTCGGTGGGTTCAAGCAATTCTCCTGTGTCAGCCTCCAAAGCAGCTGGGATTACAGGCGCATGCCACCACACCAGGCTGATTTTTGTATGTTTAGTAGAGATGGGATTTCACCATGTTGGCCAGGCTAGTCTTGAACTTCTGACCTCAGGTGATCCACCCACCTCAGCCTCCCAAAGTGCTGCAATTACAGGTGTGAGTCACCACGCCCAGCCAACTAACAGCTTAATTTTAAGGTCACCTATTTCTAGGAAGTTCTGGGTGTCCTGGTCCCCATATTCCATGCTATAAGATCATTCAGTGTGAGAACCTGGACTTTATAGCCCTCACCCAAAGCAGCAGCAGATAGTTGGAATTATTGGACAGCTGCACATCAAGCCTACTGTGATTCAGCTGAGGGGTGCATGCAGCGAAGGAGGCCTCTAACATCACAGTGACTGGCTTTGTGTATCCATCTGCCTGGGGATCCAGACCTGGGTGTTCTACCTGGACCTTCATACTGCTGCACTGGTGAGCAAGATGAGGCTTAAATAAAGCATACTATTCAATTTGTGGTGACCTCTGAGAACCCCAAATCTGCCATGAATCCCTGCACCACACAATACCTGTGACACCTGTGCCAAGGTGAGGTCCAGTAGCTACCAAACCTACTTCTGAGCTGCATATTAGAGTGAAGCCTTCCTCCCTACCCTCCCTCTGTCTTACCTTTTGCACAAATCATGGGTTCAGATGTTATACCTATTATTGCACTCTGATAAGTTTTTTTTTTTTTTTTTTTTGCAGTCATGGAATAAGGCCATACCCTGTGGGTAGGGTATAAAGGTTTCCCTCTATATAGTAGGTGTTCTTATTATCAGTCATTCAAAGAAAAAGAGAATCCTCACCAGAAAATCTTGGAACATAGAACAGATGGAAGGTGGCACTTCTGGATATGCCTTTTTACATCTGAACTTGGAAGAGTTAAGAATTGTTGAAGGCCCTTCTCACTGATCAGGGGAAATAGCTTCTGTCACAGAGCTGCCTACTCCAGGAGAACCAAAAATGAAAGTAAACACTCATATTTTGTAAGTCTGTTCCTCAACTTCCATCAATCAAGTTTAATCTAAATCAAGGATTCAAACTGAGAAGCATTTAAGGACCAAGAAAAAGTTAATTAGCCCAGTATAAGTCAACAAGAAATGGTAAGCAGTATGGAGGAAAAGAAGTGCCACACCCTTCTAGGCATCCAAATTCAAGCATTTACAATGTACTTCATGAAGCAGTACCCTATACAGCACTAATAACAGCCCAAACTTGCTTGACATTTCTACATAACACATTATTCATTAATTCAGAAGAAAAATAGAATTCTTAAAACTCCTAACTTTATTTTTAATTAATATAAAGGAGGAACCAACAACAACAAAAAATTGTGTGGGAGTTAGAAAATAAGGACTAGGCGCCTGGGCGCGGTGGCTCACGCCTGTAATCCCAGCACTTTGGGAGGCCGCGGTGGGCAGAACACGAGGTCAGGAGATTGAGGCCATCCTGGCTAACACGGTGAAACCCCGTCTTTACTAAAAAATAGAAAAAATTAGCTGGGCGTGGTGGCGGGCGCCTGTAGTCGCAGCTACTCTGGAGGCTTGAGGCAGGAGAATGGCGTGAACCTGGGAGGCGGAGCTTGCAGTGAGCCAAGATCGCGCCACTACACTCCAGCCTGGGCGACAGAGCGACACTCTGTCTCAAAAAAAAAAAAAGGAAAAAAAGGACTAGGCAGGCAGATGTGGGGTGGGGCAAACAAAACATGGCAGCCAGCAGACCAGTCTATTTCAGCATAGTCTCTGCTGCAGTATTTAAGAAATAGGTAGAGCCAGCCAGGCGCGGTGGTTCACGCCTGTAATCCCAGTACTTTGGGAGGCCGAGGCGGGCGGATCACCTGAGGTCTGGAGTTCGAGACCAGCCTGACCAACATGGAGAAACCGCGTCTCTACTAAAAATACAAAATTAGCCAGGCGTGGTGGCACAGGCCTGTAATCCCAGCTACTTGGGAGGCTGAGGCAGGAGAATCACTTGAACCCAGAAGGCGGAGGTTGTGGTGAGCCCAGATCGTGCCATTGCACTCCATCCTGGGCAACAAGAGTGAAATTCCCCATCTCAAAAACAAAGAGATAGGTAGAGCTGGCCGTGGTGGCTCACGCCTGTAATCCCAGAAGGCTGAGTTCGGTGGATCACTTGAGATCAAGAGTTTGAGACTAGCCTGGCCAACATGGTGAAACCCCATCTCTGCTAAAAAAAAAAAAAAAAATACAAAAATTAGTCGGGCATGGTGGCAGGCATCTGTAATCGCAGCTACTTGGGAGGCTGAGGCAGGAGAATCGCTTGAACCCCAGAGGCAGAGGTTGCAGTGAGTTGAGATCGCGTCACTGCAGTCCAACGACAGAGTAAGACTCTGTCGCAAAAAAAAAAAAAAAAAAAAAGTAGAAAGCAGAACGCTTCTTCCCGGTGCCAAGGGGGATTTATGAAAGATCCCCAAGGAAGAGTTGAATATCAGAATGAGGGTCATTTTGGCAGTCCCATCCCTGTATGGAGACAGTCCTTTCGTTGTTACTTTTGGCAGATGAGGATTTGAGTTTAAGAGACCTGGTTGGGGGGGAGGGGGGAGGGATAGCTTTGGGAGATATACCTAATGCTAAATGACGAGTTAATGGGTGCAGCACACCAGCATGGCACATGTATACATATGTAACCAACCTGCACATTGTGCACATGTACCCTAAAACTTAAAGTATAATAATAATAAAATAAAAAAAAAAGAGAGACCTGGTGGATTTCCGTACAACTTCATAATTTCCCCCTATCCAAGACCCATGGTTCCATTTTTGTCACCGTGGCCACAGTGGCTGAAATGGCTCACTTCATCTTTTGCACTAAACAGCCTTCAGCCCCACACTGCACCGCTAAATGGACAAGTTCTTTTTTCCCTAGTGTCTTAAATTCATGGCCTCAGTCTGAGGCCTTTAGTTTTATACTGCTTTGGGAGAGTCCTCTTTACAGTCTTAGAGATATACATATACCTCTTACTGTTTACCACCACTAATTTAATAGCAAGAAAGAAACTGGAAATCTTGTAGGAATACTCTGTTCCTTTTTTTGTTTTTTGAGACGAAGTCTCACTCTTGTCACCAGGCTGGAGTGCAATGGCGCAATCTTGGGATCTTGGTTCACTGCAACCTCTGCCTCCCAGGTTCAAGTAATTCTCCTGCCTCAGCCTCCCCAGTAACTGGGATTATAGGTGCCTGCCAACACGCCTGGCTAATTTTTATATTTTTAGTAGAGACGAGGTTTCACCATGTTGGCCAGGCTGGTCTCGAACACCTGAACTCAGGTTATCTGCCTGCCTCGGCCTCCCAGTGTGCTGGGATTACAAGTGTGAGCCACTGCGCCTGGCCAAGGAACACTCTTTGTTCTATGCTACCTACTAGGACAGCTAGTCTACTCAGTTACCCCAAAACCAAAAGGATAGTAACTCAACAAGCTCAGAATACACCATTCTGCTTGCAGC
The DNA here is from genome assembly GCF_000001405.40 of Homo sapiens. NCBI lineage: Eukaryota > Metazoa > Chordata > Mammalia > Primates > Hominidae > Homo > Homo sapiens. The sequence goes on from NC_000001.11 coordinate 112,970,793, forward strand.
CATTGTTTTCACCACTACCCCATTTCCCCCTGCACACATAGCTCATTACCTTGTCACATGTACACTTACTATAGTCACAGCAGGAGCTAGAATCTGGAGATGTTACATGCCACACAAGAGGTCAGTGAGAAGCACAAAACCATACATTGCAAATGGGTAACATATCAGTGTAGCCATCCAAGCAGAGGATTAGGTATGGCCTTCATCTCATGTTCCCATTAGGCTCAGATGGGCTAGATAATGGGGTTTTGCTCCTGTTTCCAATTCAAAGATAGTCAACCTGGGAGCTTTCTAACTCTATCATATGTATTTCATTTGTTTCACCAGTTACTCATTTGATCAACCCAGGGAAGACCATATCATGAATGAAACACAGCCCAAGTATGCTTTAACCATAACGTGGGAGTGCATAATTCAGGCTACCAAGACCATTTAACAGAATCCAGTGGAATGAGGGAAGTCTGGACTACAGGAGTTAGTGGGGGAATTCTCAGTCACTGCAACCATGCTTCTAAACAAAGGCCTTCACCAAGAACCTAGGGCAATCTTATTCCATCTGCCAGAACTTATAGGGATATCACTAAATTATGCTTAGTCAAAATTGGGTAATTTGTAGTTTATAAATACTATAAAACTGATATTTAAATCTAGGTCTACTTAATTCCTAGCTTCTGTTCTTAAGTGCTAGATTATTTTGATTCATTTATTTTGTTCAAAATCTTGACGTTATAGGAAAGGATGGGGATGAGGAGGATGATGAGGCAGGAAAATGCAGAACTGTTTCATAGTCCCAGCGCTGAACCTTTGTACAGGCTGTTTCTTCTTCATATAAAGCACTTCTTGGCCAGGCGTGGTGGCTCACACCTATAATCCCAGCTCTTTGAGAGGCTGAGGTGGGCGGGTCACTTGAGGTCAGGAGTTCGAGACAAGCATGGCCAACATGGTGAAACGCAATCTCTACTAAAAATACAAAAAAATTAGCCCGATGTGGTAGTGTGCCTGTAGTCCCAGCTACTTGGGGGGCTGAGGCAGGAGAATCGTTTGAACCAGGGAGGCAGAGGTTGCAGTGAGCCGAGATCGTGCCACTGCACTCTAGCCTGGGTGACAGAGCGAGACTCCATCTCAAAAAAATAAACAAATTAAAAAAATAAAAAGCACTTCTTCCTTCCACTTGATAAACTGTGTGCAGAATAACATGGAGATGGAGGAGAGGCAGGTAGATTAAGGGGGAGCAGTTTTAGTAATTCTATGATTCAGACCTCTTTTTAATTCAGCTTTCCTGCTAATTAATGTAAATTAGTAAGGTTTCTGCTGGGCGCAGTGGCTCATGCCTGTAATCCCAACACTTTGGGAGGCCAAGGCGGGTGGATCACGAGGTCAAGAGATCGAGACCATGCTGGCTAACATGGTGAAACCTCGTCTCTACTAAAAATACAAAAAAAAATTCGCCAGGCGTGGTGGCAGGCGCCTGTAGTCCCAGCTACTCAGGAGGCTGAGGCAGGAGAATGGCGTGAACCTGGGAACCAGAGCTTGCAGTGAGCCGAGATCACACCTCTGCACTCCAGCCTGAGCGACATAGTGAGACCCCGTCTCAAAAAAAAAAAAAATTAATAAGGTTTCATAATTATTATATTTACCAACCAGGTTCTTTCTACATAATTATTGTTTACCTTCTAATAAATTACTTACAAAGGCCACCTACAAATCCAAATTATATACAAAACGTTTCATTTCCTATTTCCTTCCCAGGGATGCATAATTATTTTGGAAAAATCAGTGGCAGCTGGGCACGGTGGCTCATGCCTGTAATCCCAGCACTCTGGGAGGCCAAGGCAGGCGGATCCATCTGAGGTCAGGAGTTCAAAACCAGCCTGGCCAACATAGTAAAACCCCATCCTTACTAAAAATACAAAAATTAGCTGGGCGTTCTGGTGCACGCCTATAGTCCCAGCTACTCAGGAGGCTAAGGCAGGAGAATCGCTTGAACCCAGGAGGCAGAGATCGCAGTGAGCTGAGATGGTGCCACTGCACTCCAGCCTGGGTGACAGAGCGAGACTGTCTCTTAGGAAAAAAAAAAAAAAAATCATTGGCTTGTAAGTTAAAATCTTTATCTTGCTCTACCTTCTCTGGAATACCTACATCTCTGATGTTTTTTTAACATTACATATTCACAAGCTTTACCAATTCATGGAAAGGATTCCTCTAGGATTTTGGTGGATCTCTTGAAGCACTAAGAACCTCAAGCAAAAATGTATGCAATCTTTGTACTTTAAAATTAAAGCATTTCAACCAGGAGCAGTGGCTCATGCCTGTAGTCCCAGCGCTTTGGGAGGCCAAGGCAGGATGATTGCTTGAGCCTTGGAGTTTGAGACTAGTCTGGCCAACATAGCCAGACCCCGTTTCTTTAAAAGAAAAAAAAAAACAATTAGCTGCATGTGGTGGCACACATGTAGTATCAGCTTTGGGAGGCCCAGATGGGAAGATTGCTTGATCTCAGGAGGTTGAGGCTGCAATGAGCTATGATCATGCCACTGCACTCCAGCCTGGGTGATAGAGCAAGACCCTGTCTCAAAAAAAAATTTTTTTAATAGATAAACATTCAGGCATTCCAAACTCCTAATGTATTGTCTACTATTAAGAATGCATGCTGGCTGAGGCAGGAGTTCAAGACCAGCCTGGCCAACGTGATGAAACCCCATATCTACTAAAATACAAAAATTAGCTGGGCCAGGTGGTGGGTACCTGTAATCCCAGCTACTCAGGAGGCTGAGGCAGGAGAATGTCTTGAACCCGGGAGGCAGAGATTGCAGTGAGCCGAGATCTCGCCACTGCATTCCAGCCTGGGCAACAGAGTAAGACTCCATCTCCAAAAAAAAAAAAAAAAAAAAAAAAAAGAATCTCTGGAATTTAACATTCCTTTAAACTTAAAAAATAAGAAAAAATAAATTAAAAAAAATTAGAAGAATGCATGCTGGGGTCTGCTCAGTGATTCACAAGGCAGGAAATCTCTTGAGCCAAGGAGTTTGAGACCAACCTGGGCAAAGTGGCAAGACCCTGTCTCTACAAAAAAATTAAAAATTAGCAGGGCATGGTGGCACACTTCTGTTGTCCTAGCTACTTGGGAGGCTGAGGCAGGAGAGTCATTTGGGCTCATGTGTTTGAGGTTACACTGAGCTTTGATCACACCACTGCGCTCCAGACTGGGCAACAGAGCAAGACCTTATCTCAAGAAAACAAACAAAAAGAGAATTCAGGGCTGGGGGCAGTAGCTCACACCTGTAATCCCAGCACCTTGGGAGGCCAAGGCAGGCAGATGACTTGAGGTTAGGAGTTTAAGACCAGCCTGGCCAACATAGTGAAACCCTGTCTGTACTAAAAATACAAAAATTAGCTGGGTGTGGTGGCAGGCGCCTTTAATCCCAGCTACTTCGGTGGCTGAGGAAGGAGAATCGCTTGAGCCCAGGAGGTAGAGGTTGCAGTGAGCCAAGATCGTGACACTACTCCAGCCTGGACGACAGAGCGAAACTCTGTCTGAAAAAAGTTCAGGTGGGAGGATCCCTTGAGGACAGGAGTTTAAGACCAGCCTGGGCAATGTAGCAAGACCTTGTCTCTTAAAAAAAAAAAAAAAAAGAATGCAAAAGCCATAGAACCTTTTCCTAGGAGAGAATGCTAGGAGGAAGGAGGGAAACAGTATATTTTAAGGTAAATAAGAAAGGCCTAATGCCCCGTGGTTAGATTTTTCTATCTACATATTGGAGATAAGTTTAAATTTTGTGTTAGTGTTTGGGTATTACTTCCTGCCAACGTGAAAAGTTAACCTTTCTAAGACAATCTCTACTAAGAATTTGGACTTTTTCAAGATTTTTGCCTACTTCTTTCAAAGAGATTGCAAAACGATTTTAACTCACTAAAGAACATTTTTCACCTCTTGATTGTCCAGTACAAGTGTAGTACAGTTCTTTTTTTATGTATCCTCCCTTTGTTTTTATAGACTGGAAGGTATCCAGAAATAAGGCATTCAGAAATGGAGGCACACATAGATGAAGGCAAAGGCCATTCCTATGAAGGCAGGTCTGTAGGCAGCTGGTTATTTGTTTTTCTCAGCCTCTCTTGGCATTCTACCTTCATCTGGAAAAAAATTTAAAAAGGAGGATACTTTATAGGTCCTGTCTCAAGTATCTGACTTCCCTGGGAAGCTTGATTCTCACATTCAAAATACATGGGGAGTTTGGTTCAGTTAAATTTTATCACACCAGAATTGTTGAAAAGCAATAAATTATTACTGTATAATTGGTGCCTGTTTGTTATCTTAGGTATTGTTATTTCTGTTTTTAACTTGTTTGGAAAACCATAGACCATAAACTTTTCTGAACGTTCGATGCAGAGCTCCAACCGAACTAGCAAAGAACATTTCCTCAAAGAAACGGAGTATTTTTTTCTGTAACAATGTAACTTTCTGTCTTTCATTCTTCAAAATGTATCACTATAAATTTCCTACAAAAAGAGCTATTTCTTCTCTCAGTATCATACAGATTGATTTGTATAGATGTATATGTATGGCTGTTAAATTGTTTGTTGGTATAAAATGGTGAGTGTCAGTATAATAATGATGATAATAAATAGCGGCTAACATTTAAAGCGCATACTCTGTTCCAGGCACCGTTGTAAGCATTTTACATCGAGTTGCTCAATCTAAAACCACTTTTATCTGGTTGTCTTTATTTATCTAGCAAAACTTTTAAGAATCTATGCTGCAATAAATTCCACAACTCAGCCTTCATCTTCCCAACAAAAATAACTAGAATTCCAGTGTTTTCTCTTTATCAGTTTGTCTTCAGGAAACCGTCAACATTTTAGAACCATGCTAGTCCCCAGGACTTGATCTGAATATACAATAGGTAGCTGCATTGCCTATCTTAGGACATAGACCAGTAAACAAAATCAAAGGTAACTTTGCACTTAGTATAAGCCCTTGATGTTAGCTTCACTGAAGTAGGAGAGGCAATAAAAATGTTGACTTGAAGTCTGCTCTACCTTTCACCATCTTTCAGAAAAATGTTGATCAGGACTAGCCTCCTCAGCAAATGTAGGCATATATAAAAATATATTTCTTCATCCTTTATGATGTAATAAAGACTAATGGCTTAGACTTAGAAATCTAACAAAGTGACAATAGTTTTTTTCTCCCAATTCAGACCTATTTCTGTTCTTAAAAAGACATTTAAGCCAGGCACAGTGGCTCACGCCTGTAATCCCAGCACTTTAGGAGGCCGAGGTGGGCGAATCACAAGGTCAGGAGTTCGAGACCAGCCTGGGCAACATGGTGAAACCCCATCTACAGTGAGCCGAGATTGCACCACTGTACTCCAACCTGGATGACAGAGTGAGACTCCAGCTCAAAGAAAAAAAAAGACATTAAGTCTCATACAGTTATGAAATTTCACAATTCCAGAAAGCTTTAGTAATCAAAATATAGATTTAAGACACTTATTCAGTCATTTCACTTAATTCATCCATCTATTCATTTATTCATTCATTCCATCTTTATTGAATACCTACTATGTGCAGTGCAGTTACTCCAATCTTATCCAACATTGGACTACTAATTAGTAAGATTTTTGTAATTCTGTTTTTAAATTATTCCTTTACATGGGACAAAATTCAAAAGGTATATATATACAATGAAAAGGAAATCTTGCACCCAGTTCCCCAGCCATTCACCTCACCTCCTCAAACAACAAGAAAAAGAACAGTGAGGCCAGGCGTGGTGGCTCACACCTGTAGTCCCAGTACTTTGGGAGGTCAAGTGGGCAGATCACAAGGTCAGGAGTTTGAGGCCAGCCTGACCAACATGGTAAAACCCCGTCTCTACTAAAAATACAAAAATTAGCTGGGCGTGGTGGCGTGCACCTGTAATCCCAGCTACTCAGGAGGCTGAGGCAGAAGAATCGCTTGAACCCGGGAGGCAGAGGTTGCAATGAGCCGAGATTGGATCACTGCACTCCAGCCCGTGCAACAGAGTAAGACTCTGTCTCAAAAAAAAAAAAAAAAATTAAAAGAGTTATAATAAATACAGGCTTAGAAAAGAATAAAGTCTCAGAACAAGGTAAAGGGGCAATAAATTATGTGAAGATGTGCATTGTTATTTAACACATGGCTAACATGTTACAAGTTGTTCTTTTGAATGGTCAACTATCAACAATAACCTGCTTAGCCAGTAAGTCAGAGCCCAGCAAGGGGGTTCTGTAGGTTTCCAGTTTTTCTGGATTGGTTTTTCTTCTAAGGGCTAAAAAGTTCTAATGAAGGTAGCCACTTCCAAAGTATTTACCTTTTACTTACCTAGCTAGTAAGCCAATGTTATCTAATGAGTCCAATTCTAGGGATATGCAAGTGAATGTAAATGCTTTTTTCTGCCACCACAGTTTTGATATTCGAATCCTAGTAGTTTTACATTTAAAAATATAATATTGGCCAGGCGCAGTTGCTCATGCCTGTAAACCCAGCACTTTATGAGACCGAGGTAGGCGAATCACTTGAGGTCAGGAGTTCAAGACCAGCCTGGCCAACATGGTGAAACACCGTCTCTACTAAAAATACACACAGAAAAATTAGCCACACGTGGTGGCAGGCACCTGTAATAGCTATTTGGGAGGCTGAGGCAGAAGAATTGCTTGAACCCGGGAGGTGGAGGTTGCCTTGAGCTGCGATTGTGCCACTGCACTCCAGCCTGGGCAACAGAGTGAGACTCCATCTCAAAAAAAAGGAATACTGTCAATGTGCTAATATTCTTCCAATTTGTCCAATATTAACCTACCAATGTTTAAGGTTTGTTAATGTTTCAATGAATAAATTAACCAAGTATTAATCTTTTATTAAAAATATTTTATTGGCTGGGCGTGGTGGCTCATGCCTGTAATTCCAGCACTTTGAGAGGCTGAGGCGGGCAGATCACCTGAGGTCAGCAGTTCAAGACCAGCCTGACCAACATGGAAAAACCCCATCTCTACTAAAAATACAAAATTAGAAGGCGTGGCGTGGCGGCGCACGCCTGTAATCCCAGCTACTCAGGAAGCTGAGGCAGGGGAATCGCTTGAACCCAGGAGGCAGAGGTTGTGGTGAGCCGAGATCACGCCCTTGCACTCCAGCCTGGACAACAAGAGCGAGACTTCGTCTCAAAAAAAAAAAAAAAGCCAGGCCTGATGGCTCACGCCTGTAATCCAAGCACTTTGGGAGGCCTAGGTGGGCGGATCACGAGGTCCAGAGATAGAGACGATCCTGGCCAACATGGTGAAACCTTGTCTCTACTAAAAATACAAAAATTGGGCCAGGCATGGTGGCTCACGCCTGTAATCCCAGCACTTTGGGAGGCTGAGGCAGGCAGATTGCTTGATCCCAGGAATTCAAGACCAGTCTGGGCAACATGGTGAAACCTTCTCTACAAAAATGCAAAAATTAGCCAGGCATGCTGGTGCATGCCTGTATTCCCAGCTACTCGGGATACAGGGAGTCACCTGAGCTTGGGGAGGTCAAGGCTGCAGTGTGCCATGATTGCACCACTGCACTCCAGCATAGGCAACAGAGTAAGACCCTGTCTCAAAACAAAAAGAAAAACAGATTTCAAAACACTAAATAGAAAGTGATCACAATTTTTTTAAAAGAAATATGCATAAAATGAACACAAAGGCAATATTAGATTATAACAAAATCCTTTGGTGATAGGATTATAGGGGGTTATTTATTTCCTTCTTTGTCTCTTCATTTGGATCTTTAAAATGTCAACATGGTGCCATGACTATCTGGAGAAAAAAAGGCAGACATTCTATACAGAGAGAGAGCTATTTTATTTTAAGCATCTGTGATGAGTGATGGAGCATTTCACACACAACAAGGATGAAAAGAGGGAGGGTTTGTCAGATGAAATCATAGAATATTCAACTGGAGGGTGGGTTAGAAATAATTTAATTCAACTTCCTTTGTTTTATATATGAAAAGATTCAAGTTTATCCAAGGCCACACAGGTAATGTTTAGAATCCAGAATAACAATTGGATTTTCTACTTTCCAGGATCTTTAGCTCATCTTTCTTCCTTTCTATTTATGTATAATGCAGGAGCTGGCAAGTAGAGCTCTTTTAAGTCTGAAAAAAGAGATAGAAAATGTTTAGGATAAAGAGAAAGAGAAAAGCTATATCTTAAATAGCATGGTGACATGGCTTTTCTTTTCTTTTTTTTTTTTGGAGACAGGGTCTCGCTCTGTCGCTCACGCTGGAGTGCAGTGGCATGATCATACCCCACTGTAACCTCAAACTCCTAGGCTCAAGCAGTTCTCCCACTTCAACCTTCTGCGGGGCTAGGACTACAGGAAGACACCACCATGCCCAGCTAATTTTTAAAATTTTTTGTAGATAAGGGGACTCACTATGTTTCCCAGGCTTGTCTTGAACTCATAACCTCAATGAATCTTCTTGCCTCGGCCTCCTGAAACATTGGAATTGCAGGCGGGAGCCACTCTGCCCACAGCCTCTTCCTATTTTTGAATTGGCATTTGCCAAAAAAAATAAAATAAAATAAAATGAAAAAACCCCACCATGCACACACTTTGTAGTTGTCTTCAGAATAGCATGTTTTAAATAAAACCTCTAAATAAAACTTCATAGTGTTGATTTAAATATCCCTTTCTTTCAAACATCATCCTTTTTTCCCCAGTGTTAATTTCCCTGAAGGCCACAGTCTGATTACAAGAAGTAAAAATGGTCCAGGAACGGTGGCTCGTGCCTGTAAATCCCAGCAATTTGGGAGGCCGAGGCTGGTGGATCATGAGGTCAGGACTTTGAGTCCAGCCTGACCAACATGGTGAAATCCCGTCCCCACTAAAAATACAAAAATTAGCTAGGTATGGTGGCGCATGTCTGTAATCCCAGCTACTCGGGAGGTTGAGGCAGGAGAATTGCTTGAACCCAGGAGGAGGAGGTTGCAGTGAGCTGAGATTGCACCACTGCACTCCAGCCTGGGCAACAGAGCCAGACTCCATCTCAGAAAAAAAAAAGAAAAGAAAAGGAAGTAAAAATTAAAATTAACTTCCCACAGGCCTGGCTAAAGTATGGGTTATTGATGGCTGATGTTAGAAATGTTTGATGTAATTTTGATTAACAAACAAAATGTCGTTGTCAAAAAATGGTATACATCTTTGTGTTAGAAAGCTAACATCATGTACATTTTTGTTCATATATTTAGACATTAAACTAATTTTTTTTTTGAGATGGAGTTTCACTCTGGTTGCCAAGGCTGGAGTGCAAAGGTGCGATCTTGGCTCACTGCAACCTCTGCCTCCCAGGTTCAAGAGATTCTCCTGCCTCAGCCTCCCGAGTCCTGGGATTACAGGCACACACCACCACGCCTGGCTAATTTTTGGATTTATTTAGTAGAAACGCGGTTTCACCATGTTGGCCAGGCTGGTTCTCCAACTCCTGACCTTAAGTGACGCACCTGCCTCGGCCTCCCAAAGTGCTGGGATCACAGGTGTGAACCACCACGCTTGGCCTGTTCAACCAGTTATTTATTGAGCTCCTACCATGAGGCTGATTCTGTGCTATCCCTGGATATAAAATGGAAATTGAAACAGACCTAAACCCTGACCTTGGAGTTCAGTCTAGTATATAATAGTCTCTACGAAATTATACATATAAGTCAGGAATCGTATCTTATTCATCAGTACAATGAATATAGTAGGTTTTCTTTGAATATTTGTAGACTAAATGAATGGATTTTACCAGACGTTACCTTGCCATAAACTAAGAAATAGTTACTATTACTCCAGACATATATGTACTTATGGAGGTTTGAGAAATAATGTGGACTAAGAAGCCCTTATATAGCCTCACCCAACTTTAGCATGCTCCTTCCAGAGCCAACCCATCATTCAAATAATCCAAAATTCTGTCTAATATCTGGTTATGAACAGATTCCTGAGACAAAACAAAATGTGGCCACCTATTAATAAAGCAAACAGTCTTGGTGTTCAGACACTGCTGCCGTTTAGTTCAGAACAGATTATTGTCATTATTATAATTTTGTTTATTAAAAAGAAAACTCTTGGCAGCCGAGCGCGGTGGCTCACGCCTGTAATCCCAGCACTTTGGGAGGCCAAGGCTGGTGGCTCACGAGGTCAGGAGATCGAGACCATCCTGGCTAACACGGTGAAACCCCGTCTGTACTAAAAATAAAAAAAATTAGCCGGCCTTGGTGGTGGGTGCCTGTAGTCCCAGCTACTTGGGAGGCTGAGGCAGGAGAATGGCATGAACCCAGGAGGCAGAGCTTGCAGTGAGCAGAGATCGAGCCATTGCACTCCAGCCTCGGTGACAGAATGAGACTCCATCTCAAAAAAAACAAGAAAAAGAAAAGAAAACTCTTTAGCTGGGCACGGTGGCTCATGCCTGTAATCCTAACACTTTGGGAGGCCAAGGCAGATGGATCACCTGAAGTCAGGAGTTAGAGACCAGCCTGGCCAACATGGCAAAACTTCATCTCTACTAAAAATACAAAAATGAGCTGGGCATCGATGTACATGCCTGTAATCCCAGCTACTCAGGAGGCTGAGGCAAGAGAATCGCTTGAACTCGTGAGGCAGTTGCAGTGAGATCGCACCACTGCACTCCAACCTGGGTGACAGAGCAAGATTCTGTCTCAAAAAAAAAAAAAAAAAGAAAACTCTGACATTTATTTTCCAATGGTTTTCATTACCATTGAGATAATTTGAGAAGTATTGGGATAATTTGGGGAAGTAATCTGAGAGATTATATGACCAAGCACTTTTGGAAGCAAGTAACAGATTTCAACACAAATACATAACAGAAATCTCTAAAGTAATACATTTTGAAATGAGGAACTGTATCAGGAACTTTTAAAGTTTTAGAGACAAGTCAGTATGCAACCTTATCTTTTCATTTGCTGGCATCTCAGTGAAATCAGGATCTGTGCTATCAAATCAAAGAAGCAAAAGCCTATAAGGACTTTCCTCTATCTCCCCTGTAAATAATAGATTTTTCTTTTTTTTTTTTTTTTTTGAGGCAGAGTTTTGTTCTTGTTGCCCAGGCTGGAGTGCAGTGGCACGATCTCAGCTCACTACAACCTCCGCCTCCCGGGTTCAAGCAATTCTCCCAAAGTGTTGGGATTATAGGCGTGAGCCACCACGCCCAGCCGTAAATAATGGATTTTTCCTACTTTAATTTACCTGGGGGAGTAAACACAATATGAAAGGGCAAAAACTTGACCTTCCCTAAATCTGATCTACCTAATTAAATGCTGGCCAGCTGCAGTGTCTCATGCCTGTAATCCTGGCACTTTGGGAGGCCCAGGCAGGCGGATCACTTGAGGCCAGGCCAGGAGTTTGAGACCAGCCTGGCCATCATGGCGAAACTCTGTCTCTGCTAAAAATACAAAAATTGGGAGGGATAGCATTAAGAGAAATACCTAATGTAAATGATGGGTTAATGGGTGCAGCACACCAACATGGCACATGTATACATATGTAACAAACCTGCACGTTGTGCACATGTACCCTAGAAATTAAAGTATAATAATAAAAAGAAATCTCACATATCAGAATATGTTACATTCTTTACAGGTACTAAGATTTCCTTTAATGGATTTTTGAAGTCATATTTATAAAAAGTTATTATATTAACCAGGGAGGAGATGAGTACTTAAGGCAAAAAAAGACATTTTTTTCTCTGAGTCAGCAATACTTGTCCTTAAATTTCCCATTGGAGGGCAAAGCCGATTTGAAATCTGTCTCCTTTTTGTCTCTTGGGATTGTTCTCACCTGAACAGAACATTACAGCATTTACTACAGGGCCAAATGAAAGACAGAAGTCAGAGAGTAACTCCTAGAAAATGGAATAAATTGTTCCTGAAGGTTAAAAAAAAAATACAAAAATTAACCAGGCATGTGGCCCACGCCTGTAATCCCAGCTACTCTTGGGAGGCTGAGGCAGGAGAATCACTTGAACTCAGGAGGTAGAGGTTGCAGAGATGGTGCCACTGTACTCCAGCCTGGGTGACAGAGTGAGACTCTGTCTCAAAAAAATAAAGGAAAATGAAAAATAAAGTGGTGCTTACCTAGGACCTCCAAAAGTTAGCCTCTATTTTGTCTTCCAAAGGTAAGAGAGTAGATTGTCCTCTGGGCTGATATAAATGGGGAAGACAGTACTGTATGTGACCTTGTGTTCTGACATGATTCTGGCATCTGTGCAGAATCTTTTTGGTAGCATGTGCTTTGTCACTTTCTAGCAAGCAGGGAGACTAGGCAGGCACCTAGGGCCTGAGAGTCAACCAGTCCACACGTTTCCAAACCATGAGGGTAGGAGAAAGGGGTCCCAATATTCTCAGCATTTGGGTAGTTACTACTCCGAGATGGGTTTTAAAGCCAGTTAATAAAAAGGCACCATGCCACCGGAAGAGATATGTGAGCTTGGATCTCAAAGGGTATGTACTCTGAAGCTGAAATCATAAACCAGAGCATCTGATGTGTGTCTCATACACAATGAGGGAGGAAGGACTGCTGACGGAAATGTCACACGCAGCTGCTTTTAGCACTTGGCTCTCACTGATGAAGCTTCCCTCTCTGCCACTACACACCACCCTCTTCCTACATGAGAGACCTTTAGGGCTCTTTAGTTCTCATCCTGAAAGCTGTGGGACAGATTATAAATTGATATCTTTTATATCAGTATAGCTCATGCTTGGTTGATGTGCCTGATGGGCTATAGGAGTGATTGACTCAGCTACTATTTTGGTGAGGAAAGAGAGTCTTCCTTAGAAAGAGAATTGTGTGCCTTGCCCTAAAAAGGTTAGGAATGCGGCCTATGGTCCTAATTAAGTGCCCTGTTAAACAGTGTCCCTTGAACAAGTCACTTTCTTCTTCTGCAACTTCTCCAGCTATATAATTAAGCATGTAATCCTGTGTGACTTCATAGTAGGGTTGTGAGGACAGGCTATTCCCACCGTCTGGAGTTGTCTTCCCCTCACTTTTCCATTGCCAAATAAATCGTCCTTATCTTTTGGAGTTAAGTTGAAACATCAATTTCTTGAGATTGTTTCAGATCCTACTTTTCTACTGCCCAAAACCCGTAGTTCCCCAGTCTGTCACTTTATAGCACCTGGCACTTCCCTTTTTGCAACCAATGTCACGCTTATTGTAATAGTTGTTCAATGTCTATCTTCCCAATTAGACTAGAAGTTTCATTAGCATAGAAATCCTATCTTTTGCACCTCGATTCTTAGCACAATCTTGGGCATTGTGCTTTGTACCTATTTGGATGATGAATGAAAGATGAATGATTACATCTCATAATCACTTTGAGATTCCTTTCTGAAAACTCCAATATTGAACTCTTTGTGCCTTTCTAAATATGCTGGTAAAACTGAGAACAGGTTTTTCTATTAGAGTGAAAAGGACTGCTGTTTATTGAATGTTTCCCCCTACCTCGCTACTCCTTACCTTTTCCTATTATGACAATCTTAAATTCTCTCCATGGCAAGCTGTTCCCAACTCCCTAAACAGTCATTTCTAGGAAGACTGCAGGCTGTTCATTTTGTTTTCTTTTTTGAGACAGGGTCTCACTGTGTGGCCCAGGCTGGAGTACAGTGGCGCGATCTCGGCTCACTGCAACCTCCGCCTCCTGGGTTCAAGCGATTCTTCTGCCTCAGCCTCCCGAGGAGCTGGGACTACAGGTGCGCACCACCACGCCCAGCTAATTTTTGTAATTTTAGTAGAGATGGGGTGTCACCATGTTGGCCAGGCTGGTCTCGAACTCCTGACCTTGTAATCTGCCCACCTTGGCCTCCCAACGTGCTGGGATTACAAGTGTGAGCCACCGTGCCCGGCCACAGGCTGTTTGTTTTTAAATGAAACAAAAAATCCAAACTGGCTTTTAGAATTAACTGTTGTCTTTCCTCACATTTTTGTCAATTTAAAGAACTGTTAAGCTCCTGTAAAAAAGATGTTATGTAATCTGTAACTACATTTGAGAATGTTAGTCAACTTCAAATAAATTCTTACCAAAATACCTTTTTCTTGTTAACACTAATTGTTGCTGAAATATTAACCTGAACTTGCATATCATTCTATCTGGCAACTTTTCAGAATAGATTCATACCAGCTTCACATGCCATTTATTAATTCATCAATTAATTGATTCAGTAATTATTAGTGAACACTAAATGTCAGGCACTTTTCTAGATGTTTGGGAATATCAGTAAATAAAACAGATTCTTGCCCTCAAGGAAATATTTATAGAACTGCTGTTGTATAAACAGTACTCATCAAATATTCCACTGCTCCCCTGCTTTTCCCAGCATCCCTTACAGTTAGGTTTGGATCATGTGATTACAGCAAGCTAATGGCCTATCAAGGAAATGACATGTATCATTTTTAGGCTGAGGAAGGTATAAGCTAATGTGCTCCCCAACCCTGTTATTACCTGTCACACAACCCCAGAGGTTAATATTCCACATGGTTCAGCCACAAGATATAATTTGAGTCATTTTGGTTACTGAGTCTCATAGTCCGTTTGTGCTGCTATAGCAACATACCTAAGACTAGATAATTTACAAATAATAGGAATTCGTTTCTCACAGTTCTGGAGTCTGCAAAGTCCAATATCAAGCCACTAGTAGATAATGCCTTGTTGCTGCATTTTTCAGAGGGTCTGAAATCTGTGTCCTTACATGGAGGAAGAGACAGAAGGGGCAAACCCACCCCCTCAAGTCCTCTTCTAAAGCACTGTGAGAGTGGAGCCCTCAGGGCCTACCCTCTGAAGGCCCTACCTCTTAAAGAGTGTTTCATTGTAGATTAAATTTCAATATGAGTTTTGGAGGAGACACAAACTGTAGAATTCCACCCCTGGCCCCCCAAAATATATGTCCTTCTTACTTACAAAATATAATCATTCCATCCCAATAACATCAAAAGTCTTAACTTGTTCCAGCATCAACTTTAGAGTCTGACTCTGAAGTCTCATCTAAATATCATCTTCATAACATTTGGATGTGACTCAAGGTACAATTCATCATGAGGCAAATTCCTCTCCCGTTGTGAGCCTGTGAAATCAAGTTATGTGCTTCCAAAATACAATGGTGTACAGGCATACGACAGACATTCCCATTCTAAAAGGGAGCAATAGGCAAGAAGAAATGGGTAACAGGTCTCAAGTAAGTCCAAAATCCAACAAGGCAAACTTTAAATCTTGAAGCTTCAGAAAAACAATCTTTGACTCTATGTGCGACCTTCTGGACACCCTGGGGTGAGGGTTGGGCCCCCAAAGCCCTGGACAGCTGCATTCCTATGGCATCACTGGGCATAGCCCATGCTGCAGCTCTCCCTGACTGATGCTGCACACTGGTGGCTCTCTAGGTTTTGGGTCTTGCCAGGGGTTGGGGGAGTAGAGCTGACCCTTCCCCATGGCCCCACTAGATACTGTACTTGACAGGGCTCTCTACAATGGCCTTAACCCACAACTCCATTTGACATTGCCTAGTGGAGGTTCTCTGCAGTATCCCTGGCAGCTCTCTACCTGGGCCCTGAGGCTTTCAGAGAGAGCCTTTGAAATCTAGGTGGAGGTAGCAATGCCTCCACAAGTGTTGCAGTCTGCATGCCTGCAGAGCTGGCAGCACAAGGATCCCACTGAAGTTTATCGCTTGTGCCTCCTGGAGCAGCAGCCCAAGCCTCACTTGGGCCCACTTGAACCACAGCTGGGGCAGCCAAGGAGTTCTGCACCTGAATGCAGGGAACAGACTTGAGGCAATATTGAGAGCCCCAAGGTCCCTCCTTTGAAGCCTTTCTTCCCTCAAGGCACTAGCACTCTGGGCCTGTGATGGGAGTAGCAGCCTCAGAGATCTCTGAAATGCCTTCAGGGTCATTGTTCCATTGTCCTGAGAATAGCATCTGGCTTCCTCCTATCCCTATTAATTTTATCAAATAGCCTCTTGGCCACATCCTTGGTATGCTTTCTGAAATATGCTTTGCAACCCTGCCAGTGTTTAAATTAAAATGGAGACTTGGCCAGAAAACTTTTTGAGCAGACAAAACCAGAGGCCTTAAAAATAACCTGAATCTCCATCCTGGCTAACACGGTGAAACCCCGTCTCTACTAAAAATACAAAAAAATTAGCTGGGCGTCATGGCGGGTGCCTGTAGTCCCAGCTACTCTGGAGGCTGAGGCAGGAGAATGGCGTGAACCTGGGAGGTAGAGCTTGCAGTGAGCCGACATCGCACCACTGCACTGAAGCCTGGGCGACAGAGAGAGACTCTGTCTCAAAAAAATTAAAAAATAAAATAAAAAATAACCTAAATCTTGCTTAAACTGCAAAAACTTAAGTTGGGTAATTTCTGATGGTTCATGCTAGACAAAACTAAAACTCAACCCCAGCCATGATAAGTATGATTATGTGATTAGGGGCTTGCCAACAAGTACCTAAAAAAAGGAATTTTGTAATTGGAAGCCAATCAAATAATTTATTTTGCTTCTCCATTTTCCCAATAAATACCTGACATTTCATCATTGGGACACTAAACTTCTTTTAGTCTGGTGTTCCCCAACTCATGAATTGCATCTCACTCAAATAAACTCTTGTGCCTCAGATTTTTCTTTAACACCAGGCTGAGAAGTTTCCAAATCTTCTGCTTCCCTTTTAGTTCTATCTTTAATTCATTTCTCCCTTCTTACATTTTACTATAAGCAATCAAAAGAAGCCATGCAGAACCTTCAACACTTTGCTCAGATAATTCTGCCAAATATCCTGGTTCATCACTCACAAGTTCTGCCATTCATAAAACGTTAGGACACAGAAACAATTCAGTCAAGTTCTTTGCCACAAGAATGGCTTTTCCTCCAGTTTCTAATACCATTTTCCTCATTTCCATCTGAGGAAGTATTGTACTTTAGTAGAGATAGGGTTTCACCATATTGGCCAGGCTGGTCTGGAACTCCTGACCATAGGTTATCCACCCATCTTGGCCTCCCAAAGGGCACGGTGATTCATGCCTGTAATCCTAGCACTTTGGGAGGCCGAGGCAGGTGGATCACCTGAGGCCAGAAGTTCGAGACCAGCCTGGCCAACATGGCAAAACCCTGTCTCTACTAAAAATACAAAAAATTAGCTGGGCATAGTGGCACACACCTGTAATCCCAACTACTGGGAAGGCTGAGGCAAAAGAACTGCTTGAACCGGGGAGGCGGAGGTTGCAGTGAGCACCACTGTACTCCAGCCTAAGCAACAAAGCGAGACTATCTCAAAAAAACAAAAAACAAACAAACAAAAACCCTGAGAATGGGTAATGTATAAATAATAGAAATGCATTTTTTACAGTTCTGGAGGCTGAGATTTCCAAAATGAAGGCAACAATAGGTCTGATATCTAGTCTAGTCTATTCTAGTTTGATGTCTGTGCTTCCAGTGGCTCCTCGTCCTCACATCGTGGAAGGGATGGAAGGGTAAAAAGAGAGAAATGCTGTGTAAAGCCTCCCTTATAAAGCATTAATTCCATTCATGAGGGTGGAGCACTCATGACTTACTCACCTCATAAAGGTCCCACCTTTTAATAGTTAATATAACTTTGGGCATTAAGTTCCTACATGAATTTTGGAGGGGACACAAACATTCAAACCATAGCACTGAGTGAAGGTGAGGAGTTGAGCAACACTGAACTTTCACTGCTTGCCAACCTGTGCTAGATAGATGACATGTGTGAGATATAAATGTTTGTTGTTTAAACCACTGAGGATTTAGAGTCTGACTGCTGGGATAGTCAGTGTTAATTGCCCTGAGTAATACAACTCCTATTATTTATTTAGTACCTTTTATGTACTTTGCTATGCAAAGTACTAGGCTGTGTGTAATAGTGATTTGTTACAATTCTGATAGTTGACTTCCCTTGCCAAAAAGGAGTCATGTTCAGTATTCATTCCGAATTATATTATCATCAATCTCACCAAATTTGCTCAATTTTTTAAAAACAGTGGTTCTCGGCCGGGCGTGGTGGCTCATGCCTGTAATCCTAGCACTTTGGGAGGCCAAGGTAGGTGGATCACCTGAGGTCAGGAGTTTGAGACCAGCCTGCAAACATGGTGAAAACCCATCTCTACTAAAAACACAAAAATTAGCTGGGTGTGGTGGCGGCCACCTATAATCCCAGCTACTCAGGAAGCTGAAGCAGGAGAATCACTTGAATCCAGGAGGCGGAGGTTGCAGTGAGCTGAGATCACGCCATTGTACTCCAGCCTGGGCGATAAAAGCAAAACTCAGTCTCAAAAAAATAAATAAATAAAATAAAAACAGTGGCTCTCAGAAAGAAACAAACAGTGGCTCTAAAATTGATACAAGTCTTGAAATTTTAGAGGGAAAAGAAGGATTTTAGGCTTATTCTAGAAGATTTAATTAGGATGAGACTTAATTAGGATGAGTCCTGATTCCATGGTTGAGTATTTAATCTGCCTTATTTTTCCCAGAGGTAAAATTGGAGATAATATTTTGCTACTAATGTCACAACGTTATTATAATGATCAAAATGAGTTGACTATATAAATTATGAGGCATATATATACAAATATGACTATTCTCATTGAACCTGAACATTGATTTTTATCATATCACACTTGTGCTTTAATAAAAGGAAAATATAATGAAAACTATTTAGGTAGGGTAGTCCAAAATGTCTTCACATTCAGAGTCTGTCTCTGAATCACTTTTGACTCTGAATCATCAATGTCTGTATTTTCTTCCTTTTTTTTTTTTTTTTTTGAGACAGAGTTTTGCTCTTGTTGCCCAGGCTGGAGTGCAATGGCATGATCTCAGCTCACTGCAACCTCTGTCTCCTGGGTTCAAGCAATTCTCCTGCCTCAGCCTCCCGAGTAGCTGGGATTACAGGCATGCGCCACCAGGCCCGGCTAATTTTTTGTGTTTTTAGTGGAGACAGGGTTTCACCATGTTGGCCAGGCTGGTCTTGAACTCTTGACCTCAGATGATCCACCTGTGTTGGCCTCCCAAAGTGCTGGGATTACAGGCATTAGCCACCAAGCCCGGCCTATGTCTGTATTTTTCAATATAATATTACAAGTGTGGCCTCGAGAGCACTGGTGATGTAATGTTCCTTAGGCAGGTCTTCAGGTCTTCACCTTTTTTGTTTGTTTGTTTTTGAGACAGAATCTCCCTCAATCACCAAGGCTGGAGTGCAGTGGTGTGATCTCGGCTCACTGCAACCTCCACCTCCCGGGTTCAAGCAATTCTCCTGCCTCAGCCTCCCAAGCAGCTGGGATTACAGGTGCCTGCCACCATGCCCAGCTAATTTTTTTTTTTTTTTTGTATTTTTAGTAGAGATGAAGTTTCACCATGTTGGCCAGCCTGGTCTCGAACCCCTGACCTCAGGTGATCCACCTGCCTTGGCCTCCCAAAGTGCTGGGATTACAGGCATGAGCCATCGTGCCTGGCCAGACTATTTTTATCTGAGTTTTTCTTCCAAGTCTCTGACATCCAGTCTGCAAGTTTTGATGCTAATGCTTTCTTGATCTTACAGGAAGGTGTCAATGAAAGGTTTTCAGGCAACAAGTAGGATTCATATAGCTTGCTTAAATGATACTTAAATGAACAAACTGAAAGGGCTATGAGTTTCAGTTTTCCAGTCATGCCACCAGGATTAACAATCAATCAAGTTTGGGCATGAATAGACAATGACGGCTGGGTGTGGTGGCTCATGCCTGTAATCCTAGCACTTTGAGTGGCCGAGGCCGGCGGATCACCTGAGGTCAGGAGTTCGAGACCAGCCTCAACATGGAGAAACCCCGTCTCTACTACAAATACAAAATTAGCCGGGCATGGTGGTGCATGCCTGTAATCCCAGCTACTCGGGAGGCTGAGGCAGGAGAATTGCTTGAACCTGGGAGGCAGAGGTTGCAGTGAGCTGAGATCACACCATTGCACTCCAGCCTGGGCAACAAGAGTGAAACTCCGTCTCAGAAAAAAAAAAAAAAAAAAAAAAAAGACAATGACAACTATAGCACAACTGCTGAGCAGAAGAAACAACTGTAAAACATCAGTTTTAAGACACATCTTGGCCGGGCGCGGTGGCTCACGTCTGTAATCCCAGCACTTTGGGAGGTCAAGGCACGTGGATCACGACGTCAGGAATTCAAGACAAGCCTGGCCAACATGGTGAAACCTCATCTCTACTAAAAATACAAAAATTAGCCAGGCGTCGTGGTGGGCACCTGTAATCCCAGCTACTCGGGAGGCTGAGGCAGGAGAATCGCTTGAACCTGGGAGGCAGAGGTTGCAGTGACCCTAGATCGCGCCACTGCACTCCAGCCTAGGCAACAGAGCAAGACTGTCTCAAAAAAAAAAAAAAAAGACACATCTTGATTTCTGAGATATTACAATATAACTATATATTTCTTGGGACAGATAAAATGCAGTATTGTTATTTTATTAATACAAATAAAGGTATATAATAATAAGGCCCTGATAACCTCAGCTACACAGGAACTCACAGATCATTCTTTCTTTTCCATCTCATTCTTAGCACGCTAATCCAACCTTTGCAATCTTAAATCTAGGACAAAGCAATAGAAGGATTTGGGCTATGGAGAAAAGAGAACTCATTTTGGTGTCTAAAGACCTGGATCTGACTTTCAGCCTTGCAATACTTTTAGGAGGTGAAATCACTACTCTGGGGGAAATATCTGATTCAGAAGGTTTTGGGCGGGGGGGATTTAATGTATGCAGAAGCAGTTTGTAAACTGTAAAATCTCTATACAAGAGGAAGAGAACTGGCTGCACTCCAGCCTGGGTGACAGAGTGAGAGTTCTGCCTCAAAAAAAAAAAACAAAAAAAAAAAGAACTAATATTTGTTGAGTGCCAGGAACTGAGCTGGGTATTTGGGCATTATCTTATTTGATCTGATGTAAATGCTAAGGCATATCATGTCTGGATAGTCACCTTGCTAGCTAATCCATTCTGTGGTGGGTTTTTTTTTCTTCTTCTTCCTGAAATAACCCTTTCATTCCCTTAAACCTTAAAGCAGAAATCTTCTTTAGTTACTGTTCCTATCACAAACCAGTTGATGACTATGAGCTCATCACAAAGCTGCAGCCTCTCACTCATTGTTGCCTTGTAGTAAGACACATGATGAAATAAGAGACCCTTAGGCTACCAGTGTGCTGTGTAGAATCTTCCCTGTGATTCTTTTGCCAGAACTAGCCCCTGGGACCTTGGCAGAAAATTTTTACTTATACTATGATAAAAATTCCAAAAATAGGCTGGGCGCGGTGGCTCACGCCTATAATCTCAGCACTTTGGGAGGCTGAGGCAGGCAGATCCACTAGAGGTTAGGAGTTCAAGACCAGCCTGGGCAACATGGCGAAACCCTGTCTCTACTAAAAATACAAAAATTAGCTGGGTGTGGTGGCAGGCGCTTGTAATCCCAGCTACTCGGGAGGCTGAGGCAGGAGAATCACTTGAATCTGGGAGGCAGAGGCTGCAGTGAGCCAAGATTGCGCTATTGCACTCCAGCCTGGGTGACAGAGTGAGACTCCGTCTCAAAAAAAAAAAAAAAAATTCCAAAAACAATCTAAGATGCATTGGACAATTTATACAGATTCAGGATTCAGGTGCACAGAAAGTTGACATCCAAAACCCCCGGCCATAGAAACCAGAGATCCCAGTGACAAGATAATTTTGGGGTCTGTAACTCTATTCAGAGGCAGAAAAGTTACTGGCAAGAAATTTAGTCCTAGGGAAGTATAAGTCAGGAACTCTTTTCCCATCCCCAAAGTCCTGATTACCTTTGAGACTTTTCTTTTGAGACAGGGTCTCAGCCAGTTTCTTTTATTTATTATTGATTGATTGATTGATTGGTAGAAACAGGGTCTCACCTTATTACCCACTTTGGTCTCCAACTCCTGGCCTCAAGCAGTCCTCCCACCTCACCTCCCAAAGTGCTGGGATTACAGGCATGAGCCACCAAGCAGGGCTGAGACTGACTCTTTGAACTAAAGACCTAGTCTCCTCATGATCTTCCAGCTGGAAGAATTGAGTCATTGAAATGAAGTGAATCTTAGTCTATAAGTTGGGGTTGTAGATCCTAGCTCAGAGGCTAGACGGTATATGAGGCACATTATTGCACCAGGCAAGTGAAATGCTATCTTGACCTATTAATAGGTGGTGGTAAGGTGGAGTGGTGGGGGAGGTGTTAAAGCTATAAACTTTATTATGTTTCAAATGACCTCAGGATGGGGGGCAAATACCTACAACAATTTGAGGAGTCCCAAGACCCATCTCATGGCTACCATCTTAGGACAGTAATGTAATGTTTAATTTCTAACTCAATGTAACATTCATATCATTCTCTGATTATTTTATGTACATCTATATTAACTTCTCACTAAGGTTTTAAGCTTGAGGACAGTAATCACATCTTACTTTAAAAAATATTCTGGGCCGGGCACGGTGGCTCATGCCTGTAATCCCAGCTCTTTCGGAGGCCGAGGTGGGCTGATCACGAGGTCAGAAGATTGAGACTATCCTGGCTAACACGGTGAAACCCTGTCTCTACTAAAAATACAAAAAATTAGCTGGGCGTGGTGGCGGACTCCTGTAGTCCCAGATCCTCAGGAGGCTGAGGCAGGAGAATGGCATGAACCCGGTAGGTGGAGCTTACAGTGAGCCCAGATCGCGCCACTGCACTCCAGCCTGGGTGACGGAGCGAGACTCTGTCTCAAAAAGAAAAAAAATTCTGCAGGCTGGGCACAGTGGCTCACACCTGAAATCCCAGCACTTTGGGAGGCCAAGGCAGGTGGATCACCTAAGGTCAGGGGTTCGAGACCAGTCTGGCTAACATGGTGAAACCCCTATCTCTACTAAAACTACAAAAATTAGCTGGGTGTGGTGGCATGCACCTGTAGTCCCAGCTACTTGGGAGGCTGAGGCAGGAGAATTGCTTGAACCCAGGAAGCGGAGGTTGCAGTGAGCTGAGATTATGCCACTGCACTCCAACCTGGGCAACAGAGTAAGACTCCGTCTCAAAAAAAAAAAAATCTGCATGTATAATACCTAGCATAATTCCTTGTACAACCCAGAAAATTTATTTTTTTTATTTTTTGAAACAGAGTCTTGCTGTGTTGCCCAGGCTGGAGTGCAGCGGCATGATCTTGGCTTACTGCCACCTCTGCCTCCTGGCTTCAAGTGATTCTCCTGCCTTAGCCTCCTGAGTAACTGGGATTACAGGCATGTGGCACCATGCCTGGCTAATTTTTGTATTTTTAGTAGAGATGGGATTTCACCATGTTGACCAGGCTTGTCTCGAACTCCTGACCTCGTGATCTGCCTGCCTCGGCCTCCCAAAGTGCTGGGATTACAGGTGTGAACCACTGCGCCCGGCCCAGAAAATTTATTAATATCACCACTTCTTATTTGACTCTGGCAGAGATTATATCTTGCGTGATCTCTATAAAAGTGGGACCCAGATTAATTTTTGCCATCAACGCGTGTTTTTCCAAGAACCCAGCCGCTCCAGAAAAATCTATTTTATTTGCAGAACTATTGCAAAATCTGACACTCCACTTCACTGGAATGCCCTTGTAATTGCCAAATGTTGTCTTGCCTCGTGGTAATTCTTGGCCAGACCTATGGATTGCCAGACCTTGCAGCTGTTTACCCTTGAAGTCCAATTCTCCTAAAACATCAAATCCAGTGACATTTCTTAATGACCTAATAAGAGTCGGCACTGAGCTAGTTGCCACTGAGGGTATGAAGACATGATTGCTGCCCTTAAGTAGTTAAGAGTTTATATGAAGACAAACGAATATTTTCAATAGCATATACAGACTTCAGTGATAATTTAGATAGTAAAGAAACAAAGGCATGACACAGAAAAAAAAAAGCCTTTAAGAACTCACTGGAGGGAGAGACATCAATTCTACCCTCTTGTTTTGTTGTTGTTGTTGTTGTGGTTGTGGTTTTGAGACAGTCTCACTCTGTTGCTCAGCGTGGAGTGCAGTGGTGTGATCTCAGCTCACTGCAAACTCCGCCCCCCAGGTTCAATCGATTCACCTGCCTCAGCCTCCCAACTACCTGGGATTACAGGCACCCGCCACCATGCCTGGCTAATTTTTGTATTTTTATTAGAGATGGGGTTTCACCATGTTGGTCAGGCTGGTCTTGAACTCCTGACCTCAAGTGACCCAGCCACTTCGTCTTCCCAAAGTACTGGGATTATAGGGGTGAGCCACTGCGTCTGGCCATTTATCTCTTGACCTGAAATTACTCAGTGGCACCATTGAGATTTCTGCCTTGAAAACGGTCCACCTCTTTTTTTTTTTTTTTTTTTTTGAGACAGAGTTTCGCTCTTGTTGCTTAGGCTAGAGTGCAATGATGCAATCTCAACTCACCGCAACCTCTGCCTCCTGGATTCAAAGGATTCTCCCGCCTCAGCCTCCTGAGTAGCTAGGACTATAGGCATGCGCCACCACGCCTAGTTAATTTTGTATTTTTAGTAGAGATGGGGTTTCTCCATATTGGTCAGGCTGGTCTCAAACTCCCGATCTCAGGTGATCCACCCTCCTTGGGCTCCCAAAGTGCTGGGATTACAGGTGTGAGCCACTGCGCCCAGCTCAGTCCACCTCTCTTTACTGCTAATTTTGTGTATTGGAACCTGTACTCTATCCATTTTGTTTTTAAATTTTCTAGACCCGGAAAGCATGGACTGGTACCAGGTCACAAAGATACTATTTGTGTTGTCACAACTTATTCTCTTCCTCTAAGATGTTGGGACAGAATATGTGGGATTTCTACTCATCTTCATCTTTCTACCTGGAATATGATCTTCACGAAACAGACTTTTCTTCTGAGATGAAGAAACTTTGTCAAAAGCAGTCTAATTCAGTCCGGTCAATATGGTGAAACCCTGTCTCTACTAAAAAATAATATATGAAAAAATTAGCTGGACGTGGTGGCATGCACCTGTAATCCCAGCTACAGGGAGGCTGAAGCAGGAGAATCACTTGAACCCGGGAGGCGGAGGTTGCAGAGTGCTGAGATCATGCCACTGCACTCCAGCCTGGGCAACAGAGTGAGACTGTCTCAAAAAAAAAAAAAAAGACAGTCCAATAGCCACTGTTTCCTAGTTCTTCACCTCATATTCCCTGCTCCCTTCTTAACCTTTCTGCTTTGGCGACTTTATCTTTTTCCCTATGAGAATGAATGTCACCCCACTCCAAGTCTTCAATCAATGTGTTCTAAAAGGAGAGAAAGCCTAAGAGTATGAGTCAACTTTATTCCTGGTACTGAACTTTGTTTGTTCTCATGTTAGTTGCCCGAAGGAACAGGGAAGAGAAGCAAAAGGGAAGTGATTAACAGGTCAACCTATTTGACTAATTTAAGAGATCAATTTAAAAGAAAATGATAACATAGCAAACTCCTCTTATATGCACATAAGGCATTACTAAGTATCTATTTTATGGTGCTTGACATGTTACAATTGCCTTTTTTTCTTCTTTTTTTTTTGAGACAGAGTCTTACTGTGTTGCCCAGACTGGAGTACAGTGGCGCGATCTCGGCTCACTGCAGCTACCGCCTCCTGGGTTCAAGCGATTCTTGTACCTCAGCCTCGCGAGTAGTTGGGACTACAGGCGACCGCCACAACACCTGGCTAATTTTTGTTGTATTTTTAGTAGAGATAGGATTTCGCCATGTTGCCCAGGCTGGTCTTGAACTCCTGACCTCAAGTGATCTGCCCACCTCGGCCTCCCAAAGCATTGGGATTACAGGTGTGAGCCACCGTGCCTGGCCACAGTTGCCTTTTTTAACCTTGATGTTGGCTTTTTTTTTTTTTTGAGATGGAGTCTTACTCTGTTGCCTGGGCTGGAGTGCAGTGGCGCTATCTCGGCTCACTGCAACCCTGCCTCCCTGGTTTAAGTGATTCTCCTACCTCAGCCCTCCAGAGTAGCTGGGATTACAGGGGCCCGTCATCAAACCTGGCTAATTTTTTTTTGCATTTTTAATAGAGACGGGGTTTCACCATGTTGCCCAGGCTGGTCTTGAACTCCTAGCCTCAAGTGATCTGCCCACCTCGGCCTTCCAAAGTGCTGGGATTACAGGTACGAGCCACCGCGCCGGGTCAGATGTTGGTTTCTTAAGCAAAAACAGAATCAGGATATCCCAGGAAGTCAACAGACATCTATCTGGTGGCCTCCTAGGTGAAAATGCTCTCCTTCAACTTAGCAGGTGTGAGCATTATAACTGTAACCTGTCCTTTTTTTTTTTTTTTTTTTTTTTTGAGATGGAGTCTTCGCTCTGTCGCCCAGGCTGGAGTGGAGTGGCGCGATCTCGACTCACTGCAAGCTCTGTCTCCTGGGTTCACGCCATTCTCCTGCCTCAGCCTCTTGAGTAACTGGGACTACAGGCACCCGCCACCAAGCCCGGCTCATTTTTTTGTATTTTTAGTAGAGACAGGGTTTCACCGTGTTAGCCAGGATGGTCTCAATCTCCTGACCTCATAATCCACCCGCCTCGGCCTCCCAAAGTGCTGGGATTACAGGCGTGAGCCACCGCGCCCGGCCGTGACCTGTCCTTCTATCTGGACTTTATATTAGAATGGTTTATGTCTGCACCTATGTCTCCATTAGAATGTAACCTCCTGGAGAAGAGAATTCATTTTCTTGTTTATCTTTATTTCCATCTACATCATCAAGTGTTTCATGTACATGCCAATGTTCAAAAACTTTTTTTAATCAATTAGTCAAACTTTGCTAAAGTGGTAGCTTGTCACTACTGCCGGGGTTTGTTGAAGTGTGCCACTCTGCATGCCAGCTAATAATAATAACAACAATAGCAGTTAACCTGTGAAAACCGTGAACAGCAACTCCCCTGAGAGCCAATGACAACTAGAGATATGGCAAGGAGTCATGTTGGAAGAATACTCATCCAGACCCTTGCTGAAATAGACCCAGAAAACGGCTCTGTGGAGTTACACCCAGAATGGAGCCTATGGAGAACACCCATATTCAACAACAGTGGCTGACTTTCAGCACGCAGCAGACAGCCTCTGAGAGACTTTGTTCTGTGTCTCACCCTTCTCTTATGCAGTGAGGAAAGGGAGACTCTCTAGGCCAGGCAGTAACCCTGAGAGCTTCCCTGACAGAGGATTGCTGAGAGACTGAGCAGATGCAAGAGGAATGCCTCTGTTCTTCCCTCACTGCCTATTTTGGCCATCTCCCTGCTTTTAGACTTTGCAGTGGAGGGGCCAGAGGCTTGAGCCAAGCCAAAGATACAGGAGAAGGATCTGGAATCCACCTCAGTGGGTAGGGCCAATTAAGACAAGAGGGGTGTACACAGAGGGAAATGTTCAGAAAACAAACCTCTTGCAAGAATCTGGAGGTATAACAGGGCCAAGTCTTCATACTGAGTTGGTGGGGGCTTCACTTTAATATGTGAATGTTGGAAAGAGGTGGGATATGAAAAGAAATCACAATACCTTGATCACCAGCTTCTACCAGAGGGATCTTGTCTCTTATTGCTGCTGTGAGTACTTTGGGGCCTCATGAGTGAGCTTGGCTGTCTAGAACCCTAGTTGGCCTTGAGTGAAGAAAATCAGTAACTGTAGTTAGACTCCCCTGATCTGCCCTACCCGTCTGTCCTAGCATCATCTAGAGAACACTCTAGGAAGAGGCTGTGGGTATAATTGAGTGTACCCAGTGTTCTGTGTCCATGTACCGGGAGCTCTGGGTTTACCTGAGATTCTTTCCATGTGGCTGAAAAGAGTTGGAAAGAGTTGGCCTTGATAGTCAGGGGCTTCAGTTCTCATTATGTTTTCCCAATGTGGCAGCTCCATAATGCTGGAAAAACTCTGTTCCCCCAGGACCCTCTTCCTCTTCCTTGTACCGTGAAGATGCAGAAGGAGAGGAGTTTGTCCATGCTATTCTTTCTCTGTGATCTGCTGTGCAAGGTGTCATGTAGCACATGCAGGCAGTGAGCATTCTTTCCTTGACTTTAAGCTTGGCAGTTACCCGGGGTTCAAAAGTTCTGAGGGCAACTGTCCTCCTTTAAGTCTTGGCTGCTCTACCTTGTATAACTTCTACCTTTATCTTTCACAAGTTTTTATCTTCAGGAAACTCCCAAGCATTCTGGAAGCTCTGCATGTGAGTAAGAACCACTGCTGTTGCTGTTGCTGTAGCTGCCTGAATCTATGGCAAAAAGCCAGGAAAAAAAAATTGCTTCACACCATGTGCACCGACTCCCCTGGAGCTGGCACCACCAGGGCGTCTGCAGAGCTATGTAAGTCGTTCTCCAAGCAGTCTGTCTCTTTGGTAGCTACAGAAACAGTGTTTGTTATCCTTTGTTTTCGGTAGACAGGCAAAAATCTGATGGCGACATTCTCTCTTTCTGAAGTTGGAGAGCCAACCAGCAAAACCTTCAGAAAGAAGGCAGCTTCTACCAGAGGGATCTTGTCTCTTATTGCTGCTTTCAATACTTTGGAGCCTCAGTGAGAGGACTCCCTATGAAACCATGGAATTAAAGTTGCCCTTTCAGATTTTAACCTTGAGATCAATGCACAGTGGGTCAAAGTATAGTTATTCAAAGTCTTAGTAAAGAGGTAAAATGGCTCCCTGGTAAGCAAGATTATGCTATAATCTTAAAATAGGCTCACACCTGTAATCCCAGGACTTTGGGAGGCTGAGGTGGGCAGATCACCTGAGGTTGGGAGTTCGAGACTAACCCAGGTAACACGGTGAAACCCCGTCTCTACTAAAAGTTCAAAATTAGCTGGGCATGGTGGTGCATGCCTGTTATCCCAGCTACTCGGGAGCCTGAGGCAGAAGAATCACTTGAACCCAGGAGGCAGAGGTTGCAGTGAGCTGAGATTGTGCCACTGTACTTCAGCCTGGGCGACACAGTGAGACTCTTGTCTATAAAAAAAAAAAAAGTATATTATAAAGGATACAGATGAAGAGATGAAGAGATGCATAGGACGAGGTACAGGAAAGGACACAGAACTTGCATGCCCTCCCCAGGCTTGCCACCCTCTGGGAACCTTCATGTGTTCAGCTATCTAGAAGTTCTCCAAACTCAGTTCTTTGGGGGTTTTATGGAAACTCCATTATGCAAGCACGATTGATTACACCTTTGGCCATTGGTGAGCAACTTAACTTTCAGCCCCTCTTCCCTCCCTGGAAGCTGGGGGCTGGGGCTAAAAGTCCCACCCCTCTAATTATGCCTTGGTCTTTCTGGTGACCAGCCCCTCACCATCAGTCATCTCACTAGCATACAAAACCCATCACTTTGGAAACTGTAAGGCTTTTTTAGAAGTTGTAGGTCAAGAAATGGGGTTGAAAACCAAATATATGTATTACAATATCACACTCCTTTTTTATAGCTCTCACTAGATGTTAGGTATTGTGCTAAGCACTGATAAACTTGCCCAAAGTCAAACACTTGGCAAGTGGTAGAACCAGGAGTTGAACCAGGCCAAAGCTTATGTATTTGACTAATGGGCTAAACTGTCTCTGATGGTTTAACAAATACAGCAAAACTTGCAGTTCCAAAGTGTTTTGTGCCTTTTAAAGGAATAGATTTGGAAGAATATATATTTATTCTTAAGTTTACTTGAAGCTCTTCTTTTGGAATTACCTGAGAAATCCTTGATATATTTTTTGAACATCCTTAACAAGGGCAAATTTTTGTTCTTTAAGATTTGATCTTCTTAATTACCAAAAGTTGCTTAGTGACAAACACAGTAAATAAGTTGGAAAATCACAATAGATATTTTAGTCCATTTTTTTGTTGCTGTAACTGAATATCTGAGACTTGAGAATTCATGAAGGACAGAGGTTTATTTTTTACAGTCTGGAGGCTGAGCAATCCAAGAGCATGGTGCCAACATTCAGTGAGGCATCTCGGCATCATAGCATGGCGGAGGGCATCAATCACATGGTGAGAGGGCAAGAGCATGCATGTCAGCTCAGGCCTCTCTTCCTCTTTTTTTTTTTTTTTTTTTTAATCTTTCCGAGACAGTGTCTCACTCTGTCGCCCAGGCTGGAGTGCAGTGGCGCGATCTCAGCTCATTGCAACCTCCACCTCCTGGGTTCAAGCAATTCTCCTGCCTCAGCTTCCCGAGTAGCTGGGATTACAGGCATGCACCACCACGCCCGGCTTCTTTTTTTTTTTTTTTTTTTTTTTGAGACAGAGTCTCGCTCTGTCGCCAGCCTGGAGTGCAGTGGCGCGATCTCAGCTCACTGCAACCTCTGCCTCCTGGGTTCAAGCGATTCTCCTGCCTCAGCCTCCCGAGTAGCTGGGATTACAGGCATGCACCACAGTGCCTGGCTAATTGTGTATTTTTAGTAGAGACGGGGTTTCTATATGTTGGTCAGGCTAGTCCCAAACTCTCGACCTCAGGTGATCCGCCCGCCTCGGCCTCCCAAAGTGCTGGGATTACAGGCTTGAGCCACTGTGCCCGGCCATTTTTTGGTATTTTTAGTAGAGATGGGGTTTCACCATATTGGCCAGGCTGGTCTGGAACTCCTGAACTTTTTTTTTTCTTTTTTTTTTTTTTTTTTTTTTTTTTTTGAGACAGAGCCTTGCTCTGTCGCCCAGGCTGGAGTGCAGTGGTGCGATCTCAGCTCACTGCAAACTCCGCCTCCCAGGTTCACACCATTTTCCTGCCTCAGCCTCCCGAGTAGCTGGGACCACAGGCACCCGCCACCACGCCTGGCTAATTTTTTTGTATTTTTTAGTAGAGACGGGGTTTCACAGTGTTAACCAGGATGGATCTCCTGACCTCGTGATCTGCCCGCCTTGGCCTCCCAAAGTGCTGGGATTACAGGTGTGAGCCACCGCGCCCGGCCTGGAACTCCTGACTTTATAATCCACCTGCCTTGCCTCCCAAAGTGCTGAGATTACAGGCGTTAGCCGCCACGCCTGGCCCTCTTCATCTTCTTTTAAAGCCACCCACCAGTCACATCATGGAGGCCCCACCCTGATGACCTAACCTATTATCTAATCCTGATTACATCCCAAAGGCCCCACTTCTAATCAACATATGCATTGGGGATTAAAGTTTGGAATACATAAAATTTGGGAGACACATTCAAATCATAGCAATAGGAAATACCATCTTTGGTGGAAAAACATGTGGCTTAGAAAGCAAGTCTATGGTTTTGATGGAAGTAGCAAAATACTTTATCATCACAAAGCGGTATCTATTGTTGCCAACTTTACTTTCCCATCACATTAGCCTTGTATTAGATGAAGTAAAGAAATATGAGTTTTTAAGTAAATTAGGTTAACCAGAAATGCATTAAATTGTTGTAAGTAAAAATTAATTAATGGATTAATATAAACATAAAGAAAAGTTTCCAAAGAAGGCTTTGTCCTTTTAATAATTCTGCAATTGACATGAATGAAGTCCTAGAAAGTGTGTTCATCAAACCTAGGAATCAAAGTTGGGAATAAGTGATTTTAAAAAAACAGAGAGAGTTTGAAAACTAAGTTTAACAAAGTTAAATGTAAGATCCTGCACTTCAAACTAAGAAAAAATAACTGCACTAGTACAAGATAAGGAATATAGCCTAACAGAAGTACATGAGAAAAATGCTTCTAAGTTTTAGTAGATGAGAACTTAATCGATGTTAATGACTTCCAAGAAAAATATTAAGATATTAGGCTGAATTAAAGGAAGCATAGACTCTAGAACAAAGGAGGGGACGCATCCACTCTACTCTGCTGGTTATTTCTAGAAACTACAATTTAAGAGGAATACGGTCAAATAAAAATGTATTCAGAAGAGAGTAATCACAATTATAAAAGAATATGAGAAATGTTAAATAGGGAGAAGACGTGTTGTTTGAAGATTAAAAAGAAAAAAAATACTGCTGGTAGGGATGGCATTGGCAGGGCACTGTGGCTTTATACTGTTAATCCTAGTACTTTGGGAGGCCAAGGTAGGAGGATCCCTTGAAACCAGCCTGAGCAACATAGCAAGACCTTGTGTCTACATTTTTTTTTAAGTTTCTTTAAATTGGGGGACATGATAGATTTCTTTTTTTTTTTTGAGATGGAGTCTCGCTCTGTCGCCCAGGCTGGAGTGCAGTGGCACGATCTCTGCTCACTGCAACCTCCGCCTCCTGGGTTCAAGCAATTCTCTGCCTCAGCCTCCTGAGTAGCTGGGAGTACAGGCACCCGCCACCACGCCCAGCTAATTTTTGTGTTTTTAGTAGAGACGGGGTTTCACCATCTTGGCCAGGCTGGTCTTGAACTCCTGACCTCGTAATCCACCCGCCTTGGCCTCCCAAAGTGTTGGGATTAATTGTCTGGGCTAAATAGCTGCAGTTTTGACTCTTGGACAGAGGGATTTCCTGGTGTGTGGGACTTATTCCAGTTTTAGCATTGGGAATGTCCCAGCAAACTGAAAAGAGTTGATTACCTCTGAGCTGAGGGAATTTTAAATAAAATGGGTCCATTAAGACATGATTGAGACAAACATAAAAGATATGCAGAGAGTCAAACCTTCTTTGTTTTTTGTTTGTTTGTTTGTTTGTTTTTGAGACAGAGTCTTGCTCTGTTGCCCAGGCGGCAGTGCAGTGGCATAATCTCCGCTCACTGCAGTCTCTGCCTCCCAGGTTCAAGTGATTCTCCTGCCTCAGCCCCTGGAGTAGCTGGGATTACAGGCATGCTATCATGCCCAACTAAGTTTTGTATTTTTAGTAGGGACGGGGTTTCACTGTGCTAGCCAGGATGGTCTGGATCTCCTGACCTCGTGATCCGCCCATCTCAGCCTCCCAAAGTGCTGGGATTACAGACGTGAGCCACCACACCCAACCTGTCAAACCTTCTTTGAACCAACATATGAATAAATGAAGGCATTAACTTTTCTCTCCCATGTGAGTGAAATTTGTAGATATTTGAAGCTTACTCTTCAAATGCCAACAAATGTATACATACTAGATTTAAAATGTCCTGAGACACGTTAAGTATAGTTCCCTATGCTGTTTATCAAAGAATATAAAAAATAGATTTGCCTTTTTTGTTTGTTTTTTGAGATGGAGTTTCGCTCTTGTTGCCCAGGCTGGAGTGCAATGGCGAGATCTCGGCTCAGCGCTACCTCCGCCTCCTGGGTTCAAGCGATTCTCCTGCCTCAGCCTCCTGAGTAGCTGGGATTACAGGCATGCGCCATCACGCCCGGCTAATTTTGTATTTTTAGTAGAGACGGGGGGGTTTCTCCATGTTGGTCATGCTGGTCTCAAACTTCTGACCTCTGACCTCAGGCGATCTGCCTGCTCAGCCTCCCAAAGTGCAGAGAGTATAGGCGAGAGCCACTGCACCCGGACTTTTTTTTGGGACAGAGTCCCCATTAAAGTCATTCTCTTAAATCCATAGTACTCCCCTAAGGTGTCCCCTTAGAGAGAGTAAATGCTTCAGAAAAACAGATAAAGTCAAGAATACTGGCATCATTCACGTGTCTATTTGAAAGCTGAGAATTTTTTAAAAATCTCGCCAGTCCAAAGTAAACCTATTTGAAAGTGACCACTGAGAGTTGGCCTCCTGTCTAAAGGTTTAGCTGTAAGTAAACAATCTAAAAAAAAAAAAAAGAATTAAAGACCTTGTTTTTGTTTTTGATCACACTGTTCAAAGAAAGTCTTTTGTGGGTGAAAGTTCACTAGGCTGAAATAATAGAAACATTGGAGAGTGGAATATGACCTTTACCCTTAAAGCAGGGGGCCTTAGTTTATTTTTGCTAGCTTCCTTCATGGGAGAACGTGGACACTGCTTGTCTCACTTCTCAGAATATTTTGCAAGTTGATATTTGATATGAGGAGAACCAACCGAAGAGAATATGTTAAGCAGTTGGGCATCTACTAGGTCTAGGAAAACTGGGAAGAAATTTCAGGAGGGCTGGTCTTCACTTGGCAAATAACCTCCCAAATCATCTATAATGATTACAAAGCAAAAGGAAGCTGGGTGCAGTGGCTCATGCCTGTAATCCCAGCACTTTGGGAGGCCGAGGCAGGCAGATCACGAGGTCAGGAGTTGGAGACCAGCCTGGCCAACATAGTGAAACCCCATCTCTACTAAAATACAAAAATTAGCCGGGTGTGGTGGCATGTGCTTGTAGTCCCAGCGACTTGGGAGGCTGAGGCGGGAGAATCACTTGAACCCGGGAGGTGGAGGTTACAGCGAGCTGAGACCACGCCATTGCACTCCAGCCTGGGTGAGAGTGAGACTCCCTCTCAAAAAAACAACAACAAAAAAGAAGGCTGGGTGCGGTGGCTCACACCTGTATTCCCAGTACTTTGGAAGGCAGAGGCGGGTGGATCACATATGGTCAGGAATTTGAGACCAGCCTGACCAACATGGCGAAACCCATCGCTACTGAAAATACAAAAAATTAGCCAGGCGTGGTGGCGCACACCTGTAATCCCAGCTACTCGGGAAGCTGAGGCAGGAGAATCACTTGAACCCAGGAGGCGGAGGTTGCAGTGAGTTGATATCGTGCCGTTGCACTCCAGCCTGGGCAACAAGAGTGAAGCTCTGTCTCAAAAAAATAAAATAAAAAATAAATAAAAATAAAAAGCAAAAGGAAAAAAGTAAGAGGAATTTTTCCACTCCCATAGCTCTGTATCTATCTTGCTACAGATTGCTATAAAAACCACCAGAAGCCAGGCGCAGTTGTTCATGCCTGTAATCCCAGCACTTTGGGAGGCCGAGGCAGGCAGATCACGAGGTCAGGAGATCGAGACTATCCTGGCTAACACAGTGAAACCCCATCTCTACTAAAAATACAAAAAAATTAGCTGGGTGTGGTGGCACGTGCCTGTAATCCCAGCTATTTGGGAGGCTGAGGCATGAGAATCGCTTGAACCCAGAGGTGGAGGTTGCAATGAGCTGAGCTGAGATCACGCCACTGCACTCCAGCCTGGGCGACAGCGAGACTCCGTCTCAAAAAAAGAAAAAAAAAAAAAAAGAGAAACCACCCAGAACTGAAAAAGAGAATATAGCTATTCTGACCCATTCCCTGATTTAAACCTTACTTTTGAAACTTTACTCAAGAGATAGCAACATAAACTTAATCCTTCCTTAATGAGCCTCTAAATTAAGGGAGGTCACAATTACAATTTCAAGAGCATAAAGGTAATTATTAATACATGCCCATGAGTTTGCCTATGTGTTTTGGTTGGGGCAATGATATGTCCTAAATTATCTGGAAAGGTCCAGATTTCATATTTTATCTCATAAGTCCTTTATTCCACAGATCATGAAGTTCAAAAATTTTTCAGTTGGAAACTATGATTATTTTAGTTATAGTCTCATAAGCTCTATTAAGAGTAATGATAAGCATGGCTGGGTGTGAAGGCTCACACCTGTAATCTCAGCACTTTGGGAGGCCGAGGAGGGTGGATCACCTGAGGTCAGGAGTTCGAGACCAGCCTGGCCAACATGGTGAAACCCAGTCTCTACTAAAAATACAAAAATCAGCTGGGTGTGGTGTCATGCGCCTGTAATCCCAGCTACTTGGGAGGCTGAGGCAGGAGAACGGCTTGAACCCCGGAGGCAGAGGTTGTAGTGAGCTGACATCCTGCCTCTGCACTCCAGCTTGGGTGACAGAGCAAGACTCCATCTCAAAAAAAAATAATAATAATGATAAACAAAGCTGTTGTAAGCTAAGAAAAGGCTGTTGAAAAGCAAATAGTCATCTTCCATCCTCTTATAAGATTTTGAAATTATTTATTATTATTATTATTATTATTTTTTGAGACGGAGTCTCGCTCTGTCGCCCAAGCTGGAGTGCATTGGCGATCTCAGCTCACTGCAAGCTCCGCCTCCCGGGTTCAGGCCATTCTCCTGCCTCAGCCTCCCGAGTAGCTGGGACTACAGGCGCCAGCCACCATATCCGGCTAATTTTTCGTATTTTTAGTAGAGACAGGGTTACACTGTGTTAGCCAGGATGGTCTTGTTCTCCTGACCTCATGATCCGCCCGTCTCGGCCTCCCAAAGTGCTGGGATTACAGGTGTGAGCCACCGCGCCCGGCCCCCTTATAATATTTTACCAACGTAGTAACAGTCATATCCCCTATGTGGTTTTAATGCACACTAAAAGAATAGGGGGCTGGGCATGCCTGTAATCTCAACACTTTGGAAGGCCGAGGCGGGCGGATCACGAGGTCAGGAGTTCCAGACCAGCCTGGGCAACATGGTGAAACCCCATTTCTACTAAAAATACAAGAATTAGCCAGGCGTTGTGGCGCATGCCTGTAATCGCAGCTACTCGGGAGGCTGAGGCAGGAGAATCACTTGAACCTGGGAGGTGGAGGTTGCAGTGAGCTGAGATCGTGCCACTGCACTCCAGCCTGGTCGAGAGAGTGAGACTTTGTCTCAAAAAAAAAAAAAAGAATACCACTTAGCATGACTACTGCTAGAATTAGCCTCTCTCCTTACTCTAGTGTAGGTGGAGAGGTGGAGGGTTATTGGTTTATGTCCCTTCAGAGTTATCACCCTAGTACTTGGAAACTGCATGCTGTTCCCAGGAGCATCATATGCTCTCCCCCAACCATCTGCTCCATCATGGGTCCCCACTCACTTAATTGCAGATCACTGCCCCAAACTCCTGGACACACTTTCTTTTGTAGGATATTATTCCCTGTGATGGGTGTAGCAAAAGAGTAAATGTGAGGCAAGGCACATTTTTCTTTAATTCTTTATCCCCTCATTCTCCACACCTTCACCACATAAGATAGTATAAGTCTATTAGACTTAGTGAATCGTTGAAGTAACTTAAGGAAATAATATTTTAGGAAGAGGGAAAAATTAAACATAACACAGTCTGCTCTGGTTGCACAATTATAGTGCATTTGATAGGTAGGAGCTCTATTTAAGCTGTCTTCCTAGAAGTCCCATCAATACTTTCACTTAATCTCATTCATTAGGAACCTAGACTCATGGCCACACAGACTCACTGCTTTAAGAATAAAGTCTGTGTTCCACTCTCAAATTTCTCATGTCACTATGGTTTTAGCTTAATGAACTTTTACCACAAAGGCTCTACAAGGGAGGCGAGCAAAATGAGTCCCTTGCCCTGCAACTACCACCATAAAAGGAAGTCAGGTGTTGGGAAACAAAATGAGATTAGTCATACTAATGGATCAAGTTATGGATTTTTTGTACATCCAAGTTTTAGAGTATCAGTGATGGTCTTGCTAAATGACCTTTCTGATTGTCCCAGGAAAGCTATCAAGATATTACTTCCTTCCCAGGGGGTTGCCTTGTAGAAAACCTAATTTATAATCTTTTTACCCTACCCACAGGTCTGACAGTCCTGCCATTTCCTAACTTCTCCTGTGTGGTCATCCACCTACCTTTGGGAACCTCCAGTCATTACTCACAGAGTTGGTCTCATCCTGGGAACTCTCTCTTGCCTCTCCCAGTGGTTCATTCTCCAAGTCTGAGTTATTTGGTCAAAAAAACCTCCAAATGCTTCAGACAACTCTCGCAAACTTGTCATAGCTTTTGGTATTCCAGGCCACAGAAGAGCCCAGGTGGGTACATGGGCCCTCCAAGTGTTTGTTTCCTCACCACTGTGAGTGACAAATATGCTTCTTTATCCTTAAAATTGTCCAGCCAGTAACTGTTGGAACACACTGACCTAGATCCACACATGCAAACACACCTTTCAAGGGCAAATGTTAATTCACAAAGACAATTGTAAAATCTAAGCTAAAGTTCACAAATGGGAGCTGCCTTTGAAGTGAATTCAGCCCACAGACATCTTTGATTAGCACCGTGTGTTGTTGTTGTTGCTGTTTTAAATTTTTTTTTTTTTTTTTTTTTTTTGAGACAGCGTTTTGCTCTTGTTGCCAAGACTGGAGTGCAATGGCGCGATCTTGGCTCACAACAACCTCTGCCTCCTGGGTTCAAGCAATTCTCCTGCCTCAGCCTCCCGAGTAGCTGGGATTACAGGCATGTGGCACCATGCCTGGCTAATTTTGTATTTTTAGTGCAGACGGGGTTTCTCCATGTTGGTCAGGCTGTTCTCGAACTCCTGACCTCAGGTGATCCACCCACCTCGGCCTCCCAAAATGCTGGGATTACAGGCATGAGCCACCAAGCCCAGCCCTTAAAATTATTTTTAATGTCTTTAGAAGAGGCATGCAATTTCGGATGGGTGCAGCACTCACGACTGTAATCCCAGCACTTTGGGAGGCCGAGGTGGGTGGATCACCTGAGGTCAGGAGTTGGAGACCAGCCTGGCCAACATGGTGAAACCCCATCTCTACTAAAAATACAAAAATTAGCTGGCCATGGTGGCGGGCACCTGTAATCCCAGCTACTTGGGAGGCTGAGGCAGGAGAATTGCTTGAACCCAGGAGGCGGAGGTTGCAGTGAGCCTAGATCACGCCATTGCACTGAAGCCTGGGCGACAAGAGCAAGACTCCATCTTAAAAAAAAAAAAAAAAAAAGAGGCATGCAATTTCCATTCCCCACCCCCCACAGTCTCTACTCCTCCCTATTATATCTAATTGCTTCACCCATGTATAGTATAGCCTGTCCTCTGAAATAATTGGAGTTTAAGATCCCTGAATCTAAACCTGTAAGCAGGAAAATAGATATTTTCCTAATGCCCTATAATACATAAACATGTTTCCATTTTCTCCTTCTGCTTTTATTTTTATTTTTATTTTTTTGAAATGGAGTCTCACTCTGTTGCCCAGGCTGGAGTGCAGTGGTGCAATTTCGGCTCACTGCAACCCCACCTCCCGACTTCAAGCCATTCTTCTGCCTCAGCTTCCCGAGTAGCTGGGACTACAGGCACCTGCCACCTAGTAGAGGTAGGGTTTCACCATGTTTGCCAGGCTGGTCTCAAACTCCCAACCTCAGGTGATCCACCCATCTCGGCCTCTGAAAGTGTTGGGATTACAGGTGTGAGCCACTGTGCCTGGCAAGAAGGAACATTTATGGGTGCTTGGGTGTAGTAGTTAAGAGTGGTTCCACAGAGGCCGGGCGCAGTGGCTCACACCTGTAATCCCAGCACTTTGGGAGGCCAAGGTAGGCGGATCGCCTGAGGTTGGGAGTTCGAGACCAGCCTGGACAACATGGTGAAACATGGCGAAACCCCCTCTCCACTACAAATACAAAAACTTAGCTGGGCGTGGTGGCAGGCGCCTGTAATCCCAACTACTCGGGAGGCTGAGGCAGGAGAATCACTTGAACCCAGGAGGTGGAGGTTGCAGTGAGCCGAGATTGTGCTATATAGCACTTCAGCCGGGGCGAAAAGAGTGAAACTCCGTCTCAAAATAAATAAATAAACAAATATGGAAAGGGGGATGGCTAGAATGAACTCTGCAGTGCTGGATCAGAATTGGAAATATCAATGGGAGCACATAGTTTTATAAATTTGTGTGTGTGTGTGTGTGTGTGTGCGCGCGCGCATATGTGTGCATTTGTGTATTAGTGTGATAGTCTGTCCTCTGAAAGGGCCTACAAGCCATGATACTCCAGTACAAATTAGTACACCTAGAACCCAGATTGTTCTAAATACAATTCTCCCTAAAGGAACCAGGGCTTTTTTTTTTTTTTTTTTTTTTTTTTTGAGACAAGAGTTTTGCTCTTGTAACCCAGGCTGGAGTGCAATGCCACAATCTTGGCTCCTTGCAACCTCCGCTTCCAGAGTTCAAGCAATTCTCCTGCCTCAGCCTCCCAAGTAGCTGGGATTACAGGCGCCTGCAACCACGCCAGGCTAATTTTTGTATTTTTAGTAGAGACTGGTTTCACCATGTTGGCCAGGCTGGTCTCAAACTCCTGATCTCAGGTGATCCACCCGCCTCAGCCTCCCAAAGTGCTGGGATTACAGGCATCAGCCACCGTGCCTGGCCTTTTTTTTTTTTTTAAGACGGAGTCTCGCTCTGTTGCCAAGCTGGAGTGCAGCAGCGCGATCTTGGCCACTGCAACCTCCGCCTCCCTGGTTCAAGTGATTCTCCTGCCTCAGGCTCCCGAGTAGCTGGGATTCTGGGATTACAGGTGCCTGCCACCATGCCCAGCTAATTTTTTTGTATTTTTAGTAGAGACGGTGTTTCACCATGTTGGCCAGGCTGGTCTCGAACTCCTGACCTCAGGTGATCCACCCTCCTCGGCCTTCGAAAGTGCTGGGATTACAGGCATGAGCCATGGCGCCCGGCCAGAGGAAGAGGATATTTACATAGTCTCAGAGTATCTCCTCACAAGATATTTGTTAACTATTAAGGGAAAAGTAAAGGCCAGGTGCAGTGGCTCATGCCTGTAATCCCAGCACTTTGAGAGGCTGAAGTAGGCAGATCACGAGGTCAGGAGTTCAAGACCAGCCTGGCCAACATGGTGAAACCCCCATCTCTACTAAAAATACAAAAAAAATTAGCTGGTGTGATGGTGGGCGCCTGTAATCCCAGCTACCTGGGAGGCTGAGGTGGGAGAATTGCTTGAACCCGGGAGGCAGAGGTTGCAGTGAGCTGAGATCGTGCCACTGCACTCCTGCCTGGGTGACAGAGCAAGACTCTGTCTCAGAAAAAAAAAAAAAAAAGGAAAAATAGTCCTTTTAAAGTGAAGAAACCTGGTAGACATCCCCTTAACCAAGTAATCAAAGTTAACTTCAACAGTAATGGAACAAGTCAACTAATATTATGTAGGGGTCACAACATCACTTCTGTGCTATTCCTGCTAAGAATGCATAACCTGAATGTAATCGTGAAGAAACATCAGACAACCCAAGTTAGGGGACACTCTATAAAACAACTGGCCTGTAACTCCTCAAATATGTCAAGGTTGTGAAAGACGAAGTGTGGAAAATTCTATTCCAGATTGAAGGAGACTAAAGACACTTGACAACTGAACACAATGTATGATATAGAATTTATTTTACCATAATGGACATTATTGGAACATTTGAGCAAATTCAAATGAGGTCTGTAGGTTAGAAAATATTATTGAATCAATATTGATTTCTTAATTTTTATAATTGTGGTTATGAAAGAGAATATCCTTGTTTTTAGAAAATATACACTGGCGGGGCGTGGTGGCTCACTCCTGTAATCCCAGCACTTTGGGAGGCCGAGGCGGGCAGATCACGAGGTCAGGAGTTTGAGACCAGCCTGGCCAACATGGTGAAACCCTGTCTCTACTAAAAATACAAAATTAGCTGGGCATGGTGGCATATGCATGTAGTCCCAGCTACCTGGAGGCTGAGGCAGGAGAATAGCTGGAATCCAGGAGGCAGAGGTTGCAGTGAGTTGAGATCACGCCACTGCACTCCAGCCTGGGTGACAGAGCAAAACTCTGTCTCAAAAAAAAAAAAAAAAACAAAGAAAAGAAAATATCCACTGAAGTGCTTAATGGAAAGGGGCATCATGTCTGTAAGTTATTATCAAACAGAAACAAGTTCAGAAAAAAATTATGCACATACACATGCACAGAAATACAGTGAGAGAGAGAGAGCAAGTGTGCAGTAGGTATTAGCCTAGGTTGCTAGGAGAATTAAAGTTAACAAGCAATTAATTCATGACTAACACCAGAAACTTGGAGAATATGCCCAATGACCTTTTATCAAGTGCCCAGTGCCAATTTATCACTTAAGATAGCA
Source organism: Homo sapiens (assembly GCF_000001405.40). NCBI lineage: Eukaryota > Metazoa > Chordata > Mammalia > Primates > Hominidae > Homo > Homo sapiens. The sequence goes on from NC_000001.11 coordinate 113,012,431, forward strand.
CTCCACATGGCAGAAAGACTTAAACGCCAGTAAGTCACTCTGTATGTTTGGGACATCTATAGAACACTTTTTTTTTTTTTTTTTGAAAACTCCTCTAGCAAAAAAATGTTTAAACTTTCATCTTCACGTTGGGTGATTGCAGTCATAAATTTCACACAATGATCCTGCTTGTATCATAGAATAACCCATTTTCTGATGAACAGGTTGAATCCAAATAAATTCCAAACACGTGTATAATGTAGAGTTAAAACATTTTAGACTCAAAGCTCAAAGCTAATTAAGAACCGGCATGGGCCACAGTTTGAACCAGCACCAACTTGTCTTTGCTCTGTTATTGGTTTGCTGTCTTTGCCTGTTATTCCATATCACTTGCTGGAAGGAAGCAGCCATACTGAAATACAAATTTTGTTTGTTTCTTTTTTAAAAAAGGAAACAAATAGATGGTTTATTCTAAGAATGTACAGGAACTTATATTCTAAACGTCCATAAATGCATATTCTAGGGACTCTTATCATCTCAGAACCCTACTACAGATTCTCTTTAATCTTTTTAAACATCCTGTTACATAAATTGCAGCTGTATCTATAGCAGGAAGAACAATAAGATAATAACTGGTCAAACATCAAAAGCACTTGGGTGGGTCTTCCACAAACATTTAGTCTTCTCTCCCACCAACACCATGTTCTTAGATTTTTTTTCCAACCACATTAATGTATTTTTTGTTTGTTTGTTTCTTCTTTTTCCTTTCCCCTGAGTAATTACTATGAATTTTTGCCAGGTCAAGAATTCTTCCCAGAAACAAACCCCAAGTATTAAAAAAAATCAAACAAACAGTACCTGAAGATAAGATGTACTCTTTCCAGGCCCACCCCCTCCCTTTGATTTCTTTCTCCAGATTGAGTGGGTTTAATTGGAATTGCACGTCCTCAGCGTTTCATGAAGGACAGATTTTCTATCTGACCTATGACCTGCTAGGAATTCCCTATTAACTTTCATGGGATGAATTTGGAATTGTCCTTACCACTCAGTATTTACTAAGTAAGAAATCACACAAACTCTTATGCAGGCTGTGAATCTAATGTATGTATACATATAGCAAGCATTTCTTGATGATAAAATGTTAGAGTTATGGTCGGGCACAGTGGCTCATGCCTGTAATCCCAGCACTTTGGAAGGCCCAGGCGGGTGAATCACTTGAGGTCAGGAGTTCAAGACCAGCCTGGCCAATATGGTGAAACCCCGTCTCTACTAAAAATACAAAAATTAGCCAGGTGTGGTGGTGCACGCCTGTAGTCACAGCTACTCAGGAGGCTGAAGCAGGAGAATGGCTTGAACCCAGGAGGCGGAGGTTGCGGCGAGCCAAGATTATACCACGGCACTACAGCCTGGGTGATAGGGCAAGATTCTGTCTAAAAAAAAAAAAAAAGTTAGAGTTAGGAAGAGTTTTAGAGGTCATTCAACTTGACGTCTTTTCCATAACTTTTTTTGTCAAATGGTTGCAAGCCAAAAACTCAGTTGTTATAACAAGGAGCTCCATATGGTGTTGGGCAGCTCAATCTATTGCTGGACAGCTCTCATCATAACCCTTGCTTCTTCCTGTGGTTCTCTGGAGCCTCACAGAATATGTCTACCTCTCTTCCATATGACAACCCTTCACACACTGGTAGCTGCTAATTTGTGCCAATTAAGCTGTCACCAGGTCTCATAATGATTTTTCAGATCACATTGGGAAACGCATGAACATCCAAAAGTTAATGTTTAACTCTGGAAGGTAAGATTATGGTTATGTTTTTACTTTCTTGTTTATATGTAAATTCTAAGTTTCACAATAAATATTTAATAGTGCAAACATTTGGCCGGGCATGGTGGCTCACGCCTGTAATCCCAGCACTTTGGGAAGCCGAGGCGGGAGGATCACCAGGCCAGGGGTTTGAGACCAGCCTGGCCAACAAGGCAAAACCCTGTTTCTACTAAAAATATGAAAATTAGCCAAGCGTGGTGGTGGGTGCCTGTAGTCCCAGCTACTCGGGAGGCTGAGGCAGGAGAATCTCTTAAACCCTGGAGGCAGAAGTTGCAGTGAGCCGAGATCATGCCACTACACTCCAGCCTGGGCAACAGAGCGAGACTCCATCTCAAAATAATAATAATAATAAGAAGAAGAAGAACATTTTTATTGAGCTTATTCTAGATGCCACTTCCTTTTAAAAAAGGAAACAAATAGATGGTTTGTTTTAATTACTCTACAATAACCCTGAGGGATAAGCACTGTAATTATCCCCATTGTACAGATGAGGAAACTGGGGCATAGAGGGATTAAGTAATTTTCCCAAGGCCGCACAGCTAAGTAAGTGGCTGATATGATATTGGAACCCAGGTTTGCCTGATTTTTAAGTATTCCTCTTTTTTTTTTTTCTTTGAGACAAGGTCTCACTTCGTCACCCAGGCTGGAGTGCAGTGGTGTGATCACTGCTCACTGCAGCCTAGATTTCCTGGGCTCAAGTAGTCCTCCCACTTCAGCTTCCCAAGCAGATGGGACCACAGGCATGAGCCACCATACCCAGCTAATTCTTTTTTTCTCTGTTAGAGATAGGGTCTCCCTATGTTGCCCAAGCTGCTATCAAACTCCTGGGCTCAAAGGATCCTCCCACTTCAGCCTCCCAAATTGTTGGAGCCACCGTGCCTGGCCAGCCTCCCAAAGTGTTGGAGCCAGCTTCCTAAGGTGTGAGCCACCGTGCCTGGCTGACCATTCCTCTTATAAGAAAAACAATTTATTTATTTTGGCAGCAACAAGTAGGGCGTTATTTGTTTTGTTTTGTTTTTAGTGTGGTGTCCAGAAATTAATAGAATATGCTAGATTTGATGTGAACAGCATAAAGCACACTGGGATTATTATGTCCTTTGATTTGGTGACAGTATAATATATCAATGCCCCTAAGACTGCATTTGATTTTTTACCTGTAATACAAGATTACCGGCTCATACAGAGATTACAAAAAATCCTCTGGTTCTTATTTTACTTTTTCTTTCTCCCTTGACTCTACCATCCCCCGTCTTCATCTACTACCCCATCACCTGTCCCCTCCACCCCCATAATCAATTTATCAACCTAGTTGTTAATATTTTTCTCTATGCTCATATAATCACATATAGACAAATACAAATGCACACATATTCAATGCAGTTTTTTTTGTCATTTAAAAAGTGACTACTTTTTTGCCTTTTACTCAAAACATTTTTGTGTGTAAAATCCCTCTAAGTCAACTGGTAGAGTACAAATTCATTCCTCTTTATGGATGTGCCAAAATGTGAATGTACTATAATTTTTACAACCATCACTCTATTGATGGACATCCATAGTATTCACAATTTGTGTGTGTGTGTTGCCACTTAAAATGCTGCAACAAATGTCCTTGTACATACGTCCTATAGTGTTTTTACTCCAATAGTTTTATTGAAACTAATGGTTTTTTTCAGAGGATAGATTCCCAGGACTGTAATTGCTGGGTCAAAGGGTATATATATTTTTATTTGTTTTTTATTTTATTTTATTTTATTTTATTTTATTTTATTTTATTTTATTTTATTTTATTTTATTTTTTGAGACCAAGTCTCACTCTATCGCCCAGGCTGGGGTGCAGTTGCACAATCTTGGCTCACTGCAACCTCTGCCTCCCGGGTTCAAGTGATTCTCCTGCCTCAGCCTCCTGAGTAGCTGGGATTACAGGCACGCGCTATCACGCCCGGCTAATTTTTGTATTTCTAGTAGAGACAGGGTTTCACCATGTTGGCCAGGCTGGTCTCAAACTCCTGACCTCAGGTGATCCACCCTCCTTGGCCTCCCAAAGTGCTGAGATTACAGGGGTGAGCCACCGCACCTGGCCAAAGGGTATATTTAAAATAATAGCTGTTGCCAGACTGCTTTCCAAAAAGGCTATAACACTTCATATTTCAGTAGCAGCACATGAAAATACCCCTTGCCCCCATCCCTGCAGCAATAGGTGTTATAGTGTATTCAGTAGCCATTCTAACAAAAACTGTGAAAGAAAATCAAAAGAAACTACTTCAACATAATAAAAACTATTTACCCCAAATGAAAAGCAACTATGATACTAACTGGCAAAATGTTAAAATTCTTTTATTCAAAATCAGGAACTACACAGGAGTTTTTAGTTAAGGCCAGGTGCGGTGGTGGTTCACACCTGTAATCCCAGCACTTTGGGAGGCCGAGGCGGGTGGATCACGAGGTCAGGAGATTGAGACCATCCTGGCTAACACGGTGAAACCCTGTCTCTACTAAAAATACAAAAAATTAGCCAGGCATGGTGGTGGGTGCCTGTAGTACCAGCTATTCGGGAGGCTGAGGCAGGAGAATGGCGTGAACCTGGGAGGCGGAGCTTGCAGTGAGCTGAGATTGCGCCATTGCACTCCAACCTGGGCGACACAGCAAGACTCCATCTCAAAAAAAAAAAAAAAAAGAGTTTTTAGTTAAATAAATCTCCCAAGTCTATTTCACTCTTAACTTTAAAATTAACATATAATAGGCCAGGCACCGTGGCTTACACCTGTAATCCCAGCACTTTGGGAGGCCCAGGTGGGCAGATCACCTGAGGTCAGGAGTTCGAGACCAGCCTGGCCAACATGGTGAAACCTCGTCTCTACTAAAAATACGAAATTAGCCGAGTGTGGTGGCACATGCCTGTAATCACAGCTACTTGGGAGGCTGAGGCAAAAGAATCACTTGAACCTGGGAGGTGGAGGTTGCAGTGAGCTGAGATCACACCATGGCACTCCAGTCTGGGCAATAAGAGCAAAACTCCATCTAAAAAAAATAATTAATTAATTAACATAATACACATATAAAATGTGCACAAATCCTAAGTGCACACATCAATGATCAATGAATTTTTGCAAAGCAAACATATTTATATAACTACCACATAGGTCAAGAAAGTTATTACCAGCACTTCAGAAGCCTAACTCATGCCCCCTTCCTCCTTCCTATAGAGAACCAGTCCTGACTTTTAACACCACTGAATAGTTTTGCCTGGATTGGAAACATACATACATGTGGCATCATGCAATCTATACTCCTTTGTGTGTGTTTGGTTTATTTCTTTCAACATTTTCTTTGTGAAGTTTCTTCATGTTTCTGATAGCAGTAGTTCACTCACTTTCATTGCTGTACGATAGTTTATTGCTTGAATAATATACCACAATTCAATGTCCATTCTGTTGTTGATGAACTTTCAGGTCCTTCTGAATCTGAAACCCATCATCCAATATGTTAGCCATCAATACTCCCAGCTTTGTGTCATCAGAAATTTGGATGATCACAACATTTCTGATACAAATCATTGACTTTTAACTGTTTGACAGGACCAGACAGACTTGTATCAGCCAACTAGAGATCTCCCTTCAGGTTAACCTTAATACTAATAAATATTATTTGGACAAAATTTAGTTAGCTAAAACTGTAGCTATCTGTAGTATCATTCAATGTACCTTTCTGCATTTCAGAGGCCGAGATAGGAGATTCACTTGAAGCCAGGAGTTTGAGACCAGCCTGGACAACCTAGTAAGACCTCATCTCCACAAAAAATTTTAAAAATTAGCCAGGTGTTGTGGTACATGCCTGTAGTCTTAGCTACTTGGGAGGCTGTGGCAGGAGAATCACTTGAGCCCAGGAGTTTGAGGCTACAGTGAGCTATGGTCACACCTCCACATTCCAGCCTGGGCAACAGAGCAAGATCGCATCTTTAAAAAAAAAAACAAAAAACAGGCCAGGCACAGTGGCTCACGCCTGTAATCCCAGTATTTTGGGAGGCCGAGGCAGGCAGATCACAAGTTCAAGAGTTTGAGACCAGCCTGGCCAATATAGTGAAACCCTGTCTCTACTAAAAATACAAAAAAAAAATTAGCCGGTCGTGGTGGTGCATGGCTGTAATCCCAGCTACTTGGGAGGGTGAGGCAGGAAAATTGCTTGAACATGGGAGGCGGAGGTTGCAGTAAGCTGAGATCATGCCACTGCACCCCAGCCTGGGTGACAGAGCAAGACTCCATCTCAAAAAAAAAAGCAAAAAAAGGCTGGGTGCGGTGGCTCACGCCTGTAATCCCAGCACTTTGGGAGGCCGAGGTGGGCGGATCATGAGGTCAGGAGATCGAGACCACCCTGGCTAACACGGTGAAACCCTGTCTCTACTAAAAATACAAAAAATTAGCCGGGCATGGTGGCGAGCACCTGTAGTCCTAGCTACTCGGGAGGCTGAGGCAGGAGAATGGCGTGAACCCGGGAGGCGGAGCTTGCAGTGAGCCGAGATCACACCACTGCATTCCAGCCTGGGCGACAGAGCGAGACTCTGTCTCAAAAAAAAAAAAAAAAAAAAAAGCAAAAGAACCATAAGTATTTGTGGAGGTCTACTGAGTTCTAGGTACTGAGTGGGGTTAGAGAAGTGGAAAAAACAGACCACACCGAGACTCTCACGAAATTTACATTCTAGTTGATGAGATAGATGTAAATAAAAATTCAGGTCATTTTATGAGGAAAGTGAAATGGAGCAACACTAAACAGAATAATGAGGAGAAAGGCACACAACTTCTGAAGGCACTAGCCATGTGAAGACTGGGAGTATACCATTCCAGGCAGGGGAACAGCAAGCACAAAGTCCTTGAGGAAGGGATGGGCTTAAAAAAACAAGGAGGGCAGTGTACCTAGAGCAAAATGTGAACAAAGGCAAGTAGAGGAAAGGTAGACAGAAACTAGATTATGTAAGGTCTTGAAATTCTTTTATTTACTCACTTACTTTTTTAGAGATGGGGTCTCCCTGTGTCACCTGGGCTAGGGTACAGTGGCTATTCACAGGAGCAATCATAGCACACTGCAGCCTGGAACTCTGAAGCTCAAACAATCCTCACCCCTCAGCTTCCCAATAGCTGAGACTACAGACTCACACAATGTGCTTGGCAAGGCCTTTTATTCTAAATGCAGTGGTGAGATGGACAAGAGATGTACCATCCATATCCTCCTTTAAGGAAGGACTTGATGCCCAGATGTAAAGAGTGTAGTCACCAAACAGCCCTTTCAGAATCTGCCCCAGACACAGAGAGCCCCACTGCTTAAGGATATACCCTTCTTAGAGCAGATCGCTTCTAGAGACTAAGTGAGCAGGGTTATAAAGCCCCAGCTATTTTAACCTAACAATTCTGACGGATAATACTCGTTTTTCAGAGCTCCTTGATAGGTTGGCCAAGGCTATTTTTGGTCTGCATCACTGATTTCTTCCTCAGTCCAACTCAGATTTCTCTTTCTTCCTTGTCACAGATGTTAAACCTTAATAACATGTTGAATCCCAAACTCCACCTCTGCATCTGTGACAAACTTAACCTGTGACAAATGGGAAGCCATAAAAGGATTTTTTTTTTTTTTTTTTTTGAGACAGAGTTTCACTCTTGTTGCTCAGGCTGGAGTGCAATGGCATGATCTCAATCTTGGCTCACCGCAACCTCCGCCTCCCAGGTTCAAGTGATTCTCCTGCCTCAGCCTCCCTAGTAGCCTGCCTAGTAATAGGCATGTGCCACCATGCCCGGCTAATTTTGTATTTTTAGTAGAGACAGGGTTTCTCCATGTTGATCAGGCTGGTCTTGAACTCCTGACCTCAGGTGATCCACTCACCTTGGCCTCCCAAAGTGCTGGGATTACAGGCGTGAGCCACCGCGCCCGGCTGCCATTGAAGGATTTTTAAGCAAAGAATTCAAATGGCCTGATTTACATTTTAGATCACTCTAGCTGCTGTATAGAGGATGGACTGTGGGAAATAAAAGTGAAAACAAGACCAGTAGCAGTAGCCCAGGGGAGATGGTGGTGATTTGATCTAGGGAGGAGAAAGTGGGAAGTGGATGGATTTGGGATATAATTTGGTTGTAGAAGTGATAACTGCGCGGTGGCTCACGCCTGTAATCCCAGCACTTTAGGAGGCCGAGGCAGGCGGATCACCTGAGGTCAGGAGTTCGAGACCAGCCTGGCTAACATGGTGAAACCCCGTCTCTACTAAAAATACAAAAAATTAGCCAGGCGTGATGGCGGGCGCCTGTAGTCCCACCTACTCGGGAGGCTGAGGCAGGAGAATGGTGTGAACCAGGAGGCAGAGCTTGCAGTGAGCCTAGATAGCGCCACTGCACTCCAGCCTGGGTGACAGAGCGAGACTCCATCTCAAAAAAAAAAAAAAAAAGTGATAACTGGTTCATCCCAACCATTTTTATCAGTTACCTTGCAGAAAACAAATTTAGTGTGTTGAAGGAAACCAAAATATTTCTCGCTAAAATACTGGGGATTTTAGTTTAAAAGCTTAAAACACATGGGCACACTGCCCTTCCTAACTCTGCCTTCATCCGCTCAGAAACAGCTCAGCGGTGCCAGAGGATCCAGGAGCAGACTTTACTCTTCCCATTAATTTACCTTCCCACATTTTCCTGCCTTTTGGAAGCCTAAAGATACTCTTCTTTGTTTCAGCACTTCGTAAGATTCATGGCTCTGGCCAAGTACGGTGGCTCACGCCTGTAATCCCAGCACTTTGGGAGGCCTAGGCAGGTGGATTGCTTGAGGCCAGGAGCTCGAAACCAGCCTGTCCAACATGGCACTACCCTGTCTCTACTAAAAATACAAAAATCAGCCGGGCGTGGTGGCACACGCCTGTAACCCCAGCTACTCGGGAGGCTGAGGCGCAATAATCGCTTGAACCCAGGAGGCGAGGTTGCAGTGAGCCGAGATCATGCCACTGCACTCCAGCCTGGGCGACAGAGCAAGACTCTGTCAAAAAAAAAAAAAAAAAAAATTCATGGTTCTTTGTTAAAATACTATTTAAACAAGGTCCCTAAGCCACTGCCTGGAGAGAGAAATACTTTTGAACTGAGGCCTCTCCCACTTGATGGGTACAGCATGTTAATAAACTTGTTTTTCTTTTGTTAATCTGACGCTTGTTTTCAAGTGTCTCAACTAAGAACCTAAAAAGGGTAAAAAAAGAAATGATGTTTTCTCTCCAACAGTGTGTTTTTATTTCTTTCATCTACCTGTCCAGTAATCATTTTAAAAAAGAAAATAGCATTAGTTACTGCCTGTGTGATGTGGCCCCTGCTTATCTGCACTCTCCCTCCTGTTTACTGTTCCAGCCACCTCAGCTTTTTCTCTGTTCCTCTAGCATGGCAAGCTTATTCCTGCCTCATGACTCTTTCGCATGGTGTTTTCAGATTTTCTCTGTAGCACTCTGCACGCATTGTCCACCTAAATTCTATTCATCCCTCAGGTAGCAGTTTAAATACTGTGTCCCCACAGAGGATTTCTCTAGCACTGCCTCCTCTCCCAGTGAAGCTAGTTCCTGTAATTATGGGCTCACATAAATCCCTGGGTTTTCTTTTTTGGCACTTATCACAAGCTGTAATTATACCATACGTTTTATTATTTGTCTTCCTCACCAGAGTTCCACAAGGGGCAGGAATGTGCCTGTTTTGTTTTCTGCTTCATCCCTTGTGTCTTGCACAGTAACTATAACTCAGAATTTGCGCAACAAATATTTGCTGAATGAAAGAACTTGCCCGTAGCGGCCCCTTGTTAGTGCCTAGAGTCAATTTCTTTACATGCTCGTAAAACATCTTTTGATAATCCATGCCAAAATGTTCTAGAGATCATTGAAAATTTTCCTACTAGTTTTCAGAATGTAATTTTTTTCCACCTGGGGAACTTTTTTTTTTTTTTTTTTTTTTTTTTTTTTTGAGATGGAGCCTCCACCGTGTCTCTACTAAAAATACAAAAAATCTCTCACTGAGTCTCACTCTGTCACCCAGGCTGGAGTGCAGTGTCAAGATCTTGGCTCACTGCAACCTCCACCTCCCAGATTGAAGCAATTCTCCTGCCTCAGCCTCCCAAGTAGCTGGGTCTACAGGTGCCAGCCACCAGGCCCGGCTAAGTTTTTGTATTATTAGTAGAGACGGGGTTTCACCATGTTGGCCAGGCTGGTCTCGAACTCCTGACCTCGTGATCCATCCGCCTTGGCCTCCCAAAGTGCTGGGATTACAGGTGTGAGCCACCGTGCCCAGCCTGAGAACATTTTTTAAAATAAAGTTTGATTATTGTATTGTATACATATATATATATATATATATATATATATATATATATATATATATATATATTTTTTTTTTTTTTTTTTTTTTTTTTTTTTTGAGATGGAGTCTTGCTTTTGCCACCGTCCAGGCTGGAGTACAGTGGCACGATCCCGGCTCATTGCAACCTCCACCTTCTTGGTTCAAGGGATTCTCCTGCCTCAGCCTCCCAAGTAGCTGTGATTTCAGGTCCCGCCACCACGCCCAGCTAATTTTCAAATTTTTAGTAGAGATGGGGTTTCACCATGTTGGTCAGGCTGGTCTCAAATTCCTGACCTCAGGTGATCCACCCAGCTCGGCCTCCCAAAATGCTAGGATTACAGGCGTGAGCCACCACACCCAGCCTATATGGATGTAATTTTAAGGTAATACCAAATATTTATAACAACAACAAAACCCTACTCTATTCCACAGTCTTACTCTCTAGATATGCAACTACTTAAGCTAAGCAGGTTTGGTCAATCTCTATCTTTAAAGGAAGTCTTTTTTCATACTTAAAAAATCAAAGACATTTTACCCTCTGACCCTTTCCCCACTGTCAATAATTTCAATAGTATTTCCATTTGCGGTTTGCAACACCATTGGCAATTTCTTTCAGTATCTTTTAGTATTGGGGACTAGAAATTTTACTTTTTAAAAATTTATTTATTTCTTATTTTTTATTTTTCTTTTTTTTTTGGTAGAGATGGTGCCTCTCCATGTTACCCAGGCTGGTCTGAAACTCCTGGTCTCCCAAAGTACTGGGATTATAGGCGTGAGCCACCACACCTAGCCTAAATTTTAATTGTTTTAAAAGTAGCAGAATATCTCTTATTATCTCACCTCAATGGTGTTACATTTCTTTTCTTTTCTCTTTTTTTTTTTTGAGACAGGGTCTTGCTCTGTTGCCCAGGCTGGAGTGTAGTGGCACATTCGTAGCCTCAGCCTCCTAGGCTCAAGGGATACTCCTGCATCAGCCTCTTGAGACTACAGGTAAGTGTTCCCATGTTGAGACAGGGTTTCACCATGTTGGCCAGGCTGGTCTCAAATTCCTGACCTCAAGTAATCCACCGGCCTCGGCCTCCCAAAGTGCTGGGATTACAAGTGTGAGCCACCATGCTTGGCCTGATTTCAGGATTTTAAATGTGATATGTTTCCCCACAAGCCCCACATTTTCCAGAAGAGCTAGCTTGACACAAACTAAATTTTGCTCATGGGTGAAATGTAAAGAATTTATAATCAGCCGGGTGCAGTGGCTCACGCCTGTAATCCCGGCACTTTGGGAGGCTGAGGCGGGCGGATCATGAGGTCAGGAGATCGAGACCAGCCTGGCCAACATGGTGAAACACTGTCTCTACTAAAAATACAAAAATTAGCTGGGTGTGGTGGCATATGCCTGTAATCCCAGCTACTCAGGAGGCTGAGGCAGGAGAACTGCTTGAACCGAGGAGGTGGAGGTTGCGGTGAGCCAAGATTATGCCATTGCACTCCAGCCTGGGCAACAAGAGTGAAACTCTGTCTCAGAAAAAAAAAAAAAAAAAAGAATTTATAATCAAGCAGCTTCCTCCCCTCCCCAATGCCCTGCCACTGATCCCTTATGAACATTATTTAGGAAGACCCTTTGCCTCTACTTGTTTTTTAAAAAGTGAAATAACAGAAAGTGAAGAGGTTTTCTCAGGATGTTAGCAATTCTCCACTGTTAAGCAGGTCTTCTCTAGGTTTACAACAGAAATAGCTAAGGAGGCAGAGCTCACACCTACTTTGTCTATCTTTCTAATACTGAACAAAACCTTTACTCAATTTTGCTGCTTTCTAATGATTCTGTCCTATTTCTACTCTTTTTTGGCAAACTCCTCTAGCAAATTATCTGCGCAGTTATCGTCACCTCTTAATGTCAAATAACAAATAATTTGGTTTTAGTCTCTATTGAAATATAATTAAGGGCCATTATCTACTCCTGAATAGCCACATTAAAATGCCTCTTCTCAGTCTTTACTGAGTTCCCTATTGAGTTTGTTATTGCAAACCACTCTATTAAGGAATGGTTTTTCTTCTCTTTATAATTAAAGAAAATTACATGAACAGTATAGCAACATTAATACAGCTCTAGATAAAAGACAGAAAAAGTCACCCACAATGTCACTACCCATCCAAAAGTAAACATTTTTTAAAAGTTGTTGTTGTTGTTTGAGACAGAGTTTCGTCTTGTTGCCCAGGCTGGAGTGCAGTGGCGCAATCTCTGCTTACCACAACCTCCATCTCCTGGGTTAAAGCGATTCTCCTGCCTCAGCCTCCTGAATACCTGGGATTACAGGCATGTGCCACCACACCTGGCTAATTTTGTATTTTTAGTAGCGACAGAGCTTCTCCAACTTGGTCAGGCTGGTCTCAAACTCCTGACCTCAGGTGATCCGCCCTCCTCGGCCTCCCAAAGTGCTAGGATTACAGGCATGAGCCACCGCGCCTGGCCAAAAAATTATGTTTATAGGACACTAGTGGCTGGGTGCGGTGGCTTAGCCTGGCCAGCATGGTGAAACCCTGTCTCTACTTAAAATACAAAAACTTAGTCAGGCATGGTGGCGTGCACCTGTAATCCCAGCTACTCAGAAGGCTGAGGCAGGAGAATTGCTTGAACCTGGGAGGCAGAGGTGGCAGTGAGCCGTGATCGTGCCACTGTACTCCAGCCTGGGCGACAGAGTGAGACTCCATCTAAAAAAAAAAATTCTTCACATTTCACCCATGAGCAAAATCTAGTTTGTGTTAAGCTAGCTCTTCTGGAAAATGTGGGGCTGGTGGGGAAATGTATTATATTTAAAATCCTGAAATCAGGCCGAGCACAGTGGCTCACGCCCAGGTAGGTGGATCACCTGAGGTTAGGAGTTTGAGACCAGCCTGACCAACATAGTGAAACCCTGTCTCTATTAAAAATACAAAATTAGGCCGGGCGCGGTGGCTCACGCCTGTAATCCCAGCGCTTTGGGAAGCCAAAGCAGATGGATCACCTGAGTTCGGGAGTTCGGGACCAGCCTGACCAACATGAAGAAACCCCATCTGTACTAAAAATACAAAAATCAGCCGGGCATGGTGGCGCATGCCTGTCATCCTAGCTACTCGGGAAGCTGAGGCAGGAGAATCGCTTGAACCTGGGAGGCAGAGGTTGCGGTGAGCTGAGATCATGCCATTGCACTCTAGCCTGGGCAACAAGAGGGAAACTCCGTATCAAAACAAAAAGGCTGAGTGTGGTGGCACATGCCTGTAATCCCAGCTATTTGAGAGGCTGAGGCAGGAGAATCGCTTGAACCCAGGAGGCAGAGGTTGCAGTGAGCTGAGATCGCGCCTTTGCACTCCAGCCTGGGCAACAAGAATGAGACTCCATCTCAAAATAAAATAAATAAATAAAATAAAATCCTGAAATCAGTTAAGCCTTAGTGAGGGTCTCTTAGGGCCTCCCCAGATGGGCGTATGTTTTCAGGAAGAAAGTAGAGAGAACAAAAATGACAAGGGGGCCGGGCACGGGGGCTCATGCCTGTAATCCTAGCATTTTGGGAGGCCGAGACGGGTGGATCACCTGAGGTCAGGAGTTCAAGACCATCCTGGCCAACGTGGTAAAACCCCATCTCTACTAAAAATACAAAAATTAGCTGAGCATGGTGGCATGCACCTGTAATCCCAGCTACTTGGGAGGCTGAGGCACGAGAATTGCTTGAACCGTGGAGGTGGAGGTTGCAGTGAACCAAGATTGCACCATTGCACTCCAGCCTGGGCGACAGAGCGAGACTCCGTCTCAAAAAAAAAAGACAAGGGAAAATAATGATTAGGTTGATGAACAGAAAGGCCCTTAGGCAAAATTATGCTTTTCCTATGTAGTTCTGGAAGTAATGTCCTCCTCTTAGTTTAGCAGAAAGGATTACCTCTCACTGGCAGAATTTCTTGCTAGGTAGAAAGGGAAGGTAGAAGCAAGCCAGTGGAGATGTATTTTTACAATGCATTGGATCTTTCCGCACTTCTCAGATCACACTATGTAAAGAGTACCCTCTTCCAACACATAGAACACTCTTTATTTAGGCCAAATCAAGATTTCTGGATACTCTATAATGGTCAGGCTGGATAAACGGTTAGGGAGGGAAGGAAAGGGACTTTTCACATCATATCTGTTATATCTTTTAAATTTTGTATTATGATCATGTGTCATTTATTGAAACAGTAAGTTGTTACTTTAAAGACTCAATTAAGGCTGAGTAGTGAAATTTAAGATTTAGTTTTTTGGTCAGCATAGCCTCCAGTATTTATTTCTTTCCTTGCCCAACTTGTTCATCCGCTTTGTGATTTTGTACTGTGGAGTTTTAGTTTAGAGACCTCTCCCTGCAAGTGATACCCCCAACCGAAGTTATCAAATCTAATCTAAACAGATCAATTTATGCGTGACATTTCATTTTCTTCCATAAGCTCTGTTTCCCACCAGCAAACAAAACATCTTGTTAAAACAGAGACTGTCCACTTCAAGCTTCAGATGAGAATTACAGTCAGATTCCAGCCCTGCTATTTACTAGCTACGTGACCTTCTGCAGGGCATGTTACCGCTCTGGGATTGGGTTTCCTCATGTGGGGCTGTAGAAGGTGCACTCAATTTACTAGATAGAGGTCAAAGGATGTACTTCAACTTCTGGCTCTGCCACTTTGTTGCTGTGCGACCTTGGACATGCTGCTTGGCCTGTAAGCTTCCGTTTCTATAAAATAGGGATAACGCTTCCTTCCAGGGAGGTTTTGAAAGTGGGATGAGGGATCTAAGATGCCTAGGACACATGAGTGCTTAAGCCATGTTAGTGTCTTCTCCTTTCTCTTCACCTGTTTCTTTCTGGGCTGTTTTTGTTTGTTTGCTTTTACTTTATAAAATAAGAACAGTGAACTACCTATTATGCAGATCTCCTGCCTTTCATAATGCTTTATAAACTGTGAAGCAGAAAGCAGAATGTGTGGTTGTTTGGGCACCAGGAGGACAAAGGTCCCCAGGCTTTGAATTTCTCTGACCTCTCTAAATTGTGTTTGAATTCCAGAGAAGAGCTCTGTTTTTCTAGGTGAGAATTAGGCAAGCTTTTCCTGGAGCTCACCCCAGTCAGCACCCTGAGGGCTGAGGGCTGAGGGCTGAGGGCTTCCCTTCCACAAGACCTCCCTGTCTTTGTGAGGCTCAGCATCACAAAGCCACCTGGGGAGTCAAGGGTAGGTATTGTTCTTCAGAGACACCTGGATGCTGGCTCACTCCCTGAGGAGGAGGGAAAGCTGCTCTGGCCTTTGAAACATTGTATTGAAAACTCACACACAGAAGCCAAAACTGACAAGGATGATAAGCTGCTAATATGCTAATAATAATAATAATGAACTATGCCTGTTCTTCACATACTGTGCTCTGAGAGAGGTTAAAATGCCTTTAGGCCAGTACTTTGATTTTTTTTTTTTTTTTGAGATGAAGTCTCAAAAAAGCTCCGTCACCCAGGCTGGAGTGCAGTGGCATGATTTCGGCTCACTGCAACCTCCGCCTCCCAGGTTCAAGCGATTCTCCCACGTCAGCCTCCCGAGTAGCTGGGACTACAAGCACACGCCACCATGCCTGGCTAATTTTTTGTATTTTTAGTAGAGATGGGGTTTCACCATGTTGGCCAGGCTGGTCTCCAACTCCTGACCTCAGGTGATGCACCTGCCTCGGCCTTCCAAAGTGCTAGGATTACAGGCACAAGCCACAGTGCCCGGCTAGGTAGAAGTTTAGAAGAGTTCATTAAGACTCTGCCACTCGGTGGATTTGTAACATGTATTAAACATTAACCCTCTCTGGGCCTGAGTTTCTCTATCTTAAGATGAGGAAAATTGGTGAAATAATACCTAACACACTTCCTAGCTCTAACTAACTTTGCTAGGCCAGATGCTTACAAATTGAAATTCTTTGATGTCAACCCTGTCTTATTCCTTGGACAAAGGGGAAGAGAAGAAAGGTCTTAGTTTTTACAACGCAACCAGCATGTATCAGGCATTATATGAGGGACTTTATGTACACTAATGTATACACTGATTTCTAGCACAGCATTGCTTTGTTAATTTGACAAATGATCTTCTAAAAGGGTGGGCACGTGTGCCAAGGGTACTATCACAAGGTTCTCTAATTTTAATCTTATCAAGGAAACAAGTAATCAAAAGACAGAAATGGGAGGCAGAATTAGTACATAATTTTAAATTTGCATTGGTGTGATACTATACTAGACACTGGAAATAAGGTAATCACAGTTAACCTACTAAACAGATATTTTACTTGATAGCAATAGAGAATACATAATATGTCTAAATCAAGTATCCTGTATAAATCACAGGTGAGCTATTTCTCAACACATTATTTGTTTCCTTCCTTCTCTACTTAAAAAAATTATACACATAATTCATAAATCATTCTCATTATAAAAGGGTCAACAACATAGAGCAAAGACTTAGGGGTCATTCTCTACTCAGCCTTCCTTTCAGCCCCCAGCCCCTTACCTCACTCTCTCACCACCCAATCCCCTTAACAGAGAACCACAATGATGTATATTCCAAGTCACTTTCAAGTTAAATTTCATTATTGGTATCCTTACATTTTCCTTTAAGAAAAAAGAAACTCTGGGCCAGGTGCGGTGGCTCACGCCTGTAATCCCAACACTTTGGGAGGCCGAGGAGGCTGGATCACGAGGTCAAGAGATTGAGACCATCCTGGCCAACATAGTGAAACCCCATCTCTACTAAAAATACAAAAATTAGCTGGGCGTGGTGGTGCACACTGTAGTCCCAGCTACTCGGGAGGCTGACACAGGAGAATTGCTCGAACCCAGGAGGCAGAGGTTGCAGTGAGCCGAGATCTCGACACTGCACTCCATCCTGGCAACAGAGCGAGACTCCGTCTCAAAAAAAAAAAAAAAAGAAAAACTCTGAAAAGGGTAAGGAGGAAGTGGGATTCAGTAACCTACAAAGCATTTAGGCAGGACGCTTTTCAAAATGCAGTTGGCAGAAATGGAAGTTGAACTGAGTGTGGTTTCCAGTACAGGGCATCTGGCCACCTTCACCTCAGTAAATACTGCTGATCGACTCTCTCTGGCTCTGGCTGTCCTGCCAGAGACAGCCAAACACAGGAGACATGACAAATTACTATCATCTTTTGCTTCTTTATTTTTATTATTATTATTTTTCTTTTTGTGGAGAACAGCGTCTTGCTGTATTGCCCAGCCTGATCTCAAACTCCTGGGCTGAAGCTGTTCTCCTGCCTCTGCCTACCCAAGTGCTGGGGTTACAGGTGTGAGCCACTGCACTCGACCTTTATTTTTATTCTGTATACTCATCAGTCCCCTTGTGCCCTGATAATGGCTAGAAATAGGAGTTTCTCTTATATACAGTAGCAGGGACACACTTTCTCTCCTTCTCTTTCCTTTCTAAAGGACAATGTCAAGGACATGTCCAGGACAGGTCAGAGAATGTTATATCAGAGATACTGCTGCTATATTTACCCCCACTTGCCTTTCAAGCAAAGCAATTTATATGATTAAAAACAAAACAAAACAAAACAAAAAACAGCAGAGGCAAACTGTCCTGGGTATCTTCAGAGAAGAAAAACATTGAATTTTAAAGCTATATTTTACTTTGCAGTAAATTTTTCTGGGGGCTAAATTTCCTTCTTCTCTTTGTTTTTACTTTTTAAAATTCTCTTAGGAGAGAGTTAAAGAGATGTATTAGCCGGGTGCAGTGGCTCGTGCCTGTAATCCCAGCACTTTGGGAGGCCGAGGCGGTGGGGAGGGATCACCTGAGGTCAGGAGTTCAAGACCAGCGTGGCCAATATAATGAAACCCCGACTCTACAAAAATACAAAAATTACCCAGGCATGATGGCGGGTACCTGTAATCCCTGCTACTTGGGTGGCTGAGGCGGGAGAATCACTTGAACCCAGGAGGCAGAGGTTGCAGTGAGCCAAGATCGTGCCACTGCACTCCAGCCTGGGCAACAGAGCAAGACTCTGTCTCAAAAAACAAAACGAACTGTAACCCCAGTCAGCAAATAAGAGTTCCAAATTTTAGATAGAGAATGCTGAGAAAATTAGGAGGGTGTTAGGGGAAGCTTTAAAGGAGAGAGTGGTATTTGAGACGGGAGGGGGCAAGAAGACATTCCAGATAGAATAAAGAAAGGTGCAGAAGAGCAACCATTCAAGATGTGCTTAGGGAACAGTGACTACACCAATCTGACACATGTCAGGGAACAATGGGGTGATAAGTTGGGCTCACATTTGGAGAGGCTAAAAAGTCTGTACTTAATTCCATAGATAATTCCATAGAGTGTCTGATATTTTCGTTGAGAAATGACATGATTAAAGTAGTGCTTTAGGGCAATTAATATGGCAACTGCCCGGGTGGTGGGGACAGATTGGAGGGATAAAAGATCTAGGTGCTTCAATGCAGGTGATAGCAGAGCATAACAAAGTCTTCCTACCTCCGCATCAAATGCAGCTCAAGGGAGAACTTCCCACCTAGCACTTACATATTCAATATTTATACTTAACCAATTATGTTTTTAGTTGGTCTTCTTTCTTTTCCAAGCCTGACTCGTGACTCCCGTAATATTAGAGTGAGCTTCCTGAGAACGGGCCCTTAATTGTTCTTTTCCTCTTCCTCCCTTTGTAACAGAGGCCCAAATTCCCTCCACACTGTGTCCAGCCTAGTAGTGAACCTCACTCAGGAGGAACAAACTGACACACAACTTCTGGGTGGGGGCCCAGCCTACACTTTCCTTCTGCTTTGGTTTCAGGCATTTTTGACAACATCTAAAACATCCAATTAATTCAGAGGGTGAAAAAAAAGGAATTGGCAGGCAGGTGGGGATGAACAGATGTGCCTGTGTCATAGTGAAAGACAGATTTGAGTTATGGTCCGTTAAAAAAATTTGTGACATTCATTGAGAAGTTATTGTATGTCAAGCATCTTGTAGTTCAAATGTATTATCTCATTCATCTAGTTGGCAAGCCTATGAGATAGTTTCTATTATTTTACAAATGAGAAAACTGATGCACAGAGAAGTTCAATAATTTGTTAATTATTAATAGCAAGTGGCAGAGTCAAGATTTGAACTATGTCTCTTTACTATTAAAAGTCCATTATTTTGGCCAGGTGCGGTGGCTCATGCCTATAATCTCAGCACTTTGGGAAGGCAGAGGCGGGCAGATTACCTGAGGTCAGGAGTTCCAGATCAGGCTGGCCAACATGGTGAAACCCCAACTCTATTAAAAATACAAAAAGTAGCCGGGCATGGTGGCATGCACCTGTAGTCCCAGCTACTCGGGAGGCTGAAGCAGGAGAATCACTTGAGCTCGGGAGGCAGAGGTTGCAGTGAGCCAAGATCACGCCACTGCACTCCAGGCTGGTTGACAGAGTGAGACTCTGTCTCAAAAAAAGAAAAAAGTCCATTATTTTAACCACCGTAGACTACTGATTCTACATTAGAGACCTAGATATCAAGGCCAGTGTATCTTCAATTCTTTAATCCATACCCTTCTCCTGAAACGCAACAGCACTGTTGCCTGAGTGTTTGTTGAAGAGGTTTATTTCTTTGGTTTAAGACTTTGTTCCCAGAGATTAAATTGCAGATCCCTAACCTTCTCACTACTAAGTAGCTCTTAGGAGTGGATCTCAAAGCTTGAAAAGATTTTAGCCTGCCAGACAAATATCATTAATTAATCCCTTTTCCCTTAAGACAGCCAGGCCTACCACACTACCTTGATGGGTTTCTGGACAAAAAAAAAAAAAAAAAGCAAAGGTAGCATAAATATAATTGATGATTTCTATTAGACTTCTTTGGAAAGGAGAAAACAACTCTTACACCTTCATTAACACCTCCATGGAGCCTCCAGGTTAGTGGTAGTAGGGGTTCAGGACTTACATTAGAAATCCCTGTTTTGACCTTTTCTGTTAGAATGCTTGACTGCCTGGCATTTTCCTATTAATACTAGGATTTTTTTTTCTTTTTTTTTTTGAGACAGAGTTTCTTTCTTGTCGCCCAGGCTGGAGTGCAATGGCATGATCTCAGCTCTCTGCAACCTCCGCATCCTGGGTTCAAGTGATTCTCCTGCCTTAGCCTCCCAAGTAGCTGGGATTACAGGCGCCTGCCACCATGCTTGGCCAATTTTTTGTATTTTTAGTAGAGACGGGGTTTCACCATGTTGGCCAGGCTGGTCTCAAACTCCTGACCTTAGGTGATCCACCCACCTCGGCCTCCCAAGGTGCTGGGATTACAGGCGTGAGCCACCGAGCCTGGCCCTTTTTTTTTTTTTAACTTATCCTATCTCATATATAACAATCCAAGAAATATTAATAGCTATCAGTTAGAATGTGTTTTAAAAAACACTTCCGCTGGCCCAGTGGCTCACGCCTGTAATCCTAGCACTTTGAGAGGCCGAGGTGGGCAGATCATGAGGTCAGGAGTTCCAGACCAGCATGGCCATCATGGTGAAACCCAGTCTCTACTAAAATACAAAAATTAGCTGCGTATGATGTCAGGTGCCTGTACTCCCAGCTACTCGGGAGGCTGAGACAGGAGAATCACTTGAACCTGGGAGATAGTGGCTGCAGTGAGCCAAGATTGCGCCATTGGACTCCAGCCTGGGTGACAGAGCAAGACTCCATCTCAAAAAAAAAAAAAAAAAAAAGAAAAGGAAACATAGGCTGGGCACGGTGGCTCACGCCTGTAATCCCAATACTTTGGGAGGCTGAGGCGGGTGGATCACCTGAGGTCGGGAGTTGGAGACCAGCCTGGCCAACACAGTGAAATCCCATTTCTACTAAAAATACAAAAATTAGCTGGGCATGGTGGCGCACACCTGTAATCTCAGCTACTCGGGAGGCTGATGCAGGAGAATCACTTGAACCCAGGAGGTAGAGGTTGCAGTGACTTGTGATCACGCCACTGCACTCCAGCCTAGGTGACTGAGGGAGACTCCCTCTAATAAAAAAAAAAAAGGATTTAATAAACAAATGAGAAGTGATAGGAGATTTTAGCAGATACCTATTCTGCTCTGCTGTGGTGGAGCCTAGCCTTAGGACATGAGACACTACTCTATAAGCCTAGGACCCCGACTCTGGCTGTGGCTGTGGATGCTTCTGAACAGTGCTAAGTGGAAGCCCATGAAAGAACAGACTGTTCTCAAGGCCCATGGAGGAAAAGATGTTACAAGCCATCCCTCCAGATTCCTGGACAAGCTCTGAGTCCCTGCCCAGAAACCAAAAGGTAAGTATAAGTGGGCCAAATGCAAGAACTCCAGGTTTTCAGTCTTTACCACTGACCAACAAAATGACCGGATTTTTTTTTTTTTTTTTTTTTGAGATGGAGTCTCACTCTGTCACCCAGGCTGGAGTGCAGTGGCATGATCTTGGCTCACTGCAACCTCTGCCTCCCAGGTTCAAGCAATCTCCTGCCTCAGCCTCCGGAGTAGCTGGGATTACAGGCATCTGCCACCACGCCTGGCTAATTTTTGTATTTTTTAGTAGAGATGGAGTTTCTTTTTTTTTTTTTTTTTTTTTTTTTAGACGGAGTCTAGCTCTGTCACCAGGCTGGAGTACAGTGGTGCAATCTTGGCTCGCTGCAACCTCTGCCTCCCTGGTTCAAGCGATTCTCTTGCCTCAGCCTCCTGAGTAGCTGGGACTACAGGCATGTGCTACCACGCCCAGATAATTTTTATATTTTTAGTAGAGACGGGGTTTCACCATATTGGCCAGGATGGTTTTGATCTCTTGACCTCGTGATCCACCCGCCTCAGCCTCCCAAAGTGCTGGGATTACAGGTGTGAGCCACCGTGCCCAGCTAAAATGACCTTTGACATCTGGCCTGACCTCTCTGTTTCTTCCTTTTTTGTTAAATGAGTACTCAAATAAACAATAATAGGGCCAGGCACGGTGGCTCACGCCTGTAATCCCAGCACTTTGGGAGGCCAAGGCGGGTGGATTACCTGAGGTCAGGAGTTCAAGACCAGCCTGGCCAACATGGTGAAACCTCGTCTCTACTAAAAATACAAAAATTAGCTGGGCATGGTGGCACATGCCTGTAATTCCAGCTACTCGGGAGGCTGAGGCAGGAGAATCGCTTGAACCTGGGAGGCGGAGGCTGCAGTGAGCCGAGATCGCGCCACTGCACTCCAGCCTGGCAACAGAGCAAGACTCTGTCTCAAAAACAACAACAACAACAACAACAACAACAAACAACATTAATAGCTTCCATGGCCAGGCACTTTTTAAGATAATTTACATAAATTTTAAAAGTAGTATTAGTAAAAAAAGAATAATATTTTAATTTATAAAACATTACTCTCATTTTATAAATTAGAAAACTCAGGCCAGGCGCAATGGCTCATGCTTGTAATCCCAACACCTTGGGAGGCCGAGGTGGGCAGATCACAAGGTCAGGAGTTCGAGACCAGCCTGACTAAACTGTTTTTAGTTTCTACTAAAAATACAAAAATTAGCCAGGCATGATATCATGCGTGCCTGTAGTCCCAGCTACTCGGGAAAAGAAAAAGAAAAAAGAGAGAAAAAAAAAGAAAACTGAGGCACAGAGAGATTCAGTACCTTGCCCAAGAGTGCCCAAGTATTTGTGTACATGACTGAGTCAGGCTGTGTGACTCCAAGGTGAGTAACCTATGCCAGTTACTGGGAATGGGCTGAAAGGGTTTGCAAAGGAAGCTGAAGACCATTCTCACCCTGCCCTGGGGGAATCATGGAATGGTGCCAAATAGAAAAGGCAAGTTTAGGCTGTTCTAGGTTTCCCCTTCCAGAAATGACGTTGGCCTAAAACCATGGTCGTCAAATGTTTTTGTTCTTATATTTTGTAAGAGACTTGAAAAACCATGTACCCCCTTGTACGTTTTAAAGTTAGCAACTGACATTTTTCATTGTAAGTTTAAAGAGCTGTAAGATAGAATTACTGGCTTTTTGTGATTAATATAATAAAACTATGAAAGCACTTTGTTTTGTTTTTTGGAGAAGGAGTCTCACTCTGTTGCCTAGGCTGGAGTGCAATGGCATGATCTCGGCTCACCGCAACCTCCGCCTCCCAGGTTCAAGCGATTCTCCTGCCTCAGCTTCCTGGCTAATTTTTGTATTTTTAGTAGAGACGGGGTTCCACCTGGCTGGCCAGGCTGGTCTTGAACTCCTGACCTCAGGCGATCTGCCCGCCTCGACCTCCCAAAGTGCTGGGATTACAGGCTTGAGTCACTGAGCCCAGCCGAAAGCACCCTTTTAAAGGAATCTACAGGAATATAAATATAGTAATTTGATATTACCATCATCAATTTAGAAAATTCATGACTACACTTTTTTTTTTAAATTTTTATCTTTATATATTTATTTGAGACAAGGTCTTGCTCTGTTGTCCAGCCTAGAGAGCAGTGGCACATCACAGCTCACTGCAGTCTCAAACTTCTGGGCTCAAGCCATCCTCCCAGCTCTCATATCACACTCTTTAATTTTACATTATTTCTTTTTTTTTTTTTTGAAATCATATTTTGAATCCATTTCTATGTAATCTTGTACTAATATAATTAGTGATTAAAAACATTTTATGGCCGGGCACAGTGACTCGTGCCTGTAATCTCAACACTTTGAGAGGCCGAGGTGGGCAGACCACCTGAGATCGGGAGTTCGAGACCAGCCTGACCAACATGGAGAAACCCCGTCTCTACTAAAAATACAAAATTAGCCGGGCATGGTGGTGCATTCCTGTAATCCCAGCTACTCGGGAGGCTGAGGCAGGAGAATCGCTTGAACCCAGGAGGCGGAGGTTGCAGTGAGCCGAGATCGTGCCATCGCACTCCAGCCTGGGGGACAAGAGTGAGACTTCGTCTCAAAAAAAAAAATTTGGAATTGTCCCTTTGATGCCTTACATGCTTTTTTCACCCCAGAGTAATGCATCATTTGTCAGGATTAGGGAAGAGTAAGAGATAAACTTTTTTTGATAAAGTGAGAAGAGGGCAATTGAGAAAATGAGATGGGAAAAGAAAATCAGGGCTGCAGATGTCCTCTGGGGCGCATCAAATTGAGGATCTAGAAATTGATTTCTTTGAAACTAACCACTGCCCTGTACTCCTTGGAAAGTATTTACATACCTACCCTAACCACTACTGGCAGCCCTAATGATCTCCATGTTAAATGTGTTTCTCCCAGCCACACCTGCCCAGAGGGAGAAACTGGGTCATGGTAGCAGTAACCAAGCAGTGCTCTTTGTTCCTTACCCCACCAGATTTACACAACCTATAACCCTCTCAGTGATCTTCTGAGTCATTCTGGAGTCTCTGGGGGTAGATTTCATATGCTCACTAATTGGTCTTCTTGGCCTCTTGGTGGTTTCTGCTCATTTCATTCATCTCCTATAGCTTGGCACAGTAGAACTGCTAGCCTCTTAGCTGCCAGAGCCAAACAGACTGTTCCATGTGAGAAAACCAACCTCCAGATTCCTGGGGCGTTTCTGGTGTAGTGACCTTCCAGAGGGAAATCTACCCCTACTCCTATCCAGTACTCTTCCCTGCCATGAGGGGATTTAGAAGGGAAAGCACTCCCTGCTGACAGTTCTTACAGGGGTTTGTGAAACAAATAATCCCATTTGGTCACCCTTTTGGTTGAGAAGTGGTGATAAATGCTCGAAGTGGTCTGAAGTGCCAGGTGCTATAAAAGAACAGAAAGGGGCCTGTGATCCCTGACTGCACTTTATATTTCAGCATTACCCACTATTTTTTCATATCCCACGACTCAAGATTCCCTCTCAAGTCTTTGCTCTTTGATCTCCTTGATGAACTCACATTCACCCTTCAAATCTCATCTCAATCCCTTCTTTCAGGATGTGTTCCCATTCCGCTAATGCCCTTGAGGGTTTTCTGCTATCTCCATGCTTTTACTACATTTTGGTTTATTTGCTCTTACTATATATTTTCTTGTTAGTCTTTGTATCCAGTTAAACTATGGGCTCCTGAGGGTGTTGGGACTCAGGAGATACCACATTTAAGTATGACTGTAGGAGACAGAAATATGCCACCCCAAAACATGCCTTTTTGGCATATTAATAATTTCCGGCTGGTTATTTTGAGAAATTGCAGACATAGGAGTAGCTTTGGAAAGTTACTCTTGTAAGAGAAATGTGCAGTTGACCCTTGAACAACATGGGTTTGAACTGCACAGGTCCACTTATACTCAGATTTTTTCTTTTTTTTGAGACAAAGTCTCACTCTGTCACCCAGGCTGGAGTGCAGTGGCACGATCTTGGCTCACTGCAACCTCCACTTCCTGGGTTCAAGCGATTATCCTGCCTCAGCCTCCTGAGTAGCTGGGATTACTGGTATGCACCACTACACTGGCTAATTTTTTTTTTTTTTGAGATGGAGTTTTGCTCTTGTCACCCAGGCTGGAGTGCAATGGCATGATCTCGGCTCACCGCAACCTCCGCCTCTTGGGTTCAAGCGATTCTTCTGCCTCAGCCTCCTGAGTAGCTGGGATTACAGGCATGTGCCACCATGCTCAGCTAATTTTGTATTTTCAGTAGAGACGGGGTTTCGCCATGTTAGCCAGGATGGTCTCGATCTCCTGACCTCGTGATCCACCCGCCTCGGCCTCCCAAAGTGCTGGGATTACAGGCGTGAGCCACCGCGCCCAACCCAGAAATGTTTTTTAAATTAAGAAAAAGTTGGGCCGGGCACGGTGGCTCACGCCAGTAATCCCAGCACTTTGGAAGGCCAAGGAGGGTGGATCATGAGGTCAGGAGAGCGAGACCATCCTGGTTAACACGGTGAAACTCCATCTCTACTAAAAAAGAAAAATACAAAAAATTAGCCAGGCATGGTGGTGGGTGCCTGTAGTCCCAGCTACTTGGGAGGCTGAGGTGGGAGAATGGCGTGAACCCGGGAGGCGGAGCTTGCAGTGAGCCGAGATCGCGCCACTGCACTCCAGCCTGGGCGACAGAGCGAGACTCCATCTCAAAAAAAAAAAAAAAGAAAAAGTTGAGTGTGTCATAAATGCATAAAATATATGTAGATACTAGTGTACTTTATTATTTACTGCCATAAAAGATATATAAATCCATTATAAAAAGTTAAAATTTATCAGAGGCCAGGCATGGTGGCTCACACCTATAATCCCAGCACTTTGGGAGGCCACCAGGCGGATCACCTGAGGTCAGGAGTTCGAGACCAGCCTGGACAACATAGTGAAACCCTGTCTCTACTAAAAATACAAAAAATTAGTCGGGCGTGGTGGCACATGCCTGTAATCCCAGCTACTTGGGAGGCTGAGGCAGGAGAATTGCTTGAACCCGGAAGGCGGAGATTGCAGTGAGCCGAGATCATGCCATTGCACTCCAGCCTGGGTAACAGAGCAAGACTCTGTCTCAAAAAAAAAAAAAAAAAAAAAAATCAAAACTTACACATAAGTACACTTACAAACACTTGCACCATTCACAGTGGAAATAAATGCAAACAAATATAGAGATGCAGTATTAAATCATAACTGCATACAATTAACTGTAGTAGGCTGGGCACAGTGGCTCACACCTATAATCCCAGCACTTTGGGAGGCTGAGGTGGGTAGATCAATTGAGGTCAGGAGTTCAAGACCAGCCTGGCCAACATGGTGAAACCCCATCTCTACTAAAGATACAAAAAACAATCAGCCGGGAATGGTGGTGCACGCCTGTAATCCCAGCTACTTGGGAGGCTGAGGCAGGAGAATCGCTTGAACCTGGCTACTCGGGAGGCTGAGGCAGGAGAATTGCTTGAACGCAGGAGGCGGAGGTTGCAGTGAGCTGAGATTGTGAACATTGCCCTCCAGCCTGGGCAACAAGAGTGAAACACTGTCTCAAAAAAAAAAAAAAGTGATCTCTCAGTTCTCACATAGTTTTCATCATGTTTAGTGCAATACCATAAACCTTGAATAACACCTTGGGACCATATGAAGTGCCATTAGTGATGCTGGAAGTGCTCCCAAGAAGCACAGAATAGTTATATCATTACAACAAAAAGTTGAATTGCTTGATATTTCCACAGATTGAGGCCTGCAGCTTGTACTTGTCTGCCATTTCGAGATAAATGAATCCAGCATAAGAACCATTAAAAAAAAAAAAAAAGGAAAGGAAATTTGTGAAACTGTCACTGCAGCTATACCAGCAGTCATGAAAACCTTGCACTTTTTGCAAACTACCTTTATATCTTGTATTGAAAATGCAACTTTTATATTGCATTTATTTTATATTTATTTTGGTGCAATATATTTATATTGGTGCGGTATTGCTATAAGAAATTCATACGTATATAGTCTAATATGATTCCAGAAAAAGCAAAGTCATTATATGACAACTTGAAGCAAAAAGAAGGTGAAATCTAAAGCGAGAGAATTTAATGCTAGCAAATGATTGTTTGGTAATTTTAGAAAGAGGTTTGGGTTTAAAAATGTCAAGATAACAAGAGAATTATTAGCTTCTGTCAACTAAGAGGCAGCAGATGATTTTCCAGACGTTATGAAAATCATTGAGGAAAAGGGATATCTACCTGAATAGGTTTTTAATGCAGATGAAAGTGCTTGATTCTGGGGAAAAAAATGACCCAAAGGACATTTATTAGTAAGGAAGAGAAGCGAGCACCAGGATTTAAGGCAGGAAGAGATAGGCTAACTCTACTGTTTGTACAAATGCAGTCAGGTTTAGATTAAGACTGCCCTTATCTGTAAAGCTGCTAACCCTCAAGCTTTGCAGGGAAAAGATAAATACCAGCTGCCAGTCTTTTAGTTGTGGAACAAGAAGGCCTGGATAATGAGAATCCTTTTCTCTGGATTGGTTCCACTGATGCTTTGTCCCTGAAGTCAGCAAGTACCTTGCCAGTAAGGGACTGCGTTTTAAAGTTCTTTTGATATTGGACAATGCCCCTGGCCACCCAGAACCTCATGAGTTCAACACCAAAGGTGTCAAAGTGGTCTATTTGCCCCCAAATATGTCTCTAATTCAGCCTCTAGATGGGGGGTTCATAAGGACCTTTAAGGCTCATTACACATGATACTCTATGGAAAGGATTGTCAACAGTATGGAAGATAACCCTGATAGGAACATCATGACAGTCTGGAAGCATTACACCATTGAAGACATCATCATTGTTACAGAAAAAGCTATGAAAGCCATCAAGCCCAAAACAATAAATTCCTGCTGGAGAAAACTGTGTCCAGATGTTGTGCATGACTTATCAGGATATATGACAGAAGCAATCAAGGAAATCATGAAAGAGATTGTGGATGTCCCAAAAAAGGTGGGAGATAAAGGGTTTCAAGATACAGATCTTGGATAAATTCAAAAGCTAATAGACACCACACCTGAGGAATTAACAGAAGATGACTTGATGGAGATAAGTGCTTCCAAACCAGAGCCAGATGAAGAGGAAGAACATGTAGAAGCAGTAGTTCTAGAAAACAAATTGACATTAGACAATCTGGCAGAAGGGTTCTGATTATTCAAGGCTGCTTTTGACTTCTTTTACAACATGAGCCCTTCTGTGATATGGACACTAAAACTAAAGAAGGATTGGTACCATATATGGAGGCTGGGAAGTCCCAAGATCAAGCTGCCAAAGAGGGCTGGTTCCTCATAAATGATGCTTTCTAAATGTGTCTCACAGTCTCCCTCCAGCTCTGTTTTTTGAGACGGAGTCTTGCTCTGACGCCCAGGCTGGAGTGCAGTGTCGCGATCTCAGCTCACTGCAACCTCCGCCTCCTGTATTCAAGCGATTCTCTTGCCTCAGCCTCCTGAATACCTGGGACTACAGGCATGCGCCACCACGCCCAGCTAATTTTTTAATATTTTTCGTAGAGATGTGGTTTCACCATGTTTGCCAGGCTGGTCTAGAACTCCTGACCCAAAGTGATCTGCCTGCCTCAGTCTCCCAAAGTGCTGGGATTACAGGCGTGAGCCACCACGCCAGGCCCCCCAGCCTCTTTTATAAGGCCACTAATCCCATTCATGGGGGCTGTAGCCTTCTGACCTAATCAATTCCTAAAGTCCCCATCTCTTGATTGGTATCACATCAGGGACTAAATTCCAACAGATGAATTTGTGGGGACATCAACATTCAGACCATAGCAGCACTTCTGTCTGTCTTGTTATCTTCTGCTGCATAAACAGAAGGGAGTAGTGCCTTTAAATCAGCCCAAGCGCCTCTGGGTATCTTGAAGATAACCAGCTCTTTCCACAGGCCTTTGTGACTCTGGAGGTTCTCAGATCTGGAGGGTGCTAAGGAGGGGACAGGTCAGAAGCCTCTGGGCATGAGTTGTTGGACACAGCCAAGGTCAGAAGAATTCTTGATTTTTAAGTAGGTAGAGCATCCATCTCTGCTGGAGGGGAAAGGAGGGGCCTTCTGTGATTCTTCTGCCAGTTGGGATGAAAGAAACAGTCAATGGAGAACCAGCCTATTATCTGAGCTCAGCCCTCTCCAAACAATGCTCTTGTTGATACATTCTCTGCTTCTTTTTCAAGGGGAGGGAACAGCTGTAGGCTGATCTATGAAATCTTCTGGCCTGGAATTGGAAGGATCTGGCCTGACTCTTCTGGGGGAGGCCATCATATCAGGATGTTATCCAAGCAAGCCCCTGGCTCAGATCTATACATTCTATTTCACTGCATTTGTGTACAGCAGTGCTGCTCAAAATGTGGTCAGTCCTCCACTGGCATCATTAAAATACCTTAGGAGTGTTAAGAATGCAAATTCTTGGGCCCCGGGAATTCCTGGGTAAGGCCCAGGAAGCTGTGGTTTAACAAGCTCGCCAGGTGATTTTTATGTTATGCTAAACTATGAAAAGTACTGCTATGTGGGATTCTCTCTCTCTCTCACACACACATACACATACACGCACACCACACAGCTACCTAAAACTCCTGCAGCTGCTAATGCCACTTGGTCATTTTCCTGTGGTTTTCCTCAGCAGGGCCCTGGGATTTGTTTTTCTCCACTGTGGACCTTGTTCATTTCCTGCTGCTTCCAAGAGGTTGGGAGAGGAAAGAGAGCAGGAATGAAGGCGGGAGGGGGAAGGGGTTAGCTAAGGCAGTGTAGCTTTCAAGAATGAAAAGGAAAAAGCTTAGTGACAGTGTTCCTTTGTGAAGAATTCAGCTTTATGTTGATGGAGCTGCAAGTCATTAGCAACCCAGGCATATGGCCCGAGTTGACCGGGTCATTCTCCGGGGCCAGATCGCCCTCTGCTGCTGACTGATAAATAACACTCTGGGACTCGAACTGCCAAGGAAAAGAGGAAGAGTCTCTGGGGCTAGGGTGGGAGGGAAAGAGGACATGACTAAGGCTAAGAGATCACAAAGTCACCAGGCTGTAGAAGAATCTTGTTAAATTCCTGTGTGCAGGAAAGGAAGAAGTAGCCAAATGAGCGGGCGTTTCTAGGACTCATTCAAGAAACAGTAGGATTCACCCAAGATCTCCACTAGCTCCTGTGATCCTAGCTCCCAGCTTAATGAGGCTCTGCAACCATTCTCCCTTTTATTCCTCACCTTTACCTCACTTGGAACATAAAGGGTGTTTAAAATGGGAAGACAGGCTGGGTGTGGTAGCTCACGCTTGTAATCCCAGCACTTTGGGAGGCCCGGGCGGGTGGATCACCTGAGGTCAGGAGTTCCAGACCAGCCTGACCAACATGGTGAAACCCCGTCACTCCTAAAAATGCAAAAATTAGCCAGGCATGGTGGCGCACGCCTGTAATCCCAGCTTTTCGGGAGACTGAGGCAGGAGAATCGTCTGAACCTGGGAGGCAGAGGTTGCAGTGAGCCAAGATCGCACCATTGTACTCCAGCCTGGGCAACAAGAGCGGAACTCCGTCTCGGAAAAAAAAAATAATTAAAAATAAAATGGGAAGACAGCCACAAAAAAGAAAAAAATGACAAAGTTTTGGTGTCGAGGCATTTAGGGGCAATTAGGCTTTTCAGAGGTTTTTGTTTGTTTTTTTGTTTTTGTTTTTTAATCTCCTTGTCTCAGACTTTCTTTGTTTCTTTTGCCTCCATGAAAGCCCTGTGTCTTTCAGTCTTTCTTCTCCTGCCAGGGAACTCTTACTCCACAGCTGTGGAGTCAGCCCTTCTCAGCCCTTCTCAGCCCTTGCCCCACTTTATTGCAGTTGGGAATGACAGTTCATGTGGGTCACTGGTGAAGAGAGCAAAGATTTGTTCACAGAATAAAAGCTCAGGCACAGCAGTTGCTCTGCCAGCCATGGGCAGTGACCCATTTCCTCCTTCTTCTTGCCTTTGTCCCTTCCCAGCTCAGACTATAGCTGGTCACTGAAGGTCTTCACCCCTCTACCACTCACCCTTGCGACTCCTGCTGGGAAGATAACTTCAGAGTCAGGTCTGGAAAATTACTTAAATCGCCCTAAGGGGCTGAGGTGGAGTAGGGGGAGGGGTGTAGGAGGTGGAGAATTGGGGGTGGAGATGAGAGTGCAGGTGGGCTGGAGATCAGTGCCATAGCCAAATTCTTCAGAATGTTTTCGTGTCAGCTCAGCACGATGGCTCATGCCTGTAATCCCAGCACTTTGGAAGGCCGAGGCAGGTGGACTACCTGAGGTCAGGAGTTCGAGACCAGCCTGACCAACATAGTGAAACCCAGTCTCTACTAAAAATACAAAAAATTTGCCGGACGTGGGGGCGGGTGCCTGTAATCCCATCTACTCGGGAGGCTGAGGCAGGAGAATCGCTTGAACCCAGGAGGTGGAGGTTGCAGTGAGCCGAGATCCCACCACTGCACTCCAGCCTGGGCTCGACAGTGCGAGACTCCATCTCAAATAATAATAATAATAATAATAATAAAACAAATAGAATGTTTTTGTGTCATGAAACACTCTAGCCTCTCCCCCAAGCACCCTCATGTATAGGGTGAGTCCATCTAAGTGAGGCCAAGCCCTTTAACCAAAACAAACATCTTTAAATAAAATTTTATTTGCTTCGTTTTTGGTCTACATGGGACCAAATATCTGAATCTACCACATTTGGATAATTTTGCCAATATTACCCCAAATATATGCTGGTTATCTGTTCGTATCACTACCTTGTGGTTATGGTACTTGAAGGACAATTTCGTCACTCCTAAGTCTTCATCGTGAGCAAGGTTTTTTGCATCTCTGGAGCAATAGTGTGCCTGAGTTGACTATAATCATGGGCGCTTTTGTTGGCAAGATGTGGGACTGGTCTCTGCACATACAGGCAGGTAGGGGGTTAAAGAGAAGAATGGTTACTAGAAGGCATGAATCACTTACATAATTTGCAGGGCTAAGTGTAGAATGAAAATTCAGGATATCTTTTATTCAAAAATTATTAAGAATTTCAAGATGATGACAGCAGAACACTAAGCATGAAGCCCCTTCTAAGACTGGGGACCTGTGTGATGGCATAGGTCACAGGCCCATGAAGCCAGCCCTGGTAGAAGGTACCCTAGGGAGGGTGTGGGCTAACAGATTCAAAGAGCAATGGGACATCCCCTTGTGTTTAGATTTTCCTCAATTTTAGTGTCATTCCCTTCTGTGATCCTCAAAACTTCTGTCAGGCTTTTTTTTCCTGGCACCTACTTGTTGGTTTTAGGTATTCTTTGGGGAGTAAAGGGTAGAGCCTGTGTCCAGGCTTGGGGAACCACATCTCGGGGAGAAAGCAACAGCAGTCAGGGAGAAGTCAGTCCCTAGATGGCATCAGGTGACCTGAGAGCTATGGAGCACAGCAAGGGTGGCAAATGTACTTGGGGAGGACACCTGCAAATGCCAGGGTCATATTGACTTTCTCCCAGTATTCCTGCCACAAACAAACAAACAATTAAGTAAAGGGAAGTCTAATAATAAGAATTAGCCTCTCAGGCCGGGCGCGGTGGCTCACACCTATAATCCTAGCACTTTGGGAGGCCCAGGCGGGTTGATTGCCTGAGCTCAGGAGTTTGAGACCCGCCTGGGCAACATGGCAAAAGCCCGTCTCTACTAAAAATACAAAAAATTAGTCGAGTGTGGTGGTGTGTGCCTGTAATCCCAGCCACTCAGGAGGCTGAAGCAGGAGAATCGCTTGAACCTGGGAGGCAGAGGTTGTAGTGAGCCAAGATTGCGCCATTGCACTCCAGCCTGTGTGACAGAGCGAGACTTTGACTCAAAAAAAAAAAAAAAAAGAATTAGCTTGTCATATTCCAGAGAAGACGATTGGAATCATTGAAATTTGTATATTAAAGAAAATGTCGGCCGGGCATGGTGGCTCATGCCTTTAATGCAGGCACTTTGGGATGCCAAGGCGGGTGGTCACGAAGTCAGGAGATCGAGACCATCCTGGCTAATACGGTGAAACCTCATCTCTACTAAAAATACAAAAAATTAGCTGGGCGTGGTGGCACGCGCCTGTAGTCCCAGCTACCTGGGAGGCTGAGGCAGGAGAATTGCTTGAACCTGGGAGGCAGAGGTTGCAGTGAGTCAAGATTGCACCACTGCACTCCAGCCTGGGTGACAGAGCAAGACTCCGTCTCAAAAAAAAAGAAAAGAAAATGTGGCTGGGGACAGTGACTCACGCCTGTAATCCCAACACTTTGGGAGGCCTAGGTGGGTGGATCGCTTGAGGTCAGGAGTTCGAGACCAGCCTGGCCAACACAGTGAAACCCTGTCTCTACTAAAAAAAAAAAAAAAACATAAAAATTAGCCTGACGTGGTGGCTCATGCCTGTAATCCCAGCTACTTGGGAGGCTGAGGCAAGAGAATGGCTTGAACCCAGGAGGCAGAGGTTGCAGTGAGCCAAGATGGCGCCACTGCACTCCATCCAGACTGGGAGACAGAACAAGACTCTGTCCCAAAAAAAAAAAAAAAAAAAAAGAGAAAATGTAACCTGATTCTGTAGTCTCAGGCTGATGAATTTTGGAACACTTAGCCGTATAATCAGGTGTCACTGGTATGGCATACTCCACAGTTTGGGATATAAATATAGTCTCATCTTTTATTTTTCCATTAATCACTTGAGAGCCCAACTGCAGTTAGTGGCAGGAGGTCCAGTATCTCCCTGGAGACCTTCCTACCAACCCTCTGAATTGTTCAAGAACAAGGGCTTCTGCCTGTCTTGTCAGGTCCTTGGGAGAGAGTGGAGGAGATGGTGTTCTCGTGTTAATTGAGGCTGAGAAAGCAGCACTGCTCACGTTTTGCTTTATTTTCTTCCTCTCCTAGGCAGAATCAGTGTTACATTTGTGGTCAGATGAGCTAACGACATCCTTCCTGACTTCTTTCTCAGAATTAGGAAACCCTGATTAGCATTTAGAACCTCATTTTCACAGACTTCACTCATTAAAACATCAAGACCTAGGTAACGCACCACTGAAATTTCATAATATGGAGGATATGTTTAAATATGTTTAAAATATGTATTTTTAACTGTGGTTAAAATATGTTTTTAAAATGTTTATGAGTCAAAATAATTAAAATTGCCATTTAACGTAAGAATTGATTGTTGCTTCTTCTTCTTCTAAGAGAGATGACAAAATTCTGTTTGGTGGGGAAATAAATCTCTATCTTATTCCCTGCTCTTCCCAGAAGCTATTGGGGGAGGCAAAAGGAAAAGAGAGCTCGAAGTGGTCCTGAGGGGTTGGATCTGGGGAAAATGCTCACAGGATAGCAGGGCACAGTCACAAAGCTAGCTCTGCAAAGAAGGCCTGGGGTTGAATAGGGGGTAGAGAAGTCAGTTGCTTGTGTAACAAAATTGAGGGGAATTGAGTTTCTGGGGAGGCCAAGGGAAAAGGAAGAGGTGCCCGAAAATGGAATTAGCAAGGAGGAGTTGGGAAAGAAATGATGGTCAGATGCACTTTTGCAGTGTTTCTGTCTCTCCACTGTAAACCTCCTCCCTCTCCAGGGTCTGATATACACACCAATACCTTTGGCTAATAACTAATAAAACAAGTAATTATGTAACATTTGCATGTACCATACTGTTCTATGTATTTTACATACATGAACTTATTTAATTGTCATAATCTTATGAAGTTGGTACTGTCATTATTCCATTTTCATAGATGAAGAAAATGAGGCACAGAGGGTGAGTAATTTGCCTATGAATACTCAGTTAATATTCTGAAGCCTCACTGGATATTAACATGCTATTATTTATTTAAATGTCAGTAATCCAATAGGTTAAAAACCATTGGTGAGAATGTAAATTACTACAACCTCTATGGAAAACAGTATGGAGATTTCTCAAAAAACTAAAAATAACTACCATTCTATCCAG
This sequence comes from Homo sapiens, assembly GCF_000001405.40. NCBI lineage: Eukaryota > Metazoa > Chordata > Mammalia > Primates > Hominidae > Homo > Homo sapiens. The sequence continues at coordinate 113,047,840 of NC_000001.11, forward strand.
TAATCCCGCTACTGGGTACCTACCCAAGGGAACATAAATCATTATATCAAAAGGACACCTGCACTCATATGATTATCTCAGCACTATTCACAATATCAAACATATGGAATCAACCTAAGTATCCATCAACCATAATTGGATAAAGAAAATGTGGTATATATACTCAACGGGATACTATTCAGCCATAAAAACAAATGAAATCATGTCTTTTGCAGCAATGTGGATGGAGCTGGAGGCCATTATCTTAAGTAAAACAACTCACACACAGAAAGTCAAATAACACATATTCTCACTTACAAGTGGGAGCTAAATAATGTGTACACCTATACATAGAGTGTGGAATGACGGAGCTTCAGAATGGTGGGAGGGGTTGAGGGTTGAGAAATTACTTAATGGGTACAATGTACACATTATTCAGGTGACAGATACACTAAAAGCCCAGACTTTGGCCGGGCGCAGTGGCTCACCCCTGTAATCCCAGCACTTTGGGAGGCCAAGGCAGGCAGATCACTTGAGACTGGGAGTTCAAGACCAGCCTGACTAACATGGAGAAGCCCCATCTCTACTAAAAATACAAAATTACCTGGGCTTGGTGGCACATGCCTGTAATCCCAGCTACTCAGGAGGCTGAGGCAGGAGAATCGCTTGAACCTGGGAAGCAGAGGTTGCGGTGAGCCGAGATCGCGCCATTGCACTCCAGCCTGGGCAACAAGAGCAAAACTCTGTCCAAAAAAAAAAAAAAAAAAAAAAGCCCAGGCTTCACCACTACAAAATATAACCATGTAACAAAACCACACTCCTTAAACTGTATTTCTTAAATTTATACAAATGAAAAAAACCTGGGAGATATTTAATGCTAAGAACACTGTGCAGGAGGCTTTAAATACATTTTCTCAGGCCGGATGCGGTGTCTCAGGCCCATAATCCCAGCACTTTGGGAGGCCGAGGCAGGCGGATCACAAAATCAGGAGATCAAGACCATCCTGGCCAACATGGTGAAACCCCGTCTCTACTAAAAATACAAAAATTAGCTGGGCATGGTGGTGCATGCTGTAGTCCCAGCTACTCGGGAGGCTGAGGCAGGAGAATCGCTTGAACCCGGGAAGCGAAGGTTGCAGTGAGCCGAGATCACACCACTGCACTCAAACCTGGTGACAAAGCGAGACTCCGTCTCAATAAACAACAACAACAACAACAACAAAAATGTTCTCATTTAACTCTAGCAACAATCTTGTATGGCAGCTATTACTATCCTCACTCCACAAACGAAGAAACTAAGGCATAATAAAATTAAGAATTTGCCACAAACCATACCACAATACTCAGGATTTGAACACAGATCTGGCAGACTTTTCCACCCATATGCTTAGTCACTAAGCACACTGCCTTTCAGAAGAAAGAAGACCTGGTCAGTACTTTCCTAAGTTAAACGGTGCTTTAACAAACGGTTAAAGACTCTGGGTCTGTTTAACTTAGAGAAGTAAAGGGAGTGGAGCTATTTTAAAATATTTTTAAAGTCTTATTTAGAAAATATGGTTCCTGAGGGCATAATTAGGGCAAAAAGATAGATCACTTATCTGCTCCATGTAAGTTTATAATCGTTGGAACTGTCCAAAAAGGGAATGAACTGCTTAGAAAAGAATAATTTGTGTGTACATGTGTCAGGTCACTAGGTACTGGGATAGAGCAGTGACCTAAGTTCCTGTCCTCAGGGAGTTTATTTCCAGTGTTTCTTTTTCTTTTCTTTTTTTTTTTTTTGAGACAGAATTTCACTCTTGTTGCCCAGGCTGGAGTGCAATGGCGCAATCTCAGCTCACAACCTCCACCTCCCAGGTTCAAGTGATTCTCCTGCCTCAGCCTCCCTAGTAGCTGGAATTACAGGCATGTGCCACCACGCCCAGCTAATTTTTTTGTATTTTTAGTAGAGATGGGGTTTCTCCATGTTGGTCAGGCTGATCTCGAACTCCCGACCTCAGGTGATCCACCTGCCTCGGCCTCCCAAAGTGTTGGGATTACAGGCGTGAGCTACCGCGCCCAGCTATTTCCAATGTTTCTAAGTTTGCAAGGAAAATATGGCTGGTGGCCTCTCCAGATTCCTTCCAGAAGTGGTGACATACCCATTGGGCCTATACTAGATGGGCACTTGGATTGGTGAAATCTAAGTTTGCAATAAACTCAGTAATTCCTATTTGTCTCTTTTTTTTTTTCCTTTTTGTGGAGAACAGGGTCTCGCTATATTGCCCAGGCAGGTCTCGAATTCCTGGGCTCAAGCTACCCTCCCGCCTCTACCTCCCTAAGAGCTGGGATTACAGGCGTGAGCCATCACGCTCAGCAATAATTCCTATTTGTAAACATTTGGATAACTGGATGTTTACAACTTTATTAAAATGTTTGCTACTCACACATTGAAAAGGAAACAGCTCCCATGTTGCCACTACCACTCTACCCAGGTCCTCTCCTCAGTCACTCACAGCTGTTGCTATTGTTGTTTTAACAGTTATTCAAATCAGATTGGTTTGTATGTGTACACAGACTTGTACATAAACATTCAGAACAGTTTTATTTGTCATAAACAACTGGAAATGACTCAAATGTCCATCAATAATGCATGGGTAGACAAATTAAGGTACATCCATACCATGGAAATACAAAAGTATGAAAAGGAATCAACTATTGATACACATAACAATGTAGACAGATCTCAGAAACCTTATACTGTGTGGAAGAAGCCAAGAAAAAAGAGTACATGCTGTACTATTTTATTTATATAAGAGTTTAATGTATAAACTAATCTATAGTGACAAGGCAGATCAGTGGTTGTCTGCAAACAGGGTTGGTGGGTGGGGGAGTGAGGGATGGATTACAGAGGAGCATGAGGAATGATGGGTGATGGATGGTGCATTTTTTTTTTTTTTTTTGAGACAGAGTCTTGCTCTTGTTGCCCAGGCTGGAGTGCAATGGTGCGATCTCAGCTCACTGCAACCTCTGCCTCCCTGGTTCAAGTGATTCTTCTGCCTCAGCCTCCAGAGTAGCTGGGATTACAGGGACCTGACACCACGTCCGGCTAATTTTTGTATTTTTAGTAGAGACGGGGTTTCACCATATTGGCCAGGCTGGTCTCAAACTCCTGACCTCGTGATCTGCCCTCCTCCGCCTCCCAAAGTGCTGGGATTACAGGCATGAGCCACCGCACCCGGTGGATAGTGCATTTTTAATCTTGACTGTGGTTATGGTTTCACGAGTATATGCATATGTTGAAACTCACCAAGTTGTACACTTAAAATATATGCAGTTTATGTTACGTCAGTTATACTTCAATAAAGCTGAAATTAAAGAAAAAGAAAATGTGTGAAAGGAAATACAGGAAATTCTAAGCAGTACCCTTTGAAGTTAGGACTGTGGTAAGGGATGACTTAATTTTCCTTTTTTGTGCTGTTTAAATCTGTTATAAAAAATGAGGGCCAGGCGGCCGAGTGCAGTGGCTCACGCCTGTAATCTCAGGACTTTGGGAGGCCAAGGTGGGTGGATCACCTGAGGTCAGGAGTTCGAGACCAGCCTGGCCAACATAGCAAAACCCCGTCTCTACTAAACAAATACAAAAAATTAGTTGGTCATGGTGGTGGGTGCCTGTAATCCCAGCTACTTGGGAGGCTGAGGCAGGAGAATTGCTTGGACCCAGGGGGTGGAGGTTGCAGTGAACCGAGATCGCACCATTGCACTCCAGCCTGGGTGAGGGAGCGAGACTCTGTCAAAAAAAAAAAAAAAAAAAAAATGAGGGCCGGGCATGGTGGCTCATGCCTGTAATCTCAAGACTTTGGGAGGCAAAGGCGGTCGGATCACGAGGTCAGGGGTTCGAGACCAGCCTAGCCAATATGGTGAAACCCTGTCTCTACTAAAAATACAATTAGCTGGGCATGGTGGTGTGTACGCCTGTAGTCCCAGCTACTCAGGAGGCTGAAGCAGGAGAATCACTTGAACCCAGAAGGCAGAGGTCGCAGTGAGCGGCGATCACGCCATCACACTCCAGCCTGGGCAACAGAGCAAGGCTCCATCTCAAAAAAAAATAAAATAAAAGGAAAAAATGATAGGCTTCGTGGGATGGCTCATGCCTGTGACCCAGCACTTTGGGAGGCCAAGGCGGGCAGATCGCTTGAGGTCAGGAGTTTGAGATCATCCTGGCCAACATGGGGAAACCCTGTCTCTACTAAAATACAAAAATTAGTCAGGCATGATGGCGCATGCCTGTAATCCCAGCTACTCAAGAGGCTGAGGCAGGATAATTGCTTGAATCCAGGAGGCGAAGGCTGCAGTGAGCCGGGATGGCGCCACTGCACTCCAGCCTGGGCAACCGAGTGAGACTCCGTCCCAAAAAAGAAAAAAGGGGACGGGTGAGGTGGCTCACGCCTGTAATCCCAGCACTTTGGGAGGCCGAGGCGGGCGGATCACGAGGTCAGGAGATCGAGACCATCCTGGCTAACACGGTGAAACCCCGTCTCTACTAAAAATACAAAAAATTAGCCGGGTGTGGTGGCGGGCGCCTGTAGTCCCAGCTACTCGGGAGGTTGAGGCAGGAGAATGGCGTGAACCCAGGAGGCGGAGCTTGCAGTGAGCCGAGATCACACCACTGCACTCCAGCCTGGGCGACAGAGCGAACTCCGTCTCAAAAAAAAAAAAAAAAGAAAAAACAAATCTGGTTTTTGTTCATCTTCAACATGTACTTCGCTTAGAACATGCAAGGCACTAGAATGGAAACGAATGGTTGTCTTCGTAGTAATTGTCACTGTAATCATCATTATCATCATCACCATAGTTAACCTGTACAAGGCACTCAGTTAGATGTCTTTACATGGAGTATATTGTTTGTTTAATTCTAACAGTCATGTACACTATTACTATTATTATTGAGATGGAGTTTCGCTCTTGTTGCCCAGGCTGGAGTGCAATGGCACGATCTCGGCTCACCGCAACCTTCACCTCCCAGGTTCAAGCGATTCTCCTGCCTCAGCCTCCTGAGTTGCTGGGATTACAGTCATGCGCCACCACGCCCGGCTAATTTTGTATTTTTAATAGAGACAGGGTTTCTCCCCGTTGGTCAGGCTGATCTGGAACTCCCGACCTCAGGTGATCTGCCTGCCTTGGCCTCCCAAAGTGCTGGGATTACAGGCGTGAATCACCGTGCCCAGCCAGCTATTATTTTTAATCTTCATTTTACAGATGATGAAATTGAGTCAAAGAGAAGTATTTTACCTTAAGTTACAGAGTTAATGAGTGATAGAGTTGGGATTTTATTCTAGGCTCTTCCAGAACCAGTTTACTTAACCACCACTTTATACTGCCTCTCTAGGGTACTGAAATGAAAAAGATAGAGGCCCTGCTGTTGAGGCATTCATGGACTGGTGGGGAGATGGGTACCAAAACACATTGACCCTACCACAAGGTGTGTACAAAGTACCGTAAGAGGACCAAGGAGGCCAGGTGTGGTGGCTCACACCTATAATCCTAGCACTTTGGGAGGCCAAGGTGGATGGATCGCTTAAACCCAGGAGTTTGAGACCAGCCTGGGCAACATACAGAAACCCTGTCCCTACAAAAAAAAAAAAAGAAAAAAAAGAAAAGAAAAAATTAGCCGGGCGTGGTGGTGTGCACCTGTAGTCCCAGCTACTCGGGAGGCTGAGGTGGGAGCATCCTGTGAGCCCGGGGAGGTCAAGGCTGCAGTGAGCCATGATCACGCTAATGCACTTCAGCCTGGGCAACAGAGTGAGACTCCGTCTGAAAAAAGAAAAAAGAAAGGACCAAGAAAGTCCCCCTAGCCCTGCTTGGGGAAAGCAGAGAAAGTGGCATTTGAGCTGGACGTTGCAGGATAGGTGAGATTGCCACATAGAGAAGGGGGAAAGGATATAGCAGGCAAAGGGAACTGTATGTACAAAGGGCACAGGAGAATGAAACACGAAAGCATTTCATATTTTGGAGAAAAGCAAATCACGTGAAGAGAGAATAGGGTGTTACAGTGGGAGGTGAGGACGGAGCCAAATTATGAGAGGCCTTGATGGCTGTTCAGGAGCCGTGGAAAGTGTATGAACAGAATGACAGGGTCAGAGCTGTGGTGAGGATGCTGGTGTGACTCCACCTTATCAGCTTAACATGGAGAACCTGAGACTTTCACCACAAGTCCAAAGAGACCCTGAGCTCAAACTGGTTATGACTTTGAAAGAAGAGGAGTTACTGCTCTGTTTATTGTTTATTTGCTTTTGCTTTGTTTGCTTGGGCTACTGGTTTTAGAAGGGGCAGGAAGAGGCTCCAGCAAAATATTTGCTATTTTCTTGTAAAATAGAAACACCAGGCATGCTTCCCTCTTCATTGTTCTTACAACCTATATAAGGAAGGTTATTATTCTATTTGGATGCTTTCAGTTTCAACTAACAGAAAAATAAACTTGAATAAGGAATTTGCACTTCATTATGCTGGAAAGTCCAGAGGCAGCTGGCTTTAGATGAGGCTTGATGTAGCCCCAAAACAATGTCTTTCTTTCTTCTCTGCTGTCTTTATACTAAAGCTGACCTCCTTTGCAATCCCAAGATGGGCTACCTACCTGCCTTCTCTTTATGCTCAGCAAGAAAGACAGCATTTTTGTCCCAGTGTTTCCAACAGTCCTGAGAATCACCCTGATTACAAAGCTTTGGCCATATGCACCAATCACAATAGCGGTGGATAAAATGCAATATTACCTTTGCCTTTAGGGATTTCTTCCTTGACCCCTGAAATCAGGGAAAGAATCAACTTTTCCAGGACTCAAAATGTCCAAATGTAAAACAGGACTCCTGGGAAAGTGGAAAGGGATCAACCAACAACCATCCTCTACAGTCATAATGAAAATTCAGAGGACTCACTAAAAGCCTTGATTTTCACATAATCTTACTGATCTTTAGTACCCCTGAAAACTTCACACTCAAAGCCTCTGTTTAATCCATTGATTCTCAATGCCTTCAGAGATTCTGACTTCACTGGCCTAGATATAAGCATTTTGTTTTGAGCTCGCCAGGTGATTCTAATGAGCAGACAGAGCTGAGAACCATTGCATTAATCTTTCATGATTGCCACTTCTGCAGTCATATGCTTAGTTTTACATACAGCTGAACTATGTTGAAACTAAACAAGAATGATAAAGTCAAACATGTAATACAAATAATAATAACTCTTATTGAGAATTATGTTTCAAGCACATTGCAAGATGTTTTACATACATTGTCTCATTTCATCTTGTGAAACACAGAATATTATCATTATTATTATTTTTTTTGAGACGGAGTCTCACTTTGTCACCCAGGCTGGAGTGCAGTGGTGCAATCTCAGCCATGGCAACCTCCGACTCCTCTGTTCAAGTGATTCTCCTGCCTCAGCCTCCTGAGTAGCTGGGATTACAGGTGTGCACCACCACGCCCAGCTAATTTTCGTACTTTTAGTAGAGACGGGGTTTCACCATGTTAACCAGGCTGGTCTCGAACTCCTGACCTCGTGATCCGACTGCCTCGGCCTCCCAAAGTGCTGGGATTACAGGCCTGAGCCATTGCGCCCAGCCTATTTCTTAACTTAGTTGTCCAACTTAACTTAGTTGTCCAAGATCACGTATCTAGTATGTGGCTAAGACAGAACTTGAACCCATATGTACCTGACTTCAAAACTCCATGCACTTAACCCCTGTTATAAATTGTTTGTTCCAGAACCATGACTAGAAGAGATCTCATTTAGAATTCAACAATTTCCCAGAGCTCTTTAGTCCCTGACCCACCTGTGTATTTGTCAGGGCCTGCCAGGTCACATTTAGGTGGGTTTTTTTTTTTTTAACTACCTCTTAGTGCCTCCTGCACCATCTTCCATGTTTTATATATACTGTATTGCACACACCCAGATTACATTTAGTATATAGCCACAGGTATAAAAAAGGGTGTGACAAATGTGCTTACGGATTACATATTGTGCACTTTAGAGTTTATATACACACTTATATTTTACACACATATAAAAATGGTGAATATAATGTAGGGAAGAGAATATTGACTCAGAGTTCCATATTTGACTAGCACTGTGACCTTACAGGCACATTTGTTGAATTTCTTTTTAATCATATGTAAAATGGGGAGATAATGCGTGCTTTTCCTAATTGCACTATTATCTAAGGATCAAATGAGATCCCACACCTAGCAAGGTGTCTTGCTTGTACATTTTTATTTGCCAGCTAATGAGCTGTACCTATGAAGTCTTGTAAATATATATGTAAAAGCTGCTATCACCTTTTACAGAGTAATATTGCACCTTTGTGTATCTTTGTTGATTAGCCATAAACTCTCCCTCCCCTGTTTCTCACCTACTGACAAATTTCTGGAATTCTGTGTAATAAGCACGGGTCAGAGGTTGGAAATGTAATAGAAAACAGAGGAAAGGACAGAAGGAAAGGGAGTGAGAGAAATATTTGTTCAATTGACATACTAGCATGTTTTGATTTGTTTTTAACTAAAAAACGAGTCACTGTTGGCTAGGTTTATACACTATTGTTGGAAGTGTAAATTGCTAAAAATTTTGAAGCGGGGCTGGGTGATGTGGCTTATGCCTGTAATTCTAGCACTTTGGGAGGCTGAGATGGGAGGATCACTTAAAGCCAGAAGTTCAAGACCACCTGGGCAACACAGCAAGACCAACAAAACTCTATTAAAAAAATAGCAAGACTTTACTAAAAATTAAAAACAAAAAAAAAATTATCCAGGTGTAGTGGGATGTGCCTGCAGTCTCAGGCCTGTAGCCCCAGCTACTTGGGAAGCTGAGGTGAGAGAATCGCTTGAGCTCTGGAGGTCGAGGCTGCAATGAACTATGATCATGCCACTGCACTCCAGCCTAGGTGACAGAGTGAGACCCTATCTTCAAAAAAAAAAAAGAAATTTAAAGAGCTAGTTATCAAACTGAACATCAACATATAAATCCCACTTTGTATTAGATAATAAAAAACAAAAAATTAAGCTCACATTTATACCAAGATTTACACAGAGAAGGTACAAAAAGATAAACAAATGATTAAATTAACCATGGCTATACCTCGTGGGTGGGGTGTCTGGGAGGGGAAGTTTCACTTTTTATTTAATATTCTTCTGTATAGCTTGTTTACAAGCATTTACTATTTTTTGCAAAAGTGAAATAAGCCCAGAGCAGAGAATAGCTAGATATGCATACATCAGCTGTACTCCTGTGTTATTCTTCCTTGGCTCCTCTCTGCAAGGCCAGTTTACTGTCCCGGGAGGGTGCTGACCCCTGCCTGCCTGGTTCTTCTTGTTCTGTTTTGCAGTTCATTACCAGCTGCTTAAGCAGCAGGTTCCCAGTGGCTGGTCAGCTGGAACTGCTTCAGGAGGACAAACAGGAAGGATGCAGCTGCCAGTGCAGATTACCCTGTTAGCCTTATTGACAGGAAAAAAAATTTAAACCTTAAAATGTTGAGGAAAATGTCATGCTATTAACAACTCCCTCATGCCTCTGCCTAGATCAGGCAGTGAACTGGATTTGGGTTGCTCGGAAGGAATCCTCACAATTGCATGTAACAAACTTCCAGCTCCACGTCCTAGCAACTTGCCCCCAACACTTGGTTAGGGGTTACGTTCCACAGGCTAGATCCCATGGCAATCCTATCCCCCTACGTCAAACTAAAGCTTCCTCCATGGAAAAATAAAACGTCTCACCATTCCTGCAGCTAGCCTTCTCTCATGCAGGATGCCTGCAGGAGCTCAGAGTAAAGGGAAAATTCCTTATAAGACAATCAAGGTAAGAAGTGCAGCTGTAGTGGATGAAGTGCAGGTAGATGGGTATCGTATCTCTGCTCTGACACTTTCTAATCATGTGGCTTTAGGCAAATGACTTCACCTCTCTTAGACTAAGTTTCCTCATCTGTAAAATAGGGAAAATAAATATACCTGCCTCATAGGGTTGGACATAGAGGAATGCAAGTGCTATATTTATTTATGCAGTAAGCCTCATTTCCTATCACTCCCCACAATAGCAGTGGTTAAGAGTTCGGGCTCTGGGCCGGGCGCAGTGGCTCACACTTATAATCCTAGCACTTTGGGAGGCCGAGGTGGGCAGGTCAGGAGATCGACAACACAGTGAAACCCTGTCTCTACTAAAAATACAAAAAAATTAGCTGGGCATGGTGGCAGGCACCTGTAGTCCCAGCTACTGGGAGAGGCTGAGGCAGGAGAATGGCGTGAACCTGGGAGGCGGAGCTTGCAGTGAGCCGAGATCCCGCCACCATACTCCAGCCTGGGCGACAGAGCAAGACTCTGTCTCAAAAAAAAAAAAAAAAAAAAAAAAAAAAGAGTTTGGGCTCTGGAATCAGATTGTCTAGGTTCAAATCCTAGCTCTATTGCTTATTTTATTTATTTATTTATTTTGAGATGGAGTCTTGCCCTGTCACCCAGGCTGGAGTGCAATGGCGTGATCTCGGCTTACTGAAACCTCTGCCTTCTGGATTCAAGAGATTCTCCTGCCTCAGCCTCCGAGTAGCTGGGATTACAGGCACATGCCACCATGCCCAGCTACTTTTTTGTATCTTTAGTAGAGACAGGGTTTCATCATGTTGGCCAGGCTGGTCTCGAACTCCTGACCTTGTGATCTGCCCACCTTGGCCTCCCAAAGTGCTGGGATTACAGGCGTGAGCCACTGTGCCTGGCCTATTCCTTATTATGAGTATGATTTTGGGCAAAGCTCTTTGGACCTCAGCTTTTTCATCAGTAAAATGAATATTCTCATCTCATAGGAATCTTACGAAGATTAACTGAGTACATGTAAAACAGTAAAGTGCCTGGAACACAGGCAATCAGGAAATGAGGCTGTTCTAATTTGCTGCTGATGAAAAAATAGCATGTTTCCTATACAGAATATGAAGTTTGTAAAACCATCTTCTAAGTCCCTCCCCGGCCTCTCCCCAAACACTCAGAAAGTGAGCCGCTGGCTCTGGTCTTAAATCTAGTTCTGTCTTCCTGTGCTATACAGTGTTCCTCTCTTCATCCCTTTCCTTCTCACTCTTCCAGCTTCTCTTTCTCTCCCTGCCCAGGCCTCTCATTAGTCCAGTTAATAAACTGTTGCTGTCATTTCAGTTCAGCTCCAGGATCAGGGTCCCTTGGGGATAGGCATTATGCTGGGGAAGTGAGATGATGGGGGAGCTGCAGGGACATCCTAATTTCCACAGTGGAGTGGAAATAGGAACCAGGGTTGACAGCAGACGAACCTCCCTAGGCCCAGGTCTCCTGGGCCATCATCAGGATAATCAGTGAGAACTTCATTATATAGGGTGAGAGTCTGGCTGTTTGGCATTGTGCCAGGGTCCTATTCAGGGACAGGAAGTTTCTGGCTTGGAGATAATGACCAGCCTGGGGCCTCTGGCCTTCTGTGCACTGGCCTTCAGCTCCCTCTTGGGCATGCACACATACACATTCATGCAGGCACGCACACAAGTTCCCTGGGCTTTCAGTCAGCTCAAGGGTTTGTGGGTACATTCCCAGCCTGGAAAGCTGGTGAACAGAGTGAGGCTGGAGGGCCCAGAAACGCATGACTGCCTCTGCTGATTGCTGAGAATAATCAAACTCTGAAGTTCCCACCAAGAGCCCATTAAACCAATACAAACGTCTCATCCAGAGTGACAGCAAGGTTTCCTCCCAACCTTGGAAGGATAAAGGGGCAGGTCTGGGGAGTAGCCCAGCTAGCTGAAAATGCAAAAATGGGACTCGCTGCAGGTTAGCTCAGAAGCTCAAGCAGCCCAGGGACAAGATGGTTTGCTGGGTATGGGATGGAGGTCAGCATTTTCAATCCCCTCCTCCCCACACCTTCAGGGTATAAATCAAGTTTGTGCTGAGGATGGGGACTAGGGTGGGGGCATGAGGGGCATGGTTTGATTTTCTCAACCAGTTACGTTGTACTTACTTCTTCAGGCATGTATTTGGAAGAGGGGGTTCATATCACACTAATTCTCCTGACATGTGGCTCCCACCTGCTGCACTGTCAATACTCCTATTCACCACCTAGAATTATGAGCTTCTGTGCTGGCCTCAGCCCAAAGAGAATGTAGAAAATGGCAGGCTTTCATTCACTGCCTCTTAATTCCTCACAACCACAAAAACACCTGTGTTCTGTAGACAGACTTTACTGTAGGTCTCACAGTGTGGTTTTTAAGCATAATCCGTGGACCAGCCACTTCAGCAATACCTGGGAACTTGTTAGAAATGCAAATTTTCAGGTCCCACTTTAGACTTACTGAATCAGAAAGTCTGGGGGCCAGCTCAACAATCCATATATCAACAAGCCCTCTGAGTGATTCTTTTATGGTTGTTATTATTATTATTATTATTTTGAGACAGAGTCTGGCTCTATCACCCAGGCTGGAGTGCGGTGGTGCCATCTTGACTCACTGCAACCTCCATTTTTTGGGTTCAAGTGATTCTCCTGCCTTAGCCTCCTGAGTAGCTGACACTACAGGCGTGCACCACCACACCTGGCTAATTTTCTGTATTTTAGTACAGGCACGGTTTCACCTTGTTGCCCAGGCTGGTCTTGAACTCCTGAGCTCAAGTGATCCACCCATCTCGGCCTCCCAAAGTGTTGGGATTATGGGCGTGAGCCACAGGCATGAGCCACTGCACCCTTCACAAGCCCTCCAAGTGATTCTGATACTTGATGAAGTTTAAGAACTTACGCTGTATGTTTGAGGGTGACTTGAAAAAAGTTACAATGTAAGGAAGGAAACTTAAAACTGATTTTTTTTCTTTTCTTTTTTTTTTTTGAGATGGAGTTTCACTCTTGTTGCCCAGGCTAGAGAGCAACGTCTCAAACTTGGCTCACTGCAATCTCTGCCTCCTGGGTTCAAGCGATTCTCCTGCCTCACCCTCTCAAGTAGCTGGGACTACAGGCACGGGCCACCACACCCGGCTAATTTTTTTTGTATTTAGTAGAGATAGGGTTTCACCATGTTGGTCAGGCTGGTTATGAACTCTTGACCTCAGGTGATCCACCTGCCTCAGCCTCCCAAAGTGCTGGGATTATAGGCATGAGCCAACATGCCAGGCCAAAACTGAATTGTCAATAGAACTGTTTAAAAGCCTACAGGAGCAGCTGGGTGCGGTGGCTCACGCCTGTAATCGCAGCACTTTGGTAGGCTGAGGCAGGTGGATCATGAGGTCAGGAGATTGAGACCATCCTGGCTAACATGGTGAAACCCCGTCTCTACTAAAAATACAAAAAAATTAGCCGGGCATGGTGGCATGTGCCTGTAGTCCCAGCTACTCGGGAGGCTGAGGCAGGAGAATCGCTTGAACCCAGGAGGCAGAGGTTGCAGTGAGCCGAGATTGTGCCACTGCACTCCAGCCTGGGCGACAGAGCGAGACTCCATCTCAAACAAACAAACAAACAAACAAAAGCCTACAGGAATATAAAAAGCGTCTTTCATGGGGTTTTGCTTCCCTCTCTGGAGGTCCACGTGGTAGAGGTTGATTTTTTTCTCCTACTAAGTTAATAGAAAGCATGTACCCATACATTCACACATTAACTCATTCCTCACCTTTTCTCCACAGAGGTCACAACATTTTTGAATTTGGCATTTGTCATTCCTGTGCATGTTTTTACTACATATTTCCTACATAGTATTTTCGTTTCTTTTTTTTTTTTTCTTTGAGACAGAGTTTCCCTCTTGTTGCCCAGGCTGGAGTGCAATGGCGCGATCTTGGCTCACCGCAACCTCTGCCTCCCACGTTCAAGCGATTCTCCTGCCTCATCCTCCTTAGTAGCTGGGATGACGGGCATGCGCCACCATGCCTGGCTAATTTTGTATTTTGAGTAGAGATAGGGTTTCTCCATGTTGGTCAGGCTGGTCTCGAACTCCAGACCTCAGGTGATCCGCCCGCCTCAGCCTCCCAAAGTGCTGGGATTACAGGTGTGAGCCATCATGCCTGGCTCTACCTAGTATTTTCCACATATTTTGAACATTGTATATTTTAGATATATTGTACATATTTGTTAGCAGTTTGCTTTTTTCCCATTTGACACTGTTTTTAGATTTATCTGTGATCCTACTACATCTACCTTTTTTTTTTTTTTTTTTTTGAGATGGCTTCTTGCTCTGTTGCCCAGGCTGGAGTGCAGTGGCATGCTCTCAGCTCACTGCAATCTCCGCCTCCCGATTTCAAGCAATTCTCCCGCCTCAGCCTCCCAAGTAGCTGGGATTACAAGCCTGCGCCACCACACCGGCTGATTTTTGTATTTTTAGTAGAGACGGGGTTTCACCATGTTGGCCGGGCTGGTCTAGAATTCCTGACCTCATGATCTGCCCGCCTCAGCCTCCCAAAGTGCTGGGATTACAGGCGTGAGCCACCGTGCCTGGCCATTTCTACTTTTTTAACCCTGAGAGTGTCTTTGTGATTATTTTCACCTTAGAACACCATGCACATTTGGGATTTTTACTGGGAATGCATTCAATCTATAAATCAGTCTGAGAGAATTGACATCTTTTATTTGTTTATTTTTAATTTATTTTTATTTTTAGAGAAAGGGCCTTGCTGTGTTGCTTAAGCTGGCCTTGAACTCCTAGGCTCAAGCAATCCCCCTGCCTCAGCCTTCCAAATAATTGAGATTACAGGCCCACACCACCACACCTGGTCATCATCTTTATAATAGTGATTTTTTTTTTTTTTTTTTGAGACAGAGTCTCACTCTGTTGCCCACGCTGGAGTGCCGTGGCACAGTCTTGGCTTGCTGCAATGTATGCCTCCTGGGTTTGATTGATTCTCCTGCCTCAGCCTCCGGAGTAGCTGAGATTACAGGGACCTGCCACAACACTCAGCCAATTTTTGCATTTTTAGTAGAGACGATATTTCACCATGTTCGCCAAGCTGATGTTGAACTGCTGACATCAAGTAATCTACCTGCTTCAGCCTCCCAAAGTGCTGGGATTACAGGCATGAGCCATTTTGCCTGGATTATAATATTGATTCTTTCAGTCTGAGAGCATAGTATTTTTCTCCATCTATTTAGATCCTCTTTTATTTATTTATTTATTTATTTTTATTTATTTTTTTATTTTTTAGTATTTATTGATCATTCTTGGGTGTTTCTCGAGGAGGGGGATTTGGCAGGGTCATAGGACAATAGTGGAGGGAAGGTCAGCAGATAAACAAGTGAACAAGGGTCTCTGTTTTTCCTAGGCAGAGGACCCTGCGGCCTTCCACAGTGTTTGTGTCCCTGGGTACTTGAGATTAGGGAGTGGTGATGACTCTTAAGGAGCATGCTGCCTTCAAGCATCTGTTTAACAAAGCACATCTTGCACCGCCCTTAATCCATTTAACCCTGAGTAGGCACAGCACATGTTTCAGAGAGCACGGGGTTGGGGGTAAGGTTATAGATTAACAGCATCCCAAGGCAGAAGAATTTTTCTTAGTACAGAACAAAATGGAATCTCCTATGTCTACTTCTTTCTACACAGACACAGCAACAATCTGATTTCTCTATCTTTTCCCCACATTTCCCCCTTTTCTATTCGACAAAACTGCCATCGTCATCATGGCCCGTTCTCAATGAGCTGTTGGGTACACCTCCCAGACGGGGTGGCGGCCGGGCAGAGGGGCTCCTCACTTCCCAGAAGGGGCGGCCGGGCAGAGGCGCCCCCCACCTCCTGGACGGGGAGGCGGCCGGGCGGGGGCTGCCCCCCACCTCCCTCCCGGACGGGGCAGCTGCCGGGCGGAGACGCTCCTCACATCCTAGACGGGGCGGCTGCCGGGCGGAGGGGCTCCTCACTTCTCAGACGGGGTGGCTGCCAGGCAGAGGGGCTCCTCACTTCTCAGACGGGGCGGCTGGGCAGAGGCGCTCCTCACCTCCCAGACGGGGTCGCGGCCGGGCAGAGGCACTCCTCACATCCCAGACGGGGCGGCGGGGCAGAGGCGCTCCCCACATCTCAGACGATGGGCGGCCGGGCAGAGATGCTCCTCACTTCCTAGACGGATGGCGGCGGGGAAGAGGCGCTCCTCACTTCCCAGACTGGGCAGCCGGGCAGAGGGGCTCCTCACATCCCAGACGATGGGCGGCCAGGCAGAGACGCTCCTCACTTCCCAGACGGGGTGGCGGCCGGGCAGAGGCTGCAATCTCAGCACTTTGGGAGGCCAAGGCAGGCAGCTGGGAGGTGGAGGTTGTAGCGAGCTGAGATCACGCCACTGCACTCCAGCCTGGGCAACATTGAGCACTGAGTGAACCAGACTCCGTCTGCAATCCCGGCACCTCGGGAGGCCGAGGCTGGCAGATCACTTGCGGTTAGGAGCTGGAGACCAGCCCGGCCAACACAGCGAAACCACGTCTCCAACAAAAAAATACGAAAACCAGTCAGGCGTGGCGGTGCACGCCTGCAATCCCAATCACTAGGCAGGCTGAGGCAGGAGAATCAGGCAGGGAGGTTGCAGTGAGCCGAGATGGCGGCAGTACAGTCCAGCTTCGGCTTGGCATCAGAGGGAGACCGTGGAGAGAGAGGGAGAGGGAGACCGTGGGGAGAGGCAGAGGCAGAAGCAGGAGGCAGGAGGCAGGAGGCAGGAGGCAGGAGGCAGGAGGCAGGAGGCAGAAGCAGCTAGATCCTCTTTTATACTTTCCAGTAAAGTTTTATAATGTTCTCTATATACTTTTTCTCTTGTATTTCTTTCTTTGATCTACGTATCTTTTAGTTTTTATTGCTATTGCATATGCCATCTTAAAAATATTTTATAATTGCTGATTTATTATGATAAAATTGATTTTAGTATATTGATCTTGTAGTCACATCCTTGTTGAAATTTTTTGTTAGTTTAAATAGTTTACTTGAAATTCTTTTGGATTTTTTTCTGCAGAGAATCATATCCTGTGTAAGTAAGGGCAGTTTTGTTTGCTCCCTTATGATTTTATATCTTTAATATCTTTTTCTTATCTTGTACTGGTTAGGAACTCTAGAATAGTGTCCAGTAGAAGCAATGATAGGCATCATTGTCTTGATCCTAATGTAAAAGGAGTTTTTTTAATGTTTCACTGTTAAGTAAAAGTTGCTATAGGTTTTGGTAAACACCTTTTATTAGCAAGAAGAAGTTCATTCTATTCCAAGTTGGCTAAGAGTTTTTGTTTGTTTGTTTGTTTGTTTGTTTTGAGATGGAGTCTCACCCTGTTGCCCAGGCTGGAATGCAATGGTGCGATCTCGGCTCACTGCAACCTCCGCCTCCCAGGTTCAAATGATTCTCCTGCCTCAGCCTCCTGAGTAGCTGGGATTACAGATGCCTGCCACCACGCCCAGCTAAGTTTTGTATTTGTAGTAGAGATGGGGTTTCACCATGTTGGCCAGGCTGGTCTTGAACTCCTGACCTCAGGTGATCCACCCGCCTCGGCCTCCCAAAGTGCTGGGATTACAGGTGTGAGCCACCACACCCGGCCAAATCTTGGTGATATATTATATATCATACATTACATATTTACATATTTTCCATATATATGTGATATATATTATATATCAAATAGTACATATGTGTTAAAGAGGAAAAACCATACTATTTCAGGATGTACAAATATATGCTATATATATATATGACATATCACATATATCATATAAAAAGTCATATTTTTTCATATACTAAAATAGTTATGCTTTTTCTCCTTTACTCTGATAATGTAGTGGATTGCTAGCACTTTCTAGTTTACCTATTAAAGAGGCCATTTATAGGCCCATTTGCTGTGTGGGTGGTTTTGATGGGAACAAGATGGAAAGAAGAGTTCAGTTACAGTTACGAGGCTACTAAGGTTGTATAGATGAGAGATTATTGTGTCTTGGATTGGTGTGGAGGTAAGAGAGATGGAAAGAAGTAGTCAGTTTAAAAATATATTTTGGATTTGCTGATGGGTTGCAGTAAGGTAAGGAGTAGATGGAGAATAAAGGGAAAGGAAAGAAAAGACTCAAAGATGAGTTCTAAATTTCTGGAGATTTTTCTTTAAAAATTGTGGTAAAAAATATATAACATAAAATGTAACAATTTGGAACTATTTTTAAGTATACAGTTCTGTGGTAGTAAGTACATTCACATTATTGTGCAACCATTGCCACCATCTATCTCCAGAACTTTTTTCATTTTCCCAAACTGAAACTCACTATGCATTAAACAATAACTCCCCATTCTCTCCTCCTCCTAGCCCCTCCCAGCCCAGACAATCACCAATCTATTTTCTGTCTGTATGAATTTGACTACTCTAAGTACCTCATATAAGTGCAATCACACTATTTGTCCTTTTATAATTGATTTATTTCACTTAGCATAATGTTTTCAAGGTTTATTTATGTTGTAGCAAGTATCAGGATTCCCTTCCTTTTTTATTTTTGAGATGGAGTTTCGCTCTTGTTGCCCAGGCTGGAGTGCAATGGCGCAATCTCGGTTTACTGCAAACTCCGCTTCCCAGGTTCAAGCGATTCTCCTGCCTCAGCCTCCCGAATACCTGGGATTACAGGCATGTGCCACCACGCCCGGCTAATTTTCTGTATTTTTAGTAGAGACGGGGTTTCACCATGTTTGCCAGGCTGGTCTCGAACTCCTGACCTGAGGTGATCCACCCACCTCGGCCTCCCAAAGCGCTGGGATTACAGGTGTGAGCCACTATGCCCAGCCAGGATTCCCTTCCTTTCAAAGGCTGAATCATATACATATATATATATACATACACACACATATATACCAAATTTTGCTTGTTTATTCATCCATTGATAAGACACTTGGGTTGCTTCCACGTTTTGGCTATTGTGAATAATACTGCTATGGAACATGGGTATACCCATATTTCTTCAAGCTGTTTCAATTATTTTATGTTTAATTTTTTGAGGAAATGCTGTCCCATTTTCCACAGCCTCCCCTCCCTTCCCTTCCCCTCCCTTCCCCTCCCTTCCCCTCCCCTCCCCTCCCTTCCCCTCTGCTCCCCCTCCTCTCCTCTCCTTTCTTTTTGAGATGGAGTCTTGCTCTGTTGCCCAGGCTGAAGTGCAATGGCGCGGTCTCAGCTCACTGCAACCTCCGCCTCCTGAGTTCAAGCAATTCTGCCTCAGCCTCCTGAGTAGCTGGGATTATAGGCATGCACCACGAGGCCCAGCTAATTTTTGTATTTTTAGCAGTGATGGGGTTTCACCATGTTGACCAGGCTGCTCTCAAACTCCTGACCTCAGCGATCTGCCGCCTTGGCCTCCCAAAGTGCTGGGATTACAGGTGTGATCCACCATACCTAGCCAGCTACACCATTTTATATTCCTACCAGGAATGTACAAGAATTACAAGTTTCTCTACATCGTCACCAAACTTGTTATTTTCTGGTTTCTATACATATACATATACATATAATATATATATAATACCCATCCTACTAGTTGTGAAGTAGTATCACATTGTGGTTTTAATGTGGATTTCCTTGATGATTAGTGATCTTGAGCATCTTTTACTTGTGCTTATTGGTCATTTGTGTATCTTTGGAGGAATTCAAGTCCTCTGCCTATTTTTAAATTAGGTTGCTTTTTTGTTGTTAAGTTGTAGGAGTTCTTTATGTTTTTCTGGATACTAATCCCTTATCTGATATATGATTTGCAAATCTTCCATCACATGGCGTGCCTTTTCACTCTGTAGATAGTGTCCTTTAATGAACTGTTTTTAATTTTGATGAAGTACAATTTATCTATTTTTTCTGGCTTTATGTTTCACTTCAATAAATAGTAGTTACAATTGTTATCATTATTCCTTCTTTGCTTTAGTGGGAAAAGGAAATGGGAAGGAAGAGATGGAAGGAGACAAAAATGCATTCTCACTAGATTTGGGCATATTTACAGAGAAGCAGTGAAATTAACAGTAATTTTTTTTTTTTTTTGAAATGGAGTCTTTCTCTGTTGCCCATGCTGGAGTGCAGTGGTGCAATCTCGGCTCACTGCAACCTCCGCCTCTCAGGTTCAAGCAATCCTCGTGCCTCAGCCTCCCCAGCTGGGATTACAGGTGTGCAGCACCAAGCCTAATTTTTGTATTTTTAATAAAGACGGGATTTTGCCATGTTAGCCAGGCTTGTCTCGAACTCCTGAGTTCAAGTAATCTGCCGGCCTCGGCCTCCAAAAGTGCTGGGATTACAGGCATGAGCCACTGCATCCGGCCAAATTAACAGTAATTTAGTCAACAATAAATATTTATTCAGCATTGCCTATATTCCAGACACTGCTCTTAGCAATGGAGATATAAAATGAGAAAACATATCTGTAACATTATGCTTTGGAAAGATAATTCTAGTGACAGCTTAGAGACTTGGAGACAGGAGAGACTGGAGGACAGGAGATGGGTGCAAAGGTTATTGAAATAGTAGTCATATGAGATGAAGGTCTGAACTAAGTAGCAGTGGGGATGGAGAGCTGGGGAAAGATGTGAGACATTCCTGAGGGGGAATCAAGAGAGTCTAGTGATTAGATGTGACAGGAAAGAATGGGGGGAAAGCACAGGCAATCCTGAGACTTCTAGTTTGAAAGAATAGAATTGATCAGGTTAGTTAGCTATGACTTTGCAAAGAGTAAAGTCCCGAGGTAAGGAGATATAGGGCAGCTAAATTGTAAGGGATTGGGGTTTATGTTAAGGTGTGGAACAAGGGATATCAAGTGAGTAGTTTTTTTTTTTTTAAGTAATCTGGAGCTGGGGTATTCTGTGCTTATGGATTCCACTGAACTCTAAAATCTCAGCCCAGGTACTTTAGCACCCACGAATTAATTAGACAATTTAGGGCAATGAATATAAAAGCTCTATATTCCATTGTTAATCAGAAATGAATCATTAAATTCTGTTAAAAACACATATTTGCGCTAGAAAAAGTAAATTATGGGAGTCGGCGCCGGCGAGCGCCGCCCGGGAGGCAGCGGCTGGAGGAGCGGACGGGCCCCGCGGGGCCCGAGGGCAAGGAGCAGCCGCCTGCCTTGGCCTCCCAAAGTGCCGAGATTGCAGCCTCTGCCCGGCTGCCACCCCGTCTGGGAAGTGAGGAGTGTCTCTGCCTGGCCGCCCATCGTCTGGGATGTGAGGAGCCCCTCTGCCTGGCTGCCCAGTCTGGAAAGTGAGGAGCGTCTCCGCCCGGCCGCCATCCCATCTAGGAAGTGAGGAGCGCCTCTTCCCAGCCGCCATCACATCTAGGAAGTGAGGAGCGTCTCTGCCCGGCCGCCCATCGTCTGAGATGTGGGGAGCGCCTCTGCCCCGCCGCCCCATCTGGGATGTGAGGAGCGCCTCTGCCCGGCCGAGACCCCGTCTGGGAGGTGAGGAGCGTCTCTGCCCGGCCGCCCCGTCTGAGAAGTGAGGAGACCCTCTGCCTGGCAACCACCCCGTCTGAGAAGTGAGGAGCCCCTCCACCCGGCAGCTGCCCCGTCTGAGAAGTGAGGAGCCTCTCCGCCCGGCAGCCACCCCATCTGGGAAGTGAGGAGCGTCTCCGCCCGGCAGCCACCCCGTCCGGGAAGGAGGTGGGGGGGGGTCAGCCCCCCGCCCGGCCAGCCGCCCCATCCGGGAGGGAGGTGGGGGGTCAGCCCCCACGCCCGGCCAGCCGTGCCATCCGGGAGGGAGGTGGGGGGGTCAGCCCCCCGCCTGGCCAGCCGTGCCATCCGGGAGGGAGGTGGGGGGGTCAGCCCCCCGCCCGGCCAGCTGCCCCGTCCGGGAGGTGAGGGGCGCCTCTGCCCGGCCGCCCCTACTGGGAAGTGAGGAGCTCCTCAGCCCAGCCAGCCAACCCGTCCGGGAGGGAGATGGGGGGGTCAGCCCCCCCACCCGGCCAGCCGCCCCGTCCGGTAGGGAGGTAGGGGGGTCAGCCCCCCGCCTGGCCAGCCGCCCCGTCCGGGAGGGAGGTGGGGGGGTCAGCCCTCCGCCCAGCCAGCCGCCCCGTCTGGGAGGTGAGGGGCGCCTCTGCCCAGCCGCCCCTACTGGGAAGTGAGGAGCCCCTCTGCCCGGCCAGCCGCCCCGTCCGGGAGGGAGGTGGGGGGGGTCAGCCCCCCGCCCGGCCAGCCGCCATGTCCGGGAGGGAGGTGGGGGGGTCAGCCCTCCGCCCGGCCAGCCGCCCCGTCTGGGAGGTGAGGGGCGCCTCTGCCCGGCCGCCCCTACTGGGAAGTGAGGAGCCCCTCTGCCCGGCCAGCCGCCCCGTCCGGGAGGGAGGTGGGGGGGTCGGCCCCCCGCCCGGCCAGCCGCCCCGTCCGGGAGGGAGGTGGGGGGGTCGGCCCCCCGCCCGGCCAGCCGCCCCGTCCGGGAGGGAGGTGGGGGGGGTCAGCCCCCCCGCCCAGCCAGCCGCCCTGTCCGGGAGGTGAGGGGCGCCTCTGCCCGGCCGCCCCTACTGGGAAGTGAGGAGCCCCTCTGCCCGGCCAGCCGCCCCGTCCGGGAGGGAGGTGGGGGGGTCGGCCCCCCGCCCGGCCAGCCGCCCCGTCCGGGAGGGAGGTGGGGGGGGTCGGCCCCCCTGCCCGGCCAGCCGCCCCGTCCGGGAGGTGAGGGGCGCCTCTGCCCGGCCAGCCGCCCCGTCCGGGAGGGAGGTGGGGGGGTCAGCCCCCCGCCCGGCCAGCCGCCCCGTCCGGGAGGGAGGTTGGGGGGTCAGCCCCCCGCCCGGCCAGCCGCCCCGTCCGGGAGGGAGGTGGGGGGGGTCAGCCCCCCTGCCCGGCCAGCCGCCCCGTCCGGGAGGTGAGGGGCGCCTCTGCCCGGCCGCCCCTACTGGGAAGTGAGGAGCCCCTCTGCCCGGCCACCACCCCGTCTGGGAGGTGTGCCCAACAGCTCATTGAGAACGGGCCAGGATGACAATGGCGGCTTTGTGGAATAGAAAGGCGGGAAAGGTGGGGAAAAGATTGAGAAATCGGATGGTTGCCGTGTCTGTGTAGAAAGAAGTAGACATGGGAGACTTTTCATTTTGTTCTGCACTAAGAAAAATTCCTCTGCCTTGGGATCCTGTTGATCTGTGACCTTACCCCCAACCCTGTGCTCTCTGAAACATGTGCTGTGTCCACTCAGGGTTAAATGGATTAAGGGCGGTGCAAGATGTGCTTTGTTAAACAGATGCTTGAAGGCAGCATGCTCGTTAAGAGTCATCACCACTCCCTAATCTCAAGTACCCAGGGACACAAACACTGCGGAAGGCCGCAGGGTCCTCTGCCTAGGAAAACCAGAGACCTTTGTTCACTTGTTTATCTGCTGACCTTCCCTCCACTATTGTCCCATGACCCTGCCAAATCCCCCTCTGTGAGAAACACCCAAGAATTATCAATAAAAAAATAAATTAAAAAAAAAAAAAAAAAACACATATTTGCGGCTGGGTGTGGTGGCTCATGCTTGAAATCCCAGCACTCTGGGAGGCCGAGGCGGGCGGATCACCTAAGGTTGGGAGTTCGAGACCAGCCTGACCAACATGGAGAAACCCCATCTCTACTAAAACTACAAAATTAGCTGGGCGTGGTGGCGCATGACTGTAATCCCAGCTACTCAGGAGGCTGAGGCAGGAGAATCGCTTGAATCCAGGAGGCGGAGGTTGCGGTGAGCCGAGATTGTGCCATTGCACTCCAGCCTGGGCAACAATAATGAAATTTTGTCTCAAAAAAAAAACAAAAAAAACAAAAAAAACAAAAAAAACGTGTATTTGTGGCCAGTCACAGTGGCTCATGCCTGTAATCCCAGCACTTTGAGAGCCCGAGGTGGGTGGATCACCTGAGGTCAGGAGTTCGAGACCAGCCTGGCCAAAAAGGCAAAACCCCGTCTCTACTAAAAATACAAAAATTAGCCGGGCATGGTGGTGCACACCTGTAGTCCCAGCTACTAGGCAGGCTGAGGCAGGAGAATCGCTTGAATACGGCAGGCAGAGATTGCAGTGAGCCACTTACTGCGGAGGATACAGGTTAGAGAGCATTAATTTCTAATGGCCCCATTTGGTATAGTTTCATAGGAAAGCTCTGAAACTATAATGTAGAAAGGAACTAAACTGCCTCCTTTTTTTTTTTGTAAGGTTCCTGCCTATGCCGGATTTCTTACCAGAGTTTGTTAAGTCTGCTCAACAGCTAAGGGAAGAAGGCTAAGAGTAAGTTTCATTCCGCTGTCTTGGCTTTAAAAGTTTGGTTTGGACTGTAGCATTGGATATGGCCTTGTTTCCAATATATACTTCAATATTAAAAAAAAAAAACAGAAAAAGGTTTTTAAAAACATAATTATGACTCCATAATCTGCCATGGGAAAGATTGCTTTCAGTTACTTTCTATGAGAACCCTAACCTAGGCATTATCATTCTTTTTAACCTGCTCAGATTTTCAATTTATGTCAGAAAACCCATGTTAATGTCGAACCTGCCCCTGCCTCAAGAGTAACTTGGTTTAACCTCTTGGGGCTTGTTGCATCATCAGCAATAATTGTCTTGCCAATGTCACAGTCACTGAAGGAGCAAACAAGATAACAGATGCAAACGCCCTTTGAAAAGTTCACTACGTATAAGTGAACCATCACTATTATTCTCAAAGTCTTATTTACAACCTTGGATGGCTGAATGAGCATAAGATGGCCAGACTTCACTGTTCCTAGTAAGTTTTCCATAGCCTCTGCTTTAGGAGAAATAAATTTCCTCACATCCAGTCTTTGCTTTGTTGACTGCTCAACACCCTCTTGTCTCGCTTGCTTTTCTGAGAGTGACCTTGACAGCATCCCTCCAAAGAGAAGGGTATTTCCTTTATATAGACATGCAGGTGCAGTCCCACCAAAATTTATTGAACTCCAAGCTAGAACAAAAGGTGGAGGTGCACCGATGAAGAAACAGGGCCTCTGCCTTCAGGAGCTTACAAGGCCATTAACAGAGAGTGATATTGATCTTATGCAAATGGCAGTTGCCGCCTACTTGCAGAAGAGCAGGGGCTACAGCCAAGCAGCAGGGGGCAGAAGAGGCTCGAGCTCGGCTCTGGAGGCCGATCTGGCCAAAGCCAGGATAGAAGCTCCCGTGACCCATTCGTGTGTGCGACTTGGAAGGCAGCCCTTCTGCCACTCCCCTTTCTTAAAGCCCAGAGCAAATAAAAGATCCTTTTCTACTACAGTAGATATACCTGTAGTCAGGACTTTGAACTCACAGCTATTCGCCGCACCATTCCCTCTTAAGGAACTACTGCGCCCTCCAGCGGAAGAACAGCGGCGGAACTCCACAGCGGCAGCTAAAATCCCTGAACGCTTTAAAGTCCTTCTCCTCAAGATACTCGGCTGCGTCTGGCCCCGCCCCTCACTGAGTTCCGCCCCGGGCGCAACCTCATCTTATGGCACCGATTGGCTGGCCCCTGTGCGTGAGGACGTTGCGCCGTGGGGAGGGGCGGACGAGAGGTGTCCGTCAGGCCGTGTGTCCCAGGCCGTCGACCCCGCTGTCGCGCTGCGTCTGCTCCTTGCATGCCTTTAGATGGTACAGCCTTCAGCCGGGGCTTCGGGAGACAGTGCAGCCACCGAGCATCTCTGCTGAGCTTCTCCGCCGATCCTCCTTTTCTAGCAGGCAGCTCTTCTAGGCCACGTCCAGGTCGAGGGGGAAAATGGCGCCGGCGCCCCTAGGCGTCCCGGAGGAGCAGTTGCTGGGGTGTCGATCTAGAGTGCTTTCTCGGTTACTCTTCATTGCCCAGACCGCTCTCCTCCTGTTGCCCGCCGCCGGAGCAGGTCTCTGCCCCGCGCCCTGCTCCTGCCGCATTCCTCTCCTGGACTGCAGTCGCAGGAAATTGCCCGCACCGAGCTGGAGGGCGCTGTCGGGCTTGCTGCCCCCCGACACCGCTATCCTGTGAGTAGAGCGGCCAGGCAGAGTGACCAAAAGGAGGGGGAGCCTTCCCTCTACAGGGGGCAGGCAGGAGGGAGACAGGCCTGGTCGGAGGGTGTGGTCGAGAGCCTAAGCTCTGAAGGAAACTGCCGTCAGGATTTTATGAACTTTGTTTTAGGTGGTGGGAGCCTAAAAAAGCCGGTGTTAAGGTTTCTGGAGAATTGTATGAAGACGAGGGTTAAGATTCTTGGGGCCAAGGAGTCTGTGATTTCCTCAACTGGGGAGGAAATGGGGCGGGCATATTTAATGGTAAGGACTCACGGGTCCTGGGCACCAGCATTGACTTTGGATGGTTGGTGGGGCGGGGGGTGGGTTGAGCACGGAACAGTGCTTTCTGCTTATCTTGAGCTGCATGATTTGGTGTGTACCTCAGACTTAGTGGTCCTCAGGCACGTGATTTTATAATCACAATCGCCAAAGACCTATGAACTGTCTTTAGTCCTTAGTTCGCATGTTGGCTGATTTTGTGCTGCAGTTTTGATACTTAACAGGGTTGAAAAGTTCATTATGATGAATCAGGAGATCCTGTAATTCAGAATATCTTTGTAAGTAGCATTCTTGATCTAATTTAAACTTCACTGTAAAGAGGAGGAGTATTTTTTGCAGAACCATTTGATGCTTTGTTTTCAGCGCATCTTCTTGTGGCAAAGAACCCAAAAATCAGTTCTGCTTATTTATGTAGGTAAAGCAGGTACAACGGTTGAATGAATTCTGGAGTTTCCACTGTTGAGTTTTCACTTTGACAGGTCTTTATTAGACAGTGGAACTTGGAGGGCTCCTTAGTCTGAGTCAGCCTGGTGGTATTAGGAACAACAGCAGGTATTAAATGCTGCAATTATGGGGCTTCTTAACCACTAACATACAGTTATTTCTCGTCACTAACTGAGCAGCACGTTTATTAACTGACAGATTTCTGATGGAGTCGTTAAGAAAGAGTCATCAATGGGCCAGGCGCGGTGGCTCACGCCTGTAATCCCAGCACTTTGGGAGGCCGAGGCGGGCCGATCACGAGGTCAAGAGATCGAGACCATCCTGGCCAACATGGTGAAACCCCGTCTCTACTAAAAATACAAAAAAATTAGCTGGGTGTGGTGGTGTGCGCCTGTAGTCCCAGCTACTCGGGAGGCTGAGGCAGGAGAATCGCTTGAACCCGGGAGGTGGAGGTTGCAGTGAGCTGAGATCACGCCACTGCACTCCAGCCTGAAAACAGAGCGAGACTCCGTCTGGGGGGAGGGAGGGTCGGGGAGGAAGAGGGGCCGGGTGCGGTGGCTCACGCTTGTAATCCCAGCACTCTGGGAGGCTGAGGCGGGCTGATCACCTAAGGTTGGGAGTTCGAGACCAACCTGACCAACATGGAGAAACCCCATCTCTACTAAAAATGCAAAGTTAGCTGGGTGTGGTGGCGCGTGCCTGTAATACTAGCTACACCCTGAGGCAGGAGAATCACTTGAACCCGGGAGGGCGAGGTTGGAGTGAGCCGAGATCGTGCCATTGCACTCCAGCCTGGGCAACAAGAGTGAAACTCTGTCTCAAAAAAAAAAAGAGTCATCACTAAAAAAATAGGTTGAAGTGCAATTAAAATATGAGAGGCTGCTTGGATTTTTATTGGAAATAGAATACAAATAAGAGGTGTTGCGGAGTTTAAGAAGTATTTATATATTTGCAAATAGGTTAGCACAGATAGGAAAGAAAGCTACCTCATGTAGTCATTGAAAAAATTAACATAAATAATCAAATCTTTTAGTAAACATAGAACTGCAGTGTAGTAAGATGCTTTCTCTTTCATGGTAGTGACACCTGTAGTCACTTCTGGTTTTATTGACCCAAATTTAAAAACTCCTATCAGTGTGCAGTGTAGTGTCAGTTAAACCTAGCACAGCCTCTTTGTTATGCAGCAAGTGCCTTTTTCTAAGACATTCTTGGAAGAGCTACCTGATTATAACAATAAGTCTGGCACAGATTTGACAAAACAGCTTCATTTAGCTGTAATTGGAATGAATGTGGCCTATACTTTTTTTTTTTTTTTTTTTTGAGATGGAGTCGCGCTCTTGTTGCCCAGGCTGGAGTGCAATGGTGTGACCTCGGCTCCCTGCAACCTCTGCTTCCCAGGTTCAAGCGATTCTCCTGCCTCAGCCTCCCAAGTAGCTGGGATTACAGGCGTGCGCTACCATGCCTGGCTAATTTTTCATATTTTTAGTAGAGGTGGGGTTTCACCATGTTGGCCAGTCTGGTCTTAAACTCCTGATGTCAGGTGATCCACCCACCTCAGCCTCCCAAAGTGCTGGGGTTACAAGCATGAGCCACCAAGCCCGGCCTGGCCTACTTTTTTTTTTTTTTTATTTAAGAGAGAGTCTTGCTCTGTCACCCAGGCTGGAGTGCAGTGGCACGATCTCGGCTCAGTGCAGCCTCTGCCTCCTGGGTTCCAGTGATTCTCCTGCCTCAGACTCCCAGGTAGCTGGGATTACAGACTTGAGCCAGTATGCCCACCTAATTTTTGTATTTTCAGTAGAGACGGGGTTTCACCATGTTGGCCAGGCTGGTCTTGAACTCCTGACCTCAGGTGATCTGCCCACCTTGGCCTCCCAAAGTGCTAGGATTACAGGCACGAGCCACTGCGCTTGGCCACAGCCGGGCCTACATTTAAGATTCTCCGTTGGTTGGTAAACATTTAGAAGTAATTTTATGTAAGATATATTTTTGTGTTAAGGTTTGATTTTTGTTTAATCAAGACCAATTGCCTAGAGCCAAGTGACATTCAGAATTTTTAATGTCCTATAATGAAATGACATTTTCAGTTGAAGTGAAATGACTTAGAGAACAATTCAGTTGTAGAAATGTAATTGGATGGAAGTCTTACATTGGTAGAACTCTTAGAATATTAAAAGATAGTACCGTACTATTTTAAATTGAGAAATGAAACATTCTTCAGCAGTTGCCTTTAGCTATAAAACCACCCAGTACATTTGGGTTTCTTTATGTAATTTTGAATGTTGAAATACATGTAATGCTTTAAATATATTAGGGATTCAAATATATGCTCAAACTTGTGACCATCAAAATGATTATGGACAAAATTCATTAATACTGATTTTTGGAAACATACTCAGATACTGTCTTTATGCTTCTCTG
The DNA here is from genome assembly GCF_000001405.40 of Homo sapiens. NCBI lineage: Eukaryota > Metazoa > Chordata > Mammalia > Primates > Hominidae > Homo > Homo sapiens. The sequence continues at coordinate 113,076,811 of NC_000001.11, forward strand.
TATGAGAAACTCTCTAGAATATTATTTGATCATTCAGAGCTTGACTGGGTTCTCTGTGGGTATAGAGCTCTGTTTCACATTATTCTGATTACACACACATACACAGCATTGAAAGACTAGGTTTATGACTCAACTTCTTATTTTGCAAAGTAACTTTGTTAGAACCCCTTTCCCCCAATGATGTGTTGTCTTGGTCATTTCATGATAGTACCAAAACATTAAGAAGTATGTATTTTTAGGGTTAAGGACGCTTCTATAGATTATATAGATTTAGCTTTATGAAATAAAAGTAACCTTTTCCTTACTGTTTTATTTCACTGTAGACTGTTAAATTTTTTTTCTTTTTTTTTTTGAGATGGAGTTTCTCACTTTCGCCCAGGCTGGAGTGAAGCAGCCTGATCTCGGCTCACTGCAACCTCTGTCGCCCGGGTTCAAGTGATTCTCCTGCCTCAGCTTCCCGAGTAGGGATTATAGGTGCCCTCCACCATGCCCAGCTAATTTTTGTATTTTTAGTAGAGAAGGGGTTTTGCCATGTTGGCCAGGCTGGTGTCGAACTCCTGACCTCAGGTGATCCGCCCACCTTGGCCTCCCAAAGTGCCAGGATTACAGGCATTAGCCACTGTGCCTGGCCAGCTGCTAAAAATTTTGTCTTGGATCAGTATTGGGAACCAGTGCTGTACTTGATTAATTTATTGAATTATATATATACTTAGTTACCTATAGTTTTTTAGTTCTTTCTATTTTCATTATAATTGTTTAAAATTTGTTTGCATTTGTTTCTTTATAATAGTTGTGAACAGATTCGTTTTTTAGCATAGAGGACATAAGCTTATGTTGAATAGCTCTAGGGAAGTCTTTCCATGTGTGACTTGAGCTTCAACCTCTGTAGCTATTTTAGTAACCCTGGCAAAATGTTTTCACTATTTATTTATTTATTTATTCTACTTTAAGTTCTAGGGTACATGTGCACAACTTGCAGGTTTGTTACATATGTATACATGTGCCATGTTGGTGTGCTGCACCCATTAACTCATCATTTACATTAGGTATATCTCCTAATGCTATCCCTCCCCCCTCCCCCCACCCCATGACAGGCTCCGATGTGTGATGTTCCCCTTCCTGTGTCCATGTGTTCTCATTGTTCATTTCCCACCTATGAGTGAGAACATGTGGTGTTTGGTTTTTTGTCCTTGCAATAGTTTGCTGAGAATGATGGTTTCCAGCTTCATCCATGTCCCTTCAAAGGATATGAACTCACCCTTTTTTATGGCTGCATAGTATTCCATGGTATATATGTGCCACATTTTCTTAATCCAGTCTATCATTGATGGACATTTGGGTTGGTTCAAAGTCTTTGCTATTGTGAATAGTGCCACAGTAAACATATGTGTGCATGTGTCTTTATGTTTTCACTATTAACATGTGGATTTAGTCTTTTTTTTTTTTCAGATGGAGTCTTGCTGTGTTGCCCAGGCTGGAGTGTAGTGGTGGGATCTTGGTTCACTGCAACCCCCGCCTCCTGGGTTTGAGCGATTCTCCTGCCTTAGTCTCCCAAGTAGCTGGGATTACCGGTGCCCACCACCACGCCAGGCTAATTTTTGTATTTTTAGTAGAGACGGGGTTTCACCATGTTGGCCAGGCTGGTCTTGAACTCCTGACCTCAGGTGATCCACCCACCTCGGCCTCCCATGGATTTAGTCTTGATCCCTTAAAAGAGTATGAGCTCACTAGCAGTGACTTGTGTGATGTCAAGCAAAAACTTCATAGCTTTACCTGTATTTCATATTTCCTTCCTAAAGGGGCAGATCATTTGCAGTTCCTTTCTACATTTTTTTTTTTTTTTTGAGACGGAATAGTTTCATTCTTGTTGCTTAGGCTGGAGTGCAATGGTCCAGTCTCAGCTCACTGCAACCTCCACTTCCCAGGTTCAAACGCTTCTCCTGCCTCAGCCTCCCGAGTAGCTGGGATTACAGGCATGCACCACCACGCCCAGCTAATTTTGTATTTTTAGTAGAGATGGGGTTTCTTCATGTTGGTCAGGCTGGTCTCAAACTCCCAACCTCAGGTGATCTGCCCACCTCGGCCTCCCAAAGTGTTGGGATTACAGTTGTGAGCCACCACAACCGGCCAGAGGAGGCAATATTTTTTGAGATAACTTTGTAACTTGCGGTTGGATAATCTAGCTGAAATGTGAAAGTAATCTACTTTAATAGCTTTAAACCACAAGTTGGTAAATTGAAAATGAGCCCTGTGACCTGGTGCGGTGGCTCACGCCTGTAATCCCAGCACTTTCGGAAGCTGAGGCCGGCTGATCACTGGAGCCTAGGAGTTCAAGATTAGGCTGGGCAACGTGGCAAAACCCACTGTCTGTCAAAAAAAGTGCAACAGTTAGCCAGGTATGCTGGTACACACCTCTAGTCCCAGTTACTTGGGGGGCTGAGGTAGGAGGATTGCTTGAGCCTGGGAGGCAGAGGTTGTAATGAGCCGAAATCATGCCGCTGTACTCCAGCCTGGGAGACAGAGCAAGATCCTATTTAAAAAAAAAAAAAAAAAGAAGAGAAAGAAAATGAGCCCCTTTAAAAAAGGTACAGATGGCCGGGCACAGTGCTCACACCTGTAATCCCAGCACTTTGGGAGGCAGAGGCGGGTACATCACGAGGTCAGGAGTTTGAGATCAGCCTGGCTAAGATGGTGAAACCCCATCTCTACTAAAAATACAAAAATTAGCCAGCCGTGGTGGCGGGCGCCTGTAATCCCAGTTACTCTGGAGGCTGAGGCAGGAGAATCGCTTGAGCCCGGGAGGCAGAGGTTGTAGTGAGCTGAGACCACTGCACTCTAGCAACAGAGCAAGACTCCATCTCAAAAAAAAAAAAGAAAAAAAGAAAAGAAAAAAGAAAGGTTATACCTTTGGAGGGAAATCAGGAGAAATCTTTTTTTTTTTTTTTTTTTGAGGCGGAGTCTTGCTCTGTTGCCCAGGCTAGAGTGGAGTGGCACAATCTCGGCTCACTGCCACCCGAGTTCAAGCGATTCTGCTTCAGCCTCCCAAGTAGCTGGGATTACAGGCGCCCACCACCATGCCTAGCTAATTTTTGTATTTTTAGTCAAGACGGGGCTTCACCATGTTGGCCAGACTGATCTCAAACTCCTTACCTCGTGATCCGCCTGCCTCAGTCTCCCAAAGTGCTGGGAGCCACTGCGCCTGGCCCGAATTTTTTTTTTTTTTTTTTTTGAGACGGAATCTTGCTCTGTCGCCAGGCTGGAGTGCAGTGGCACAATCTCGGCTCACTGCAACCTCCGCCTCCCAGGTTCAAGCGATTCTCCTGCCTCAGCCTCCCAAGTAGCTGGGACTACAGGCACGTACCACCTCACCCAGCTAATTTTTGTATTTTTAGTAGAGACGGGGTTTCACCATGTTGGCCAGGCTGGTCTCCAACTCCTGACCTCGTGATTGGCCCACTTTGGCCTTCCAAAGTGCTGGGATTACAGGCGTGAGCCACTGCCCCCAGCCTATCAGGAGAAATTTTAAAACAAGTTAAAGCAACCCATTCTAATTTGCTTCTGGTCTTTTTTATTTATTTATTTTTTTGGAGACGGAGTCTCGCTCTGTTGCCCAGGCTGGAGTGCAGTGGCGCAATCTCGGCTCACTGCAAGCTCCGCCTTCCAGGTTCACGCCATTCTCCTGCCTCAGCCTCTGGAGTAGCTGGGACTACAGGCACCTACCACCACGCCCGGCTAATTTTTTGTATTTTCAGTAGGACGTGGTTTCACCGTGTTAGCCAGGATGGTCTTGGTCTCCTGACCTCATGATCCACCCGTCTCGGCCTCCCAAAGTGCTGGGATTACAGGCGTGAGCCACTGTGCCCGGCCTGCTTCTGGTCTTTTAACTATCTTACTATATGGTTTCTTTTCAAGGTACCTCATTATCCATAGTAAATGTTGTGAATGAATCAGGGCATTATCTTAGCTAATTATTTCAAAATCATCTTTTTAAACAAAGAAAAATTCTAAATATGGGAACACTAAAAGTTTTTTTTTTTTTTTTTTTTTTTTGAGACGGAATTTTGCTCTTGTTGCCCAGGCTGGAGTGCAATGGCACAATGTTGGCTCACTGCAACCTGTGCTTCCTGGGTTCAAGGGATTCTCCTGCCTCAGCCTCCTGAGTAGCTGGGATTACAGGCATGCACCACACGCCTGGCTAATTTTTGTATTTTTACTAGAGACGAGGTTTCACCATGTTGGCCAGGCTGGCCTCAAACTCCTGACCTCGTGATCTGCCTACCTTGGCCTCCCAAAGTGCTGGGATTCCACGCATGAGCCACCGCGCCTGGCCCAAAAAGTTATTACTAACTCTGGTTCCCATCTGACTCTGCATCTGGGATGTTTCGTCTAATTGCCTCAAAATTCGGAAAAACGTATCCACAAGTAATCTTTCATTTTTTCCCTTATCTTTGTTTTTATAGAGCCTTGCAGCATCCATTAGATAGTTACTAAATATTAATGAGTAAGTAGTTGCATGGAGTGTCATGATGGCTGACAGCTGTAGATGGAGGTGTTTTTAGTGGTCTGAAACTGTATACTGGTCACCCATTTCTATTTTTTTTTTTTTAGTTTTTTGAGACAGAGTCCTGCTCTGTCGCCCAAGTAGCTGGGACTACAGGCACGCGCCACCATACCCAGCTAATTTTTGTATTTTTAGTAGAGACGGGGTTTCACCATATTGGCCAGGATAGTCTCGATCTCTTGACCTCGTGATTGGCTGGAATGCAGTGGGGTGATTTCAGCTCAGTGCAGCCTCTGTCTCCTGGGTTCAAGCAATTCTCCTGCCTCAGCCTCCCGAGTAGCTGGGATTACAGGCACCCGCCACGAGGCCTGACTGATTTTTGTATTTTTAGTAGAGATGGGGTTTTACCATGTTGGCCAGGCTGGTCTCAAACTCCTGACCTCAGGTGATCCGCCCACCTCAGCCTCCCTAAGTGCTGGATTACAGGCATGAGCCACTGTGCTCGGCCTCCAGCCACCCATTTCTAAAGTTGAGATACTTCAAAAGTATTATGGATGTCTCTCACATAATCTCATGTAATAGAAAGATTATCTTTTTTAGACAGTAGCAGAAACAGCAGTTTTAGTTTGCAAAAGAAACACTTTAACTGGATATTAGTGGCCAAGTAAAAAAATTAAGTAAATAAAAGACGTAGTAAATCCCTAAACCAAATTGGGCATGAGGCGTGGGAAAAGCTGCTATGTTTCCAGAATCCAATATACTTTGCCCCTGGCTTGCATGATACTGTTACAATGAACTGTTTCACTTGCAACAGTCATTTCAAAGCATATACGATGCTTTCACTGTATTAAGGATTTTAACATATTTTGTCTTCTTTATCCTGGTATATCTGGGGAAGTGGTAAACAGCAAATGTGAGCCTTTAAAATCTAGTGATATCTTCAAGACATTTTTGTTAGTTTATAAGATATCTGAACAAGAAAATCTGCAACAAGAGAGCCTAAAGAAATCTGATCTAATACAGATCTGATACAGATCACCTGGGCTTGGTTGTTACACAATTATACCCTGGTGTATTAGTCTCTTGCACTGCTATATACAATTAAATCAGACTGGGTAATTTATAAAGAAAAGAAGTTTAACTGGCTCACAGTTCTGTAGGCTGTACAGGAAGTATGGCACTGGCATCAGCTTGGCTTCTGGTGAGGCCTCAGGGAGCTTTTACTCGTGGCCAAAGGCAAAGCGGGAGCAGGCAATTCACATGGCAAAAGCAGGAGTGAGAGAGAGAGTTGTGTAGGGGAGGTGTCACGCTATTATTTATTTATTTAGAGACAGGGTCTCTCTTATTTATTTATTTATTTGAGACGAAGTCTCTCTCTGTTGCCCAGGCTGGAGTGCAGTGGTGAGATCTCAGCTCACTGCAACCTCCACCTCCCAGTTTCAAGCAATTCTCCTGCCTCAGCCTCCTGAATAGCTGGGATTACAGGTGCTTGCCACCATGCCTGACTAATGATTTTATATTTTTAGTAGAGATGGGGTTTTGCCATGTTGGCCAGACTGGTCTCAAACTCCTGACCTCAGGTGATCCACCCACCTTGGCTTCCCAAAGTGATGGGATTACAGGCATGAGCCACCACGCCCAGGCTGGAGTTCAGTGTTGCAATCATGGCTCAGTGCAGCCTCAACCTCCCTGGGCTTTGAGGATCCTCCCACCTCAGCCTTCCAAGTAGCTAGGACTACAGATGTGTGCCACCATGCCTGGCTAATTTTGTGTAGATTTTATAGAGACAGGGTCTCGCCATGTTGCCCAGGCTGGTCTTGAACTCTGAATCTCAAGCAGTCTGCCTGCTTCAGCCTTCTAATTGCTGGCATTATAGATATGAGGCACCATGCTTGGCTACTGCACACTTTTTTTTTTTTTTTTTTTGATATGGAGTCTCCCAGGTCTGGAACTCCTGAACTCTAGTAATCTGCCCACCTCAGCCTCCCAAAGAGCTGGGATTACAGGCATGAGCCACCACACCTGGCTGCTCACTTTTTTTTTTTTTTTTTTGAGACGGAGTCTTGTTCTGTTGCCCAGGCTTGAGTGTAGTGGTGCCATCTTGGCTCACTGCAACCTCTGCCTCCTGGGTTTAAGCGATTCTCCTGCCTCAGCCTCCCGAGTAGCTGGGATTACAGGCACGTGCCACCACACCCGGCTAATTTTTGTATTTTTAGTAGGGACGGGGTTTCTCCATGTTGGCCAGGCTGGTCTCGAACTCCAGACCTCAGGTGATCCACCTGCCCTGGCTATCCAAAGTGCTGGGATTACAGACGTGAGCCACTGTGCCCGGCCAGCTGCACACTTTTAAGCCACCAGATCTCATGTGAACTCAGAACATCCTCTGCCCATCAGGCTTTGGGTTATTAGATGGATTTCTGGACTGGTAACGTTCTCAGCCCCACCTGTACCTTAGACTGTTGCTTGGAGAGCTTTTACAAAATACCATTGTTGAGAACACTTGGACACAGGGTGGGGAACATCACATGCCAGGGCCTGTTGTGGGGTGGGGGGAGGGGGGAGGGATGGCATTAGGAGATATACCTAATGTAAATGATGAGTTAATGGATGCAGCACACCAATGTGGCACATCTATACATATGTAACAAACCTGCACGTTGTGCACATGTACCCTAGAACTTAAAGTATAATAATAATAATAATAATAATAATAATAATAATAATAATAATATTGGCCTTATCCCAGTGATTCTCTGATTTGTTTGGTCTGGGGTGGGACTTAACTATCAATATTAATCTTCCCTAGTGAGGCTAATGTGCAGCCGTGATGGAGAACCACTGAACCATAAGCAATTTTTGCTTATTGAATGTTAGTTGAGGAAATCTGTGCTTTACTTAATTCTTTTTTTTTTTTTTTTTTCTGAGACAGAGTCTTGTTCTGTCACCCAGGCTAGAGTGCAGTGGCGCAATCTCGGCTCACTGCAACCTCTGCCTCCCGGGTTCACGCCATTCTCCTGCCTCAGCCTCCCGAGTAGCTGGGACTACAGGCACCCGCCACCATGCCCGGCTGATTTTTTATATTTTTAGTAGAGACGGGGTTTCACCGTGTTAGCCAAGATGGTCTCGATCTCCTGACCTTGTGATCCGCCCGCCTCGGCCTCCCAAAGTACTGGGATTACAGGCATGAGCCACCGCGCCCGGCATACTTAATTCTTTAAAATTATTTTCTGCTTTGAAGGACCTGTTTATTTTTGTAGAGATTAACGTCCTAATTATGTTTCATTATATTAAAAATGTTTTGCATTTTCCAATTAAAACAAAATCAGCACATGAGTAATCAAAGGATTACTTGTATATTAAGATAATCACTTGGTTTCCTAATGCTAGAAAATACATTTCCTTCATCTTAGATGGATGACATTTTATATGCTTTATTCTTTAAAGGTCTTTCAATCCTGATGGAAAACTGGCATTTAACCAGTTGAGAAAAGATCACATCATATTAAGTAAAGGCTTAGCAAAATGTTTTTTAGAAATACTCTGAAAGCATTCTTATATTTCCTATGCTAGAGAAAATGACTCAACACATTTATTCTGTATTATTTCAGTCATGAAAAATGTTACAATATTCAGTTGGTGCAAATAAAAAATAAAAGCAATTTAAGTAATTACACTCTATCCAAATTATTGATTTCATGTTTGGCGGAAAAACCTGGAGAATGGAATAGTTAATTGAACTTTACTTTGTTGTAAACCAGTTTTTTAAGGTATTTGTATTCTCTATCTCTTCTCCTTTTGCCTTCCTCAGCCTTTCCCAAAAAAGACTGTAATTACGTTATTTGTAACAAATAACTGGCAGAATAATTGCCAGAATAACTAGTGGGTGATTAGCAGTTTTAAAGTTAAACCATTAACAGAGGAACAGTAGTGAAGTGTGGTGTAAATCAACTTGTAACTAAATTCTTGTTTTTTTGTTTGTTTGTTTTTTTGAGACAGAGTTTCATTCTTGTTGCCCAGGCTGGAGTGCAATGGTGGGATCTCTGCTCACCGCAACCTCCGCCTCCCGGGTTCAAGTGATTCTCCTGCTTCGGCCTCCCAAGTACCTGGGATTAACAGGCATGCGCCACCATGCCTGGCTAATTTTGTATTTTTAGTAGAGACGGGGTTTCTCCATGTTGGTCAGGCTGGTCCCGCACTTCTGACCTCAGGTGATCCGCCCGCCTTGGCTTCCCAAAGTGCTGGGATTACAGGCGTGAACCACTGTGCGCGGTCTATCCTGAAGATCTTTACCTAATGTTTATCCAATATAGCTAGCCATTTCTAGTTCAACCACAAAGCAAAAATGCTTCCAGGAAGCATTTATTCACAGAAAAGACTCAGATCTCATTTACTCCTAATTCAGATAGTTCTAACAGGAGGTGGGGTCTCCTAGCCTATGGCAATTGATTAGAAACAAATTTTGTAAAAAGTTAAGTAGCCTGTTACAGAAAGGAAGACTGAAAGTTCCAAGAAGTGAGAGCTTTTAGTGTAAAGCTGTTAGTTGTAGAGGGAAAGCCAACTTACAAGAGCAGACAATTTTCAGAGTTGTTTTAGAATTCTTGTGTTTAGTTCAGTTTACGCCAAGAATATTCAAGATCATAAGCACGTTAAATCACAATATGGTAATTGATTATAATGGTAACCCTGAGGTTTTTTTTTTTTTTTTTTTTTTTTTGAGATAGTTTCACTCTTGTTGCTCAGGCTGGTGTGCAGTGGCACCATCTTGGCTCATGGCAACTTCCGCCTCCTGTTCAAGCGATTCTCCTATCTCAGCCTCTGAGTAGCTGGGATTACAGCCACACGCCACCACACCTGGCTAATTTTTTATATTTTTAGTAGAAATGGGGTTTCACCATGTTGGCAAGGCTGGTCTTGAACTCCTGACCTCAGGTGATCCACACGCCTCGGTCTCCCAAAGTGCTGTGATTACAGGCATGAGCCACTGTGCCCGGCCGAGTATTATTTTTAAAACTAAATTATGCTAGGTACACTCTTAACAAGGCAAGGATTTCCATTCACAAAAGGAAGCGTAAATTATGCAGGCTAAATGAAGCACTGTCATACCCAAAATATTAGATACAATATTTTCTTATGATTTAACTTTTACAAAGGGCCTCTTTGTCAGAAGTTGCTGAAGTTCCCGGTTCAGCCTATTATTGCTGCATATTCTTGAAAACAAAATTGTTGATGATTCAGATGTATGTGTGACTGTGCGAAGAAAACCCCTCCATTTCTGTTGCTGTAGGACTTTGTTGCAATTAGCTTGCTGAACTTGATTTTCTCTTTGAACTGTTGTGATTGCTTTGTACATCCTATAAATAATTTACCCCTGATGGTACTAAACGACTACATTAATGGCACCTCTGGCTCCACATGATATCAAGGACATTAATAATTCATCATTTATTACAGCTACATCCTTGTAGATTAGCATGAGTGGGAACTGAGTTTACAACATTGAGATCAGGCCCTCTGAGAGACCTTTACTCCTCTGTCATCATATCTATAAATATTCAGATATTAGTGGTGTTAGAAAATAAAGGAAGGACTGTTACAGAGCTAGACTTTAGGTTTAAGTTTATTAAGCATTAGGTTTACAGCCTGGGCAACATAGGGAGACCCCATTTCTACAAAACAGAATAAATTAGCTGGGCTTGGTGGCATTTGCCTGTGGTCCCAGCTGTAAGGAGACTGAGGTAGGAGCATTGCTTGAGCCTGGGAGGTGAAGGCTGTAGTGAGGTGTGATGTCACCACTGCATTTCAGCCTAGGCAACAGAGCTTTAGATTACTTCAAGTTCTTAAGTACATTTTAGGGATATTTGAAAGAGAGTTCTCCATTTCAGGACTCCTGCTTTTTAAAAAAAAATTATGCAAACCACCTGGAATTAATGGACATTGGGAAGAACAGTGAGAGACTTCAATTTTTAAAATCATCCAAATCCATATTCCAAGAGTTTTAAATCTGATATTTGAAGTCTTCATTTATTTGTTTATTTTTAATTTTTTAATTTTTTGGGGGATGGAGTCTAGCTCAGTCATCCAGGCTGGAGTGCAGTGGCACGATCGCAGCTCACTGCAACCTCCACCTCCTGGGTTCAAGCGATTCTCCTGCCTCAGCCTCCCGAGTACCTGGGATTACAGGTGCTTGCCACCATGCCTGGCTAATTTTTGTATTTTTTGTAGAGACGGGGTTTCACCATGCTGGCCAGGCTTGTCTCGAACTCCTGACCTCAGGCGATCCACCCACCTCGGCCTCCCAAAGTGCTGGGATTACAGGTGTGAGCCACTGCGCCTGGCCCCGAAGTCTTCATATTTTAGTCTTCTGTCTTTTGGGAGGTACTTTTAAAAAAAGAAATAGGAAAGGCATGCTTACGGGGAACACGAGTATGCCTGTGCACTCCTGTGTGCACGTGTCATTTGATCAAATTCCAGAGTGAAATTAGGCGTAAAAGCTAATTTACCCATTTGCAGTAAAGGAGAATAGTAGAGTTGATGTTGAATTTTCTTACAGTTTTGGAGTGACTGCACCTCTGAGAATTGTTAAGTGTTGCTTTTGGAAAAAGAAAAAGGTTACTAAAGTTGACAGTGCTTACAACCCTAGCGCTTAGTCCACTGCCTGGCACATGGTCCAATAAGTGTTTATTGTATGCATGACTGATCAGATCAATCCATGTAATTCTAGTTAGACACTTGATAACTTAAAACAGTTGTACTGATGCTGATGTATATTAGTTGCTTTCTATGATAGTACTGCTTTGGGAATATATTTCAGTTCACCTTTAGTGTTTTTTAATCTTAATAAATGTGGGTTTGTTTTAGAGGGTCCAGAGAGCCTCATTATATGGGGCTCTGACCTATAATGGCTGTTTGAAAGCATATATCCTTTCAACAACATTTTCCGGTACAGAGGCTGCAAAGCATTTCAGGTATCCTTTGGGTTGCATTGAAAAGCCTATAGGTTCTTCAAAGATAGGAGAAAATTACTCTTTCCCAAAACAGAGGACACTGGACAGTTTTCACTAATACCAAATACTAAGTTATTTATAACGTATAAATTGAGTTTCATTTTATTGCTTTAGATTTCTTTAATAATTATTTTCTTTAAAAATGATTATGTGGGTCAATGATTATTGACAATCATAGGAGAACTCTAGGGGATGAATACAGTCAAGAGTTACATTGCCAGGAAGATTTAGGGTTGGGAAAGGCATTATGAACACTGTTAGGATTAAAATGAAAGCCCTTAATCTGGAAGGGGAAAACTGCTAAGTTATAGTAGTCACCAGATACAAAATTAGATCATATTATGCTAGCCTGCTACACAGATGATATTAGCTCTTCATTTGCCAGACTAACCAGCTTGGAGTAGAATATAGAATATCTAACTTAAATTAAAACAGTTGAATTTCTCCTTGAGTCAAAACACCACAAAACAACAACAAAAAACATCTTTTCACTTATATTTTTATACGAGTGTATGTGTTTATTGTTTAGTAGCAAGAGTGAATTGGATGAAGTATCTGAATATGAGATTTTTATGTGTAGTGAATTCATATTTTTATCTTTTATATTTTCTGACACCCTCCTCCATTCATGAGTGTCCTTGAGCTGATACCTTGTGCCAGACATCTTGGAATATTTTAGAACTGTTGTGGAAAAGTGATGGTTTAACACACAGCTTTAGTTATGTCATGGTGTAAATTAAGCTCTTAAATGAAAGTGGCTAGCTTTTACTGATAGGCCGGCATGAATCTAGCTGAGAACAAATTGTTCTAATGTGATAGAGACATTATTCAAACCTGCATGCATCTGTCAACTGCCTATGGTGGCATAGTGAGATAAAGTGATCTGTAATGTTTCTGTAATGTGTCCCTGTTGCTAGCCATATTGTAACATACAGCACATCTTTTAGGCAGACAGCTTGTGTGGGCTGCATTCCACCTCAGCCTTGTAAAGATGCCAGAAGCATCAAGGTGAATTTTTAAAGCCTATTTAACTATTTAGACTTGACTAATTTCAGTGAAATCTCTACTGTATCTAATAAAGTATTTGCTAGAAGTGAGATGAAATTTCAAATTTATAACTTTTATTAGTTGTGTGACCTTAGATTGGCCAATCAGTGATCTTTCTATGCCTGTTTCCATATTAGGAAAGTATTTTAAAAGTATTTGCCTCATAAGATTGTTGTGTGGATTTAGCCAGTTAATATGTGTCAGGTGCATAGAAGAATGCCTGTCTGCCTTTATAAATGCTGGCCACCAATGCCGTCATTATTATTAACATAATTTGGGGTGAGATTAATTTCCTCTTACTGAAGGTGGATTGCTTTTTTTTTTTTTTTTTTTTTTGGAGACAGAGTCTTGCTTTGTCACCGAGGCTGGAGTGCAGTGGTGCAATCTTGGCTCACTACAACCTCACTACAACCTCCGCCTCAAGGGTTCAAGTGATTCTCCTGCCTCAGCCTCCCGAGTAGCTGGGATTACAGGTGCGTGCCACCATGCCTGGCTAATTTTTTTTGTATTTTTAGTAGAGATGGATTTCACTATGTTGGCCAGGCTGGTCTTGAACTCCTGACCCCGGGTGATCCACCCGCCTTGGCCTCCCAAAGTGCTGGGATTACAGGCGTGAGCCACTATGCCTGGCCTTTTTTTTTTTTAAAGGAAGACCACATCCCTATCAAGGATGTGGTCAACTTCAATTTTAATTTAGAAGCTCACCATTTTGACTTGTGAAATATGTCTTCAGATGTATTTACAGTTAAGGCATAATACATAATCACTACAGGGAATAAAGAAACTCTTTAAATACTGCAATGGAATGACCTAAGATGTATTATTGAGTGAAAAAAGCAAGGGGCAAAATGTGTAAATTGTTGTGTCATTTCTGTAAAAATTTGCTGTACATGCATAAAATATCCAGAAGTCTGCACAATAAATGGCATATTTTCATTTGTTGTTACTGGGAAGGGGAATTGGGTGGCTGGAAACAAAAGTGGGAGACTTTTTACACTTTTTGATAATTGGACCATGTGAATATATTCCCAAACTCAGAAGCTACACACACATATATAAATACACACACGTAAAGTAAAATAGCTATTTTGAAATTCAGATACATTTTTATTCATCCTTTATAAACATTCTTGTCTATACTACTCAAATTGACATTTAAGAGGACTTTTTTTTTTTATTAAAAAAATTTTTTTGGCTGGGTGTGGTGTCTCACGCCTGTATACCCAGCATTTTGAGAGGCTGAGATGGGCAGATCACGAGGTCAGGAGATCGAGACCATCCTGGCTAACATGGTGAAACCCCGTCTCTACTAAAAATACAAAAAAATTAGCCGGGCGTGGTGGCGGGCGCCTGTAGTCCCAGCTACTAGGGAGGCTGAGGCAGGAGAATGGCGTGAACCCGGGAGGCGGAGCTTGCAGTGAGCCGAGATTGCGCCACTGTACTCCAGCCTGGGCGACAGAGCGAGACTCCGTCTCAAAAAGAAAACAAAAAAATTTTTTTTTTTTTTGAGACAGAATCTTGCTCTGTCACCTACGCTGGAGTACAGTGACGTGAACTTGGCTCACTGCAACCTCTGCCTCCCGGGTTCAAGTAATTCTCCTGCCTCAGCCTCCTGAGTAGCTGGGATTACAGGCGTGTGCCACCACACCTGGATGATATTTGTATTTTTAGTAGAGATGGGGTTTCACCAGGTGATTCTTGAACTCCTGACCTCAGGTGATCTGCCACACCTGGCAAATATTTGTATTTTTAGTAGAGATGGTGTTTGCCAGGTGAGTCTTGAACTTCTGACCTCAGGTGATCTGCCTGCCTCAGCCTCCCCAAGTGCCAGGATTACAGGCATGAGCCACTGTACCTGGCCAAGAGGACTTTTTGTATTTCTATTTAGTTTCTTTTTTTTTCTTTAGGTCTACTTTCCAGGACTAAACTAAGAATGATATTTTGTCCTCTTTCAGGGATTTCAGTCATAATCGGTTGTCTAACTGGAACATCAGCTTGGAATCACAAACATTACAGGAAGTGTAAGTTATTTTTATTTATTTAAAGTTATGTTAAATTCCTGAGGGAACTTAATAAATTGTGATTTGTGGGATGTTTAATCCAGAGATGCCATAAAAAAATTGAAGGAAAAAATTAGTTAAAAGAAATTATTTGAAAACCTAAAATGTTTTCTTTGGCTTTGTTATTATCAGACTGTCTTGGCATTGGGTTGGTGATTTCAAGTTGCAGGCTGTGGGGGAAATATTCTACCTTCCTGGGGCTAAAAGTAAGATTTACGCCTCTTCAGAGTAAATGTGTTTTGATTTTGGCCAAGTTTTCAGCCAGTGAAACTCTGTTGTATAACCTTTTTAAATGTCTTGACATGTTATCTAAGATTGGGAGCATCATGTCTAAAGTAGATTTATATGAAATAGAGTATTCTTGATATCATATGAGAATGTAATGATTGATAGAATTAAGTTTTTCTCTTAACTAAAGTTTTTCCTTTAATACTGAGATGTAT
Source organism: Homo sapiens (assembly GCF_000001405.40). NCBI lineage: Eukaryota > Metazoa > Chordata > Mammalia > Primates > Hominidae > Homo > Homo sapiens. The sequence goes on from NC_000001.11 coordinate 113,091,866, forward strand.
TATGTAATTTTGGAGGGAGTTTTCTAAGATATTATTAATATTAGTTTTTGCATTGTTACATTCCTAGAGGCACAACCGTTAAGGTATATAGGCCTATTTGCCTCTACAATTAACACCATCAGAACCCTGAGATTTACTTTCCTTTTTAATTCTTTGCTAACAGGGATAACTTCTTCATGCTCATTGTCTCTGCATTCTCTCCTCCTGGCCCCAGATTCACTGCTTCTAATACGTTGTGGATGAGTACACAGTTGACAAGTTTGTTAGCTGAAAGAGTAGGCACTGAGGAAAGGCCTGAAAATGCTTCAGTGGGAAGTGCATGAGCTTTATTGCATGGACTTTGTAACTTTGGTTGGTTTCCTGAAGGTCTTTACTTCTGGTTTCTTTTCTGTGTTCTAGATTGTTGAGGTTGTTCAGTGACTAAAAACCAGGTTAATGAAATGTGATTGTATTAGATTTGCTACTAAAACATTTGAGACAAACTGTTTAAAGGGCTGCTGGGATCAGATGCAACATGTTATGTTATCTGTAAAATTAGTCATAGGTTCCATCTCTGGGTGGGCTGATAAATTTCATCTGTGGTCTCAAGTAACACTCTCTAACATTTGTATAGCTTTAGAAAAAATATATATACATTTGTGTGTTGTGTGTTTATATATATTTAGAGAAAGAGAGATCTGGATGGACTGATTATGCCTTCTTTAAGGACTCAAATTAGCTGCCATAAACCCAACTTATTCAAAGAACTTTGCTTGAACTAACAATATTTAATGTGCAAAATACTTCATAACCTTTCTGATATTAATATCAATAGTAGATCAACACTATGAAAATACATTTCTTGGCCAGGCATGGTGGCTTACGCCGGTAATCCCAGTACTTTGGGAGGCCAAGGTGGGCAGATCACCTGAGGTCAGGAGTTTGAGATCAGCTTGGCCAACATGGTGAAACCTGTCTCTACTAAAAATACAAAATTAGCCGGGCGTGGTGGTGCATGCCTGTAATCCCAGATACTCAGGAGACTGAGGTAGGAGAATCACTTGAACCCAGGAGGCAGAGGTTGCAGTGAGCCAAGATTGCACCATTGCACTCCAGCCTGGGCAAAAAGAATGAAACTCTGTTTCAAAAAAAAAAGAAAAAAAAAAGAAAGAAAATACATTTCTCATTAAAACCTCTAATTTCTCAATAAATACATTTTTATTTTCGTCTAACTCATTCTGAGTCATATTCTTTTTCAAATTTGGCACCTATTCTAAAGAATATGTGTTAGCCAGAAGGTAGAATCCAAGAGGTAATATTTCCCTCACTAAACATTTAAATCTGTTTTTCCTCTTGCCTAGGAAAATGAATTACAATGAACTAACAGAAATCCCGTATTTTGGAGAACCTACATCTAATATTACTCTACTTTCATTGTAAGTTAGTAAGTTTTCAGGTTTTTTACTTAAATTATGAAAAGTATACATTTTTTTTTTAAAGCACATATATTGTTGATTCTAATTAACATTTTTGTGGCCTGGGGTGGATCAGTGGCAGCAGCTTCATTATAATCTTTGTTTTACAGAGTCCATAATATAATCCCAGAAATAAATGCACAGGCACTCCAGTTTTACCCTGCTCTGGAGAGTTTAGACCTCAGCTCAAATATAATATCAGAAATCAAGACATCTTCATTTCCTCGCATGCAGCTTAAATACCTGTAAGTAACACAGATTAAATTAGATTTACTTTAAAGCACATGTTTATGGGGACTGTTGTGGGGTGGGGGGAGGGGGCAGGGATAGCACTGGGAGATATACCTAATGCTAGATGACGAGTTAGTGGGTGCAGCGCACCAGCATGGCACATGTATACATATGTAACTAACCTGCACATTGTGCACATGTACCCTAAAACTTAAAGTATAATAATAATAAATAAATAAAAATAAAATAAAATAAAGCACATGTTTATTATTCATCAGTACCTATCCAAAAATATTTGGTTATTTATTGTGCTTTTTATATGCATATGTGAGACAAACCTAGAGTTGGTGTGTTGGGTGGTTGGCTTTGCCACTCACCCCACAAGCCCCCTAAAGAAAGATCGCACTATTGTCAGAAAATATTGGTAGATATCAAGGGTAATTTTGAGATTCAATTTTGTTTGTTTTTTTTTGAACCAAGCTTTCTAAAAGGTAAATAGAGATTTGTTAAACAATGGCTTACTGTATATAATGATAATTAGCATGTGTGCCAGTGTTTTCCAGTTTACAAAGCATATTCACACATGCTGTTTTGTAACAACCTAAATGAAGTAGGTAGCTTCTTAATTTTGTAGATGAAGAAACAGAGCAGTTAAATGATTTATAAAGTTGTGGATGGGCATTAAGTGATAGAGCTGGGGGCTTAGACATAGATTTTTGGCAGCTTTCTAGTGGTAGAATTTTTATTTTACTAAATTTTTTCTTTTGCTATTATCTTGTTTATTTTAGGAATTTAAGTAATAACAGAATAACCACCTTGGAGGCTGGTTGCTTCGATAATTTATCAAGTTCCTTATTAGTGGTAAAGTTAAACCGTAACCGAATGAGCATGATTCCACCTAAGATCTTCAAGCTGCCTCACCTCCAATTCTTGTGAGTAACGAAATAGACGGATTATAAGAAGATAGTTTTTTCTTACAGGGTCTTTTTCTTTTTAATTTAATTACTGTTAGAACATTTTAGCAAACCAATTTCCTGACTGTAAAACTATTTTTGTTAAAGGGAACTTAAAAGAAACAGAATTAAAATTGTGGAAGGTCTTACATTCCAAGGGCTTGACTCCTTAAGATCTTTGAAAATGCAGCGGAATGGAATTAGCAAACTTAAGGATGGAGCATTTTTTGGCTTGAATAACATGGAAGAACTGTAAGTACTCGGGACTAGAGGTGATTATTAGGAAAGTAGTCTGTTTGGGACTTTTCAGTGTCGAATGGCTAGGGTAGTTGTTCTGATTATAGAGATACATTCATTCATTCCCTGGTCACTGATGTGAAGTAAGCGTACATAAAACCTTTAAAGTTTTGTTAGCTAACTGATCAATTTTGAAATAATTCTTACAAACTTCTCATCTAAAAAGTTTATATATATATATATATTTTTTTTGAGATGGAGTCTCACTCTGTTGCCCAGGCTGGAGTGCAATGGCGTGATCTCAGCTCCTGCAACCTCTGCCTCCAGGTTCAAGTGACTCTCCTGTCTCAGCCTTCTGAGTAGCTGGGATTACAGGCGTGTGCCACCAGGCCCGGCTGATTTTTGTATTTTTAGTAGAGATGGGGTTTCACCATGTTGGTCAGGCTGATCTCGAACTCCTGACCTCATGATCCACCCACCTTGGCCTCCCAAAGTGCTGTGATTACAGGCATGAGCCACCGTGCCCGGCCAAAAAGTTTATATTCTTAATGTTTTGGCTAATGAAAATTACCAGAATTTATCCAAACAGGTATACTATACCACTTGGCCTGTTGGTTTTGTAGAGCTCCTATTTTAGACAGTCTTACTACCTTCTAGCACTAAATCTCTTTTTTTGTTGTCGTTGTTGAGATAGAGTCTTGCTCTGTTGCCAGGCTGGAGTGCAGTGGCACAGTCTCGGCTCACTGCAACCTCTGCCTCATGGGTTCAAGCGATTCTCCTGCCTCAGCCTCCCGAGTAGCTGGGACTACAGGCGCGCGCCACCGTGCCCAGTTAATTTTTGTATTTTTAGTAGAGATGGGGTTTTACCATGTTGGTCAGGGTGGTCTTGATCTTTTGACCTTGTGATCCGCCCACCTCGGCCTCCCAAAGTGCTGGGATTACAGGCATGAGCCACTGTGCCCGGCCAAGCACTAAATCTTAAATAAGATATTCATTTTTATTGAATAGAATTGGTCAGCTCAGTTGGGTTGAACAAAGGTATATGCTTCTCTGGGAAAAACTTAAGATTTAAAGCTAGTTATTGAACTGCCTTGTTTTGGAACGTATTTTCTTCTCTTTCTCTAATTCTGCAGAGAACTGGAACACAACAACCTTACACGAGTAAACAAGGGGTGGTTGTATGGCTTGCGAATGTTACAGCAGCTCTATGTGAGCCAGAATGCTATTGAAAGAATCAGCCCTGATGCATGGGAGTTCTGCCAAAGACTATCCGAACTGTAAGTGTTGGATAGCATTTCACTGGAGGCAGTTAAGACTAGAGCAGATTGGAATAAATCATTCCCATGGGCAGTAATGAGATGTAACATCCCTCTTTACTAGAAATTTGTAGAAAGCTCTAAATTTACCATGTAGATATAATAAGAATTGTAAGTTGAACCAAATACAATGAATTCCTTACCTTCCACATTTCTTGTTTTCAGTGATTTGTCCTATAACCAGCTGACCCGCCTGGATGAATCTGCCTTTGTGGGTCTGAGCTTATTGGAGAGATTGAATTTAGGAGACAACAGAGTCACTCATATTGCTGATGGTGTATTTAGATTTCTTTCCAATCTTCAGACATTGTAAGTATATCCATTCTCCTTTTTGGTTGTTGTTACTGATTTTTTTAGTACAATAAAGCAAATTAATTAAAACAACTAATCAGTCTGCAAATTCTGTATGCTAACATTTTGTGGTTCTTCTGTCCTATGCCTCAGAGCAAGGCAGTCTTATTTGTCTCCATCCCCATAAAAATCCCAAGCCTGTCGTAGGCAATTCAGTTTGTAGTTTAATTCTGAGTTAATCCCATAAGCATCAAAGCATGTCTTATTGTGTTAGTTGCTGTGGAATAAAACACAGTTGCTAGTGTCAGGAGAGCAGTCATTTTCTTGTTCCTTTGACTTTGACAATACACCAGAGCTACTAGTTCTCATTCGAAAGGATGCAGGTTGTGTAGTGGGAACTGCCGTGGTAGGAGACCAGTTCACTGTTACTGGTTTGCTACATGACTTTGGACAGAAGAAACTAATACTTATTATCTGATATGTGCCAGGTACTTTCAAATACTAGGATGATACTGCTGTTTTCCATATTAGGAGGCTGAGGTTCAGAGAAATTTAAATAATTTTCTCTAAGTCACATAGCTTGTAAATGTTGGGCCAGAATCAGATCCCAGGTCTGTTTGATGCTAAAGCTCATGTCCATTTTATCATACCAACAGAAGAACAAAATCACTTAGCTTTTCCTGGCCATCATTTTTTTTTCTCCTTTATACGGTGAAGGAAGGATATAGGATTAGATGGTTGCTAAAGGCAGTTTCCACGCTAAAATTCTGTGGTTCTGTAAGTTATTCAATTTACAGAATATAAGAATGTGTTTTTGTGAACTTTATATATTTATATATAAATATATCTAATTTTAGAATATAATTTTATTAAATGAAGAGGTATTTTAATGAAATATAGTAATCTCAAACACAGAGCAGAATAAAAGAAAACAAAGAGTAATTAGTAGAATTTGTAGATTCTTAAGCTTCCTGAATAGAGGACTTTGTGGTCATTAGGTTTCGAGTTGAAATGGTTCAGAGAAGAGGCAGGTTCCCAACTTGGAGACATAACCATCAATGAGAGGGAAAACAAGATAATTTTGTGAAGGGTATATACATGCACAGGTGTGTATTTGATTTTTTAAAAAATTCCTTTAGATTTGGCCTTGAAAAATTAAAAGTGATTGTATTTTTCCTTTTCCTATATTATCAGAAGTGAAACTGGATCAATGCAATCTCAGAAACTTAGATGTAGCTGCAGCCTTTTGGCAGTTGAAGGGATGGCAAATAGGTTATTTTAGTATACCACTGATTATTACTTTTAGAATTAAAGTTTTGGGAAGTAATAGCAGAAGTAAATGGTTGTGTAGTGCCACAGAGATAGTTAAGACAGAGTTAGGATCAAATCTGGGGAATTCTGGCTTTAGCCTCATGCTCTTGCCAGGGTAGATACAGTTCTTAATTTGTTGAATGGTTTCTATTTATGCTGTGCTGTGGAGGAGGGGGAAAATCCTGAAGAGTTGAGCCATTGGTTCTTTCATTATTTATTCCTTAGTAAAATAAAATGAGCTTTATTAGCTTTTCACTTAAAGAAAGCTAAGTGAAAACAGGGATCTCCTCTTTACTGCTAATCACACAACTCTACATGTCCCTTATAAAGTAGAAAGCTTTGTGCTTTATTATGAGATGACTTAAGGAAGCAAAAGCGATTAAATATTTTTAATTATATGGAAATAATTCTTTTATCATAACATGATGTGGTACAATTGCATTTCCTCTGAGAATGGAACAGTGAATTTTAGGAGATCCATACTTTCCCTTTGAAAGAAAATCTGATGACACGCTAACACATGGGTTTATCATTTTTGCTTCCCATGGGGCATCTTTAATTGCTCTTGAGCAATGAAACTGTATTGATATTACTCTCTGTCAGCCATTGTAAGTTCAAGGTCCCAGAGGAAGGCTTGGGTCACCCAGAAATCCCATTAATCTGAAATCAGATTTATAAGCCATATACCCTGCATCTTGAAACCCTCCTGCTCTTTTCAGGACCCTGTTTATAATTTTTAATATGCTAACATAATGAAGGGCTCTTTGCTTGGAAGAGTAATACTTTTAGCAGGTTGCTTTATTTACCAAGGCCAGCTTAATTGTTAGCTTATAAGAATCAGTTCTTACGTGTTTATTACAGATATTTCTTACGTGTTTATTACAGATATTTCTTAAGAAGCAGAGTTGAGCCTTCATCATAAATAACTGTTAAAGTAAGGATCAGAATTAGCATGTGTACCTTGACATCACCATACCAGGATACTGCTCAATGTTGTGATGGTTGTATTGACTAATAGCACCTGTCTTTCTCTGACATTTTTGTAGAGACTTAAGAAACAATGAAATTTCATGGGCCATAGAAGATGCTAGTGAAGCCTTTGCTGGACTCACAAGTCTCACTAAACTGTATGTATTATAATATTTATGTATGTCTACATAGGCATGTTTTCAAGAACCGGCTGTAAATATGATTGAATTATGTTTATTTCATATGGCTACAAAGTCTGAGCTTTCTGACACTCTGGGAGCTCTGTGGGGTTTCTTTGTTTGTTTGTTTGTTCGTTTTTTTGAGACTGAGTCTCACTCTGTATCCCAGGCTGGGATGCAGTGGCACGATCTCGGCTCACTACAACCTCTGCCTCCTAGGTCCTGGTTCAAGCAATTCTCCTGCCTCAGCCTCCTGAGTAGCTTGGATTACAAGCGCATGCCACCATGCCCAGCTAATTTTTGTATTTTTAGTAGAGACAGGGTTTCACCATCTTGGCCAGGCTGGTCTTGAACTCCTGACCTCGTGATCTGCCTGCTTCAGCCTCCCAAAGTGCCCGGATTATAGGTATGAGCCACTGAACTTGGCTGGTTTTTTTCTTTTTTTTTTTGAGACAGGGTCTTGCTCTGTCACCCAGGCTGGAGTGCTGTGGTGCAATCACAGCTCACAGCAGCTTCAACCTCCTAGGCTCAAGTGATCTCCCACCTTGGCCTCCTAAGGAGCTAGGACTAAAGGTGTGTATCACCATGCCTAGCTAATTAAAATTTTTTTTTTTGTAGAGACAGAGTCTCACTATATTGCCCAGGCTGGTGTTGAACTCCTGGGCTCAAGTGATCCTCCCACCTTGGCCTCCCAAAGTGCTGGGATTATAGGCATGAGCCCCCATGCCCAGCTAGTTTTTTTGTTTTTGTGTTTTTTTGTTGTTGTTGTCGGGGCACTTTTTATTGAAAAAGCATTCCTGTGGACACTTAAAGAGAAGTTATTTATGGAAGTAGAATTTCTATTCAAGTAAAAGGAATGCATTGAGAAAGTAGAGTAATGTGTTGGTAATCTGTTTAATTTGTAGTTTGTTTAATTGTAGGAGATTTGTGAGTAATTTATCTAGCAGAAGTAGAGCATTCTCTCACATAAGATTTTAGATCTTTTCCCATGAGAAGAATTTCTCCAAAGGTTCACACTTGTCTGAATTTCTTTCATCTGACAATCTTTTGCTCTGAATGGAGACATGAGGAATATAATGAATTTAACATCTGAAAATTACCAGTTTATCAGTGGTCAAGATGGTTGTTCACCTCATTGAGCTTTAACATCTTGATAGACACTTTTATGCTATGTTTTGCATTGATTAATAATTAAATTTCATAACTTTCTTAAAAATGCACGTTCTCATCAAATTGTACACATTAAATATGTGTAGTTTTTAGTATATCAATTGTACCTCAGTAAAGCTGTTAAGTATATAAAAAAGTACGCTACGCTTATTTTCACTTTTTATAGGTAAATGTTTAATGAATTTAATTTTGTTTAGTGGAGAGCTTTCTTAGAAAGATCTGTTTATATTTCAGAATCTTACAAGGAAACCAGATTAAGTCAATTACAAAGAAAGCATTCATTGGTCTTGAATCCCTTGAGCATCTGTAAGTATTTTGCATACATTTTGCTTACTCTATAAATAATCTTTGCTATTAGCAGAGGTTTTCATGACCATGTAAAGTGTTTATGTAACTTGATATAGAAATGGTGACTGATAATGTTTCATTTCTCTTTATTTCAGAGATTTGAACAATAATGCTATAATGTCTATCCAAGAAAATGCTTTTTCTCAGACTCATTTAAAAGAACTGTAAGTAACTTGTCTTTTTAAAATCACCAGTTGGATCATTGTTCCTGCTTGTTGTGCTTAAAGTGTGATGGGAGTGACCCAAGTTATTTCCAAAAGCACACAGTTCAGGCAGGAAAAAAGAAAGTATTAATACTCAGTTATTTAAGCGGCTAGAGGTAATTTTAAAATAGCCAACATTGAAAAGCCCAGAGTGTGTGGCACCAAGACCTTCTGTTTTGCCTGTTCTACCAATGCTTATAATTAGGAGACCTCAGCACTGCTCCTTATGCTTTATGTATACCCTACTGTTCCTTTTTGGATTATCAGAAACATGTGTTACCAGTTCTTAACACCTTGTGTGGGTTACAATAAAGGTATTATGTGATTTTGTTTTATAGTTTCCGAGGTGATTTAACAGTTAGTATAATTGTCAGAGACGGTTCTCTAACCTGTTCAAACTACTAAAATGTCAAAATAGACAAGTGTGTGTATGTATCATTTTATACCCTTTTTCATTGATGAGTTTTAAAAATTGTTCTTACTGGTTTCGAGATTTCCCTAGGGGATTGGAGGTTAGTTGGGCATTGGTATTATTTATATTTATATATTTTTATATATTTTTGGAGACAGTCTTACTCTATCCCCTAGGCTGGAGTGCAGTGGTGCGATCTCGGCCCACTGCAACCTCTGCCTCCTGGGTTCAAGCGGTTCTCACCTCAGCCTCCTGAGTAGCTGGGATTACAGGCGCCTGCCACCACACCCGGCTAATGTTTGTATTTTTAGTAGAGACAGGGTTTCGCCATGTTGGCCAGCTGGTCTCGAACTCCTGACCTCAGGTGATCTGTCTGCTTCAGCCTCCCAAAGTGTTGGGATTACAGGCGTGAGCCACCGGTCCCGCCTGGTATTATTTTTAAACTCTATTGATTCAAATATGCAGTCAGGGGTAAGAACCACTAGATTATAGAAATTATTTTGCCTTGCCTGGGAAGCTACTCAAAGGATACTCTGTGGAGCAGAACTGGTTGATGAGAAGATAAGGATAGAAATGCAGAATAAGCCTTTAGAAACTTTTAGAACAATTTTACATTACTGTGACACTTTTGTTGTAGTTTATAAAAGTATTAGTCTGCAGTGGATTGGAAATTTAAAAGACTGGTCCTTACCATGGATAATTTGAGATGCACTGGAAATGTGTGAGTTTTCAAACTGCCTAGGTTCAAATCCTTACTCCATTCCTTACAACTGTGTGATAATGGGCAAACTGTTAGCCTATGACTCAGTTTCTTTTCCCAGAATGGGAATAGCACCTCCCTCAGGGTTATGTGAAGATAAAGTGAGATAACTTGTTTACTCAAATATTTATTCATCATCTGCTATGTAGGATACTGTTCTGGATGATGAAAACATTAGTGCACAAGACAGAGTCTCTGTACTCATAGCATATTACAGTAAATCCTAGTGAGGAAGATAAATAATAGACCAGTAGATATATAATATCTCATCAGGTAACAACTGAAGAAAAAAAAAACTAAGTCAAAGGTATGAAGAGTGGTGGGGATTGCTATTTTAGATAAAGCAGTGAGGGGAAACTCTTTTGAAGATACAGCATTTGAACCAGGACCTTAATGAAATGGCAAACCATGTGAACACTGGGTGAATGGCTTTCCAGGCACAAGGAGTAGGAAGTAAAATGAGTTTAGAGAGTTAAGCAGAGTAGAATAATTAAATATCTACAATTTTTTTGATATTAATCATCTTATTTCTCATTAGTCGTTCTCTTCATTTGTTCCAGTATTTTTTTTTTTAATTTATTTTTTTTTTGAGATGCAATCTCGCTCTTGCCCAGGCAGGAGTCCAGTGGTGCCATCTCAGCTCACTGCAACCTCTGCCTCCCGGGTTCAAGTGATTCTCCTGCCTCAGCCCCCTGAGTAGCTGGGACTACAGGTGCCCCCCAACCACGCCCGGTTAATTTTTTTGTATTTTTAGTTGAGATGAGGTTTCACTGTGTTAGCCAGGATGGTCTCAATCTCCTGACCTCATGATCCGCCCGCCTCGGCCTCCCAAAGTGCTGGGATTACAGGCATGAGCCACCGCGCCTGGCCTGTCAAGATATTTTTTTTTTTTACCCCAAACTGCTTTGTTCTAACTTACCTTTTTTGTTGTTCTTGAAAAGCATATCGAATTTACAGTTTTAATAGGTCCAACAATAAAATTATGTTCATATTTTTCTTTTTAAAGAGAGAGTTAGGAGGCAGATCATAATAGACCATGAGGAATTAGGATTTTTGCTTTCTTGTATGCATTAGGAAACTGGAGGGTTTTGAGAAAATGCTCAGCACAGAGCTTGGCACAGAGTAGAAGCTGAGTAATGTTAACAATAAAAACTAAAATTAAAATGTTATGAAAATCATCATAGTTATTTTCTGCCAGATTTTTAAAGTAGATATTTTGATCTGTTGAGATATTTTGAGTTATTTCTCATAGGCTTAGTTTAATTATAAGTTGTGACTTACTACAAATTAGTATACTCCGCCCCCCTCCTTTTTTTTTGCCAGTGATAACCTGAGAGCTGGCAAGAAAGTTTTAACTGTTACAAGAACTCAGTTTAACATAAAATTTAAACAGTAGGTCAAAGCAAATATTGCAGTCTCAATCTTCAGAGAGTCATTTAGTAATTTGAGAGTTGTCACAAAGATTCTTTGCTTGACCAACCCGTAGGCAAGCCCTTAAACCTTCTCCTAGGCCTAGCTGTGTAAAATCCAATTTTAGCACAAACCCTGTAAAACCAGTTTAGCAAGAACTCTTCCTCATTGTAGACCATTCCCAGGTGATGTCTGATCACCCTGGCCTGTCTTCAGCAAGAATCCTGTTAGGGTTTAGCCAGAGTCTTCCTTACTCTGGATGTTATTTTTTAGTAATTTCACATCCACTGAGTGGGATGAAAGCAAACCCACCTTGCTCCTTGGCTATACTTGCCCTTGCTGTTTCCCTACTGTCTCTCCCTCACTGAGTCGAACCCAGTCTCTCTCCCCAGCTGCAACATCACATTGCCGTGGTCCCTATATCTATTGAGATGATCCTGAATAACGTCTACCTTACCATGCTTTAACAAGTATCACTGAGTAATTTTTTATTTAACAGTTACGGTGCTGTGACTCCGATAGGATCAGATTCATCATTGGACCCCCAGACCTCTCACCCAGGACCCCAAGTGTGCACCTTTGAAGCCATTGTCTTCACTCCTGACTGATAGATCGGGGATCCAATGGTGAGTCAGACTAACGAACCATTGCTCCGGACAAACATCTGTTGAAGCTGGTAAGGAAAGATTTCGATTCTCAAGATTGTGAATATATTCTCTGGAGTTGGGCTAGAGGCCAGACTTCTTTTGAAAGGTACCTCCTGGGCTTGAAGGTCTTCTTCCTGGCTCTCTTTCCTGAGTGGGGTTTATTCCCTGACTCCCTGGACTAAAAGTCCTTGGAACTCTGTGAGGCTACTCTGTTGTCTCTAATGGATCCTACTTCTCCCATGGCAATTTCTCTGGCATCTGAATCCCCTCTGTTTGAGCCCCTGCTAACTATATTGCTCCACCACTGGTTCTGTCCACCTCCTCCTTGTTGGACCTTTATTGGCCTGTTTGGAATACTTAAGATCTCCCCAGACTGCATCCTGTAAGCTGTCTTTCTTCCCATTGCTACTGCTCCTTATTCCTCCTCTTACCACCTTTAATGTTCCTTCCAGTTCCCTTGAGCCCTTTGATATGACTCCCTTCAAATTCTTACATCCTCCATCCATCTGTCCACCCACTGCTAGACTTTTTCCTTCTCATTCTGGACTCTTTGTCACTGGGACTGTAGGCCCCCCACCCTTCCTGGGGATCTCTCAGGGGACTTGGGGACTCCCAAAAGTAATGACTTGGGTTGAAAAGGAAAAAGAACAATTGGAAATAGCCTAAGTATTTTATCTACACTCAGATGGGCTTTGGAGATATCCAGACAGCCCCTAGATGTCTCTTCAGCCTCCATGAGATTACACATCATGGCAAAATAAAAGTCTTTTTTTTTTTTTGAGATGGAGTCTCCCTCTGTCACATAGGCTGGAGTGCAGTGGCACGATCTCAGCTCACTGCAGCCTCTGCCTTCCGGGTTCAAGCAGTTCTGCCTCAGCCTCCTGAATAGCTGGGATTACAGGCACCCACCACCACACCCAGCTAATTTTTGTATCTTTAGAAAAGAGGAGTGACCTCATCCAATTTATGTTTTCTTAGGTATAATATAAGCTGGACTCAAAAGACCTGGGCCCATATCCTAACTCTACCATTTATTTTAGACGTGATACTGAATGCCTCCAAAATCTCAGTTTCCATTTCTAGAAAATGGAATTGAAAATGCCTACCTCAACCGGGCACGATGGCTCATGTCTGTAATCCCAGTACTTTGGGAGGCCGAGGCGGGCAGATCACGAGGTCATGAGTTCGAGACCAGCCTGGCCAATATGGTGAAACCCTGTCTCTACTAAAAATACAAAAATTAACCAGGCGTGGTGGCATGTGCCTGTAATCCCAGCTACTCAGGTGGCTGAGGCAGGAGAATTGCTTGAACCTGGGAGGTGGAGGTTGCGGTGAGCTGAGATCTCACCACTGCACTCCAGCCTGGGTGACAGAGCAAGACTCTGTCTCAAAAAATAAATAAATAAATAAATAAAGTATTTAGCCCCGTGCCTGGCCACAGACAAAACTTAATTCACAGTAGCTTCCTTCACTTCTGTGTCTTTTGCTTCTTTCCATTCTTCATATACTAACCAAATCCTGAGCACAAGTACTTAACAGAGTATACGGTATTCTCTCAACAAATGTGTGGATAGATTATACTAAAATATTGCTAGTGGTTGTCTTTGAGTAGTGAGGATTTGAGGAGCTTTCTCTCCCTCTTGGTTTAGTGGTACTTTCTAATTTTCTACTATAATTATATAACTTTAATGGAAAGTATTTTAAAATTTATATGCAAGTTTTTCATACACCTCCTGTTATTGATGCAAAGCCTTGTGGGGAATACCAAAAAGTATAGAGGGATTTTAATAAATGTTGACCTAAAAAGTATTATAAATATGACTTTTAAAGTAACCAAAAGCAACCAACAATTCTCAGTAAAAAAGTTGCATTAGAGCCAGGTGTGGTGGCTCATGCCTGTAATCCCAGATACTCAGAAAGCTCAGGTGGGAGGATCCTCTGAGTCCAGGAGTTAGAGACCAGTCTGGGCAACACAGCAAGTTCCTGTCTCAAAACACAGTTGCGTTAAAGTTCCTGCAATAGCAGTTTGTTCAAACCAACTGTTAGAGAAAAAATTACTCAATGAAACTTGTTAAAGCATTATAAAAGCATAGTAATCTTTGCCAGTGCCCCTCTTGTTTAATAACAATATGTCAACTTTGAACAGTTGAACAATGTAAGTCAATTTTTTTCATTCTTAAAATTGAAACTTTGCCAGGCATGGTGGCTCACGCCTGTAATCCCAGCACTCTGGGAGGCCAAGGCAGGTGGATCACGAGGTCAAGAGATCAAGACCATCCTGGCCAATATGGTGAAACCCCGTCTCTACTAAAAATACAAAAATGAGCTGGGCATGGTGGCACGCACCTGTAGTCCCAGCTACTTGGGAGGCTGAGGCAGGAGAATCGCTTGAACCCGGGAGGCGGAGGTTGCAGTGGGCCGAGATTGCGCCACTGCACTCCAGCCTGGGCAACAGAGCGAGACTCTGTCTCAAAAAAAAAAAAAGAGTTAAAATTGAAATTTCTGTGGAATCAGATCTTAGATACTTTATGCCAAACATTAAACTTGATAAGGATTTGATCATGCACATAAAGCAAGTTCTCAAAATCATTTACTTTCCCTGCTTCTAAGTGGATGGGACATTTAAGGGGTCATTGAGAGAAAATACTGATTTTTCAGATATGTTTTACAGGGTTATAAACCACAAATACTTTTTCAGTGCTCTTAGTTTAGATTGCATTACACATTGCACGGTGTTGAAGTGGGTTTTCTTTTTGTTTTGTTTTTGGGAGACAGTCTCACTCTGTTGCCCAGGCTGATGTGCAGTGGCGTGATCTCGGCTCACTGCAACTTCTGCCTCCCGGGTTCAAGCAGTTCTCCTGCCTCAGCCTACCAAGTAGCTGGGATTATAGGTGCCATCCACCACGCCCAGCTAATTTTTGTATTTTTAGTAGAGATAGGGTTTCGCCATGTTGGCCAGGCTGGTCTGGAACTCCTGACCACAGGTGATCCGCCCGCCTCTGCCTCCCAAAGTGCTAGGATTACAGGTGTGAGCCACTGAGCCTGGCCTAGTGCTGAAGTGTTTTTAGTGTTGATGAAATAATTTGACAATAATTATATGTTGTCTACAACAAAGATCTCTCAATGCTCCAATATATAGTAAGTGTTTCCCCATACTTTCATGGGAAAAATTTAAACCTCAAAAATTTAAAGGAAGGTACAATTAACACCCCATACCCTTTATCTAGATTCACCAATTGTTAACTTTTTGCTGAATTTGTTCTATTTCCCTCCCTCCTCCTCTCTCATTTTATCTCTTGCTCTCTCTCCACATACACACAAATATATATATACATATATGCACAGTTTTTTTGCTGACCATTTAAAAGTTGCAGCCATGGTGACACTTCACCTCTAAATATCTCAGCATGTATTTTTTAAGAACAAGTACATTTTCTAACGAAGACATCACCATTACCACACCCAAAGAAATTAACATCGATAAGGTAATATTAACTAATACAGAGTCCATACTCAAATTTCCCCAATGTTAAAAAAAGTCATTTGCAGATTTTTTTTTCAATCAAGGATCACACATTTCATTTTATTGTAATGATTCTTTAGTCGTCTTCAAAACAGATCCCTGGCCACCCTTCTTCCCCTCTCTTTTTTTAGTGTCTTTCATGAGGTTGATATATTTAAAGAATTTTGGCTGACAGTCTCAATTTGTTTTCTCATGATTTATGTTAAATGTTTTTGGCAAGAATAATGGATAGGTGTGTGGTAAGGTTTTAATACTGAAGACGTTTAGAATGAAAAGTAAAACAAAGGATGCTTTTCCTCTTTTCTTTCCTGCAGGATTCTGAACACAAGCAGTTTGCTCTGTGACTGCCATTTGAAGTGGCTACTTCAATGGTTGGTTGATAATAACTTTCAACATTCTGTGAATGTAAGCTGTGCACACCCTGAATGGCTAGCAGGGCAAAGCATCCTGAATGTGGATCTGAAAGATTTTGTCTGTGGTTTGTATTTTTGTTTTAAAATTTTATATATTACACACTTATAATCTTAACAGAATTAAAAAAATTAAACCAGAATGGTTTTCCACTAGGAATTTTTGTAATCATACAGTTTTAATTGCCATTAAAAATGATCACAGGCATTTTAATGAATGAAGGCTTTTCTCTTTTAGAGGGACTGTTAACCTTAGGTTAGGTATTTGGTAGTCAGATTCCTGAATCAAGCAATATGAGTTTTTTTATATGAACATTTTTAGTAGATCTTGAAAAGTGCCACCAGGTACTTTCCAAAAAGATAGCACTAGTTTAAAGTTGTCACCAGCAATGTATGAATATACTGATTCTGTGTGTTTCATATTTTTTGTGTGGTTTCATAACATTAAAGTGGCAGAGTTTTGTTTTTTCCTTGAGGGGAGAGAGATAGTCATAGACAAGTTGTCCTGATTCTAGCACTTATAATTTCAAATATACTTTTTTTTTTTTTTTTCTAATGGAGTCTTGCTGCGTCACCCAGGCTGGAGTGCAGTGGTGCGATCTCAGCTCACTGCAACCTCTGCCTCCCGGGTTCAAGCGATTCTCCTGTCTCAGCCTCCTGAGTAGCTGGGATTACAGGCGTGTGCCACCATACCTGGCTAATTTTTGTATGTTTAGTAGAGACGGGGTTTTGCCATGTTGGCCAGGCTGGTCTTGAACTCCTGACCTCAGGTGATCTGCCTGCCTCTGCCTCCCAAAGTGCTGGGATTACAGGTGTGAGCCACCGTGCCCAGACAATTTCAAGTATACTTCTATATTATTCTTTCTCAATTTGGAAAATTTTCCTTTACACTTAAATGTCCTTTAGGCCGGGCACTGTGGCTCACACCTGTAATCCCAGCACTTTGGGAGGCTGAGGCAGGTGGGTCATCTGGGGTCTGGAGTTCGAGACCGGCCTGGCCAGCATGGCGAAACCCTGACTCTACTAAAAATACAAAAATTAGCTGGGCGTGGTGGCACACGCCTGTAATCCCAGCTTCTCTGGAGGCTGAGGCAGGAGAATCGCTTGAACCGAGAGTTGGAGGTTGCAGTGAGGCAAGATTGTGCCACTGCATTCCAGTCTGGGCAACAGAGTGAGACTCTGTCTCAAAAAAACAATTTTTTTTTTCTTTAAAGTGGAATGACTGATTCTTAGCTTTACATAGGAGAACTTTTAGATCAGTGTATCTATGTTGGATATCCCTAGTATCTCTGATCATTTGAGTACCTATATATTGCCAAATCTGTTTTCACAATGTACTTAAAGATGGTTGGAACAGAACACACACTTGGAAGTTCGGGCTCACAAAATACATCCATTGTTTTTTACAAAGTTTAAAGAAGAAAACAGAATCTAGTAAAGGTTAAATTCTGCTGACATTGCCGCACATTCCCTTTTTACTTAGTTTTAAATATAGACATACCATATATTTCTTCCTCCCCTTCCACTTAACTGCTT
Source organism: Homo sapiens (assembly GCF_000001405.40). Lineage (NCBI taxonomy): Eukaryota > Metazoa > Chordata > Mammalia > Primates > Hominidae > Homo > Homo sapiens. The sequence goes on from NC_000001.11 coordinate 113,109,226, forward strand.
TTATGGCACAATGAAATGTTATCCAGTGGAGATACTGGTTAAGAATTTATATACCTGCTTCTCTCAATCAGTCCAATAACATTATTAATTATGAATCCATATTTTATTAGCCAGTCCTAAGCCAATCTTCAGCTGGACATTTGACCTATTTGGATTTTTTCACTACTTCAGGTGAAACCCGTGCACATACAAAATGCTTTCAAATAATTTGTTTTATTAGGTATTCTCTGTGAAATATAAATCATTCATAATCCCCCCATTTTATATTGGCACAGAAAGGATAATGGTTATATATATACATATATTTTTTGAGACAGAGTCTCGCTCTTTTGCCCAGGCTGGAGTGAAGTGGCGTGATCTCGGCTCACTAGCCACCTCTACCCCCCGGGTTCAAGTGATTCTCCTTCCTCAGCTTCTCAAGTAGCTGGGATTACAGGCGGCCGCCACCTCGCCTGGGTAATTTTTGTGTTTTTAGAAGTGACGGGGTTTCGCCGTGTTGGTCAGGCTGGTCTCGAACTCCTGACCTGAGTTGATCCACCCACTTCGACCTCTGAAAGTGCTAGGATTACAGGTGTGAGCCACCGTGCCTGGCCATATACATGTTTATCTATCACATACATATATACAAGGGGTAATAGAAGTAGAACTTGTCTTGAAATCCTAATATAAGGTTTCTGTTTTTCCCCAATAACTGATAATGCTTGAGAAATATATTCTGAGCACACAGGTGACAGTAAGGGCTAGTAGAAAAGTGCTGGATCCTGAAGTCAGGAAACCTGAGTTCCAATCCAGGCTCTGCCACTGACTGACATGTCTTTGAGCAAGTCATTTGAATTTTCTGGGCCTCATTTCCCCCATCTTTAAACAAGGGAATTGGACTGTAGCTCTGTAGTCTCTTTCAACTTTAATATGCCACTTTGTAAACAGAACACACAATTTTATAGTATTTTTTAAAATTGAATCTAAAGCAAAAATAAATAACTGACTTGGCTACGGATGCATTTTTTTCCCCTTAGATGATTTTCTCAAGCCACAGATAAGGACACATCCTGAAACCATAATTGCTCTAAGAGGCATGAATGTGACTCTGACGTGCACTGCAGTGAGCAGCAGTGATTCACCCATGTCCACTGTGTGGCGCAAAGACAGTGAAATCCTGTATGACGTGGATACTGAGAATTTTGTTCGTTATTGGCAGCAAGCTGGAGAAGCTCTGGAATATACTAGTATCTTACATCTTTTCAATGTGAATTTCACAGATGAAGGAAAATATCAGTGTATTGTTACTAATCACTTTGGTTCTAATTATTCTCAGAAAGCCAAACTGACTGTAAATGGTAAGGAATTATGCTCCTTGATTTTTTTTAGTTTAGAAGGATTTTTCATGTTCAGTTTTGAATCACTTGAGAGAATTAGACTAAATCTGACATTTAAGTAGGACTCTTACTGTTATTGTCTTTTGAGTTGTGATAACTTATCAAGTGGGTGGGATTTTTGGATTAGTCAGTCTGCCCACTTATGGTCTCTAATTGGTCTTTGGTTGAAGGGTAAGTGCTGTGGCCCTAGGAGATGTGCTACTTTCACTGCTGTTTATGCTTTTGAAGACATTCTTATGAAATTCTCAGTTTTCATTCCAGAACCATAAATCTCTCTTGATAACTATGAAATTTATTCCTGATGGGCCTTCTAATAACTGGGAATATTTAGGACATTTTTGGGTCTAATGGTCATTATCATTGTCTAAATGTAGTTACACAGGATCATTTGTGTGTGTGTGTGTGTGTGTATTTTTATTTATTTATTTTAATTTCTCTTGTTTTTTGTTTTGAGATGGAGTCTCGCTCTGTCGCCCAGGATGGAATGCAGTGGCATGATCTCGGCTCACTGCAAATTCCGCCTCCCAGGTTCAAGTGATTCTCCTGTCTCCTGTAATTCGAGTAGCTGGAATTACAGATGTGCGCCACCAGGCCCATCTAATTTTTGTATTTTTAGTAGAGACAAAGTTTCACCATTTTGGCCAGGTTGGTCTCAGACTCCTGAGCGCAAGTGATCCGCCTGCCTTGGCCTCCCAAAGTATTCGGATTACAGGCATGAACCACTGCACCCAGCCTTATTTCAGTACCTTTTGGGGTACAAGTGAGTTTTTTTCCCATGGATGAATTATAGTGGTGCATTCTGAGAATTTAGTGCACCCATCACTGAGTAGCGTACATAGTATCTAATGTGTAGTTTTTTATCCCTAGCCCCCGCTCACCCTCTCCATTCTGAATCTCTAACGTCCATGATACCACTCTGTATGCCTTTGTGTACTCATACTTAGCTCCCACTTATAAGTGAGAACATATGGTGTTTGGTTTTTCACTCCACACAGGATCATTTTAAAAATGAATACTCTTCTTTCCTGCAAAAGCTTCTTAAAAACAGCTTGATTTATCTATTGCCTATTAAATTGAATAACTACAACATTTTAGGGTTTGTACAACCAAAAGATGTACTTATGTTTTGCTTCTGTGTTTTTTAATGATACTTTTGAAGGCATAAGTTTTTTTAGCATGCAGTTTCCTTGATAGCTTTGTAGATGTTGGTTTGGGAACATTTTTGAGATGGACTCTCACTCTGTCATGCAGGCTGGAGTGCAGTGGTGTGATCTCAGCTCACTGCAGCCTTCGCCTCCTAGTTTCAAGTGATTCTCCTGCCTCAGCCTCCCAGGGAAGCATCATTTAGCTTCATAAGTGAGAGAGTCATAGTAAATACCAGGTTCTAAAATACGAAGTTCAAAGAAGGTTTGTGGCCTTCTGCTTTCCCTAGTTCCAGCTGATGATTAAGTGTATCATGCATCCTAGAAGACACAGTCATCAGTGTGCTCCAAATACTCTGAGGTTCTGGAAGAAAAGATGTTCTCAAAACCATATTCACTCTTGGCTGGGTGCTGTGGCTCAGGCTTGTAGTCCCAGCACTTTGGGAGGCCAAGGTGGGAGGATAGCTTGAGGCCTGGAATTTGAAGCTGCAGTGAGCTATGATTGCGCCAGTGTACTCCCGCCTGGACAGCAGAGCAAGACCCTATCTCTAAAGTTTGTTTTTGTTTTTTTAAATTTATAAAACTATATTCACTCTCAATCAGAGAGCCTGTCTTCACAAAGAAATGGAACATTAGGGGGTGTCTTGCCTACTAGATTCTTTCATGCCTATTTGTATGCATATATGTGTCTTTGTTCCCTTGCCCACTTTTTCTTGGTGATTTTTCTGGAAACAGAGATGCCATCTTTTCTGAAAACGCCAATGGATCTGACTATTCGCACTGGTGCCATGGCCAGATTAGAATGTGCTGCAGAGGGACACCCTGCACCTCAGATTTCCTGGCAGAAAGATGGTGGTACTGACTTTCCTGCGGCTCGAGAAAGACGCATGCACGTCATGCCCGAGGATGACGTCTTCTTTATTGCCAATGTGAAAATAGAAGATATGGGAATCTATAGCTGCATGGCACAAAATACAGCAGGAGGTCTCTCAGCAAATGCTTCCCTAACAGTGTTAGGTACGTTTACTGCTCCATGGGTCCCTGCTTTTGTTGGAGTCTTTGGGAGCTACTCTTGGTCTTAATGAGCAAGAAAAATAAGTTTGAGATTACCTCTGTGATTCTTAGATCTTTATCTTATTTCACAATTTTATGCAAGGTTATGTCAGTCTAGGAATTAGTGGGTCAGATAACTGAAATGTGGGAAAATACATAGGGCAAAATTAGGTAGGCATCCTTGTCACAATAATTGAAAGTTCAAATTCCTTTATCAGCTTATCTTTTTAAGTCCCTCTCTGTAAGGTTTCTGTTTCATGTAGGTGTGTTTACTATTCACTGAGTTTGCATTGAGAGTTCCACTGTTCTTTTAGGAGTATCCCAGCCATTTGATGCTGCTTCACTTATTGCTTGATAGGAACCTAAGACTATTTAACTGTTTGCTCCTAGTTCATTTTCAAAAAAAATTTAATACAAAAAAAAAAAAAAAAGATGTGTTTTCTGGTTAGAGTTTCTGCTTTCCTTTTCAGTGTGTTCTTCTTAACCCTATTTCTGGTAAAATGCCTTTTTTCCTAAAAATTTTCCCCTGCTGGCCTGGGTTTTTTTTGTTGTTGTTGTTTGTTTGTTTTGTTTTTTCTTCCTTATTACAATACTTTTCTTCGTGGAACTCAAATCCAGGGTAAATTCTACTTTCCAGTTCTCTATTTTCCTATATGTCAGTTATTATTATTATTTTTTTTAAGTTTGTTGGTTTGTATTGTTTACTTGTATAACCAGAAAAATAAGAAGTCATTTATTTATTTATTTATTTATTTATTTATTTATTTATTTATTTATTTATTTTGAGACGGAGTCTCATTCTGTTGCCCAGGCTGGAATGCAGTGGCGCAATCTCGGCTCAGAGCAACCTCCACTTCCCGGGTTCAAGTGATTCTCCTGCCTCAGCCTCCTGAGTAGCTGGTACTACAGGCATGTACCACTGCGCCCAGCTAATTTTTGTATTTTTTTTAGAGACGGGGTTTCACCATGTTGGTCAGGCTGGTCTCGAACTCCTGACCTCATGATCCGCCTGCCTCAGCCTTAGAAAAATAAGTCATTTATTGTTTTAACATGTTAAGATATACAGAAAATTAGGAAAAGGGGAGGAAAGTCACTCAAATACTTAAGGATTTTAGCATATTCTAGACTTTCCCCTCTCACTTTTATGTAGTCAAATATACCTACATTTTTTTCATTTAATATTGTACCACAAGTTGCCTTGTTATTAAAGTCTTTGTAAAAGATCATGTGACTATAATTTACTTAATCATTTTTCTGCTAGATTTAAAAATGTTTTTCTTTATTCTTTAAAGTTACACATTTTGTAGTAAACATCTTTGCGTATAAATCTTTGAATTTCTTTTTTTTTAAGTTATTTTTAATCTTTTTTAATGGGTCACCGCTGCTCACCCCCTCCAGCTATTGCAGCTGCCCTGAACTTCTTTCTTAGGATAGCTTGCCTAAGCTGGAATTATCGAGAAAAGATTGAGGCTTTTTTCAGGATTTTGTTCTGAAACATTAACTTCTAATCCTCCCATGAGTATATAAAATTACTCATTTTATTATACCCCCATTGGTCTAATTCAGTAGAAATTAGGGAATAAAATTGCCTAACTTTTCATTTTTTTTTTTTTTAATGTTTTCCTGTTAGAGACACCCTCATTTATTAGACCCCTGGAGGATAAGACAGTAACACGAGGTGAAACTGCGGTGTTACAGTGCATAGCTGGAGGGAGTCCTGCCCCTCGTCTCAACTGGACTAAAGATGATGGGCCTTTGCTGGTGACAGAACGACATTTCTTTGCTGCAGCCAATCAGCTTCTCATCATTGTAGATGCCGGGCTAGAAGATGCTGGGAAATATACCTGCATTATGTCTAACACCCTTGGGACAGAACGTGGCCACATTTACCTAAATGTCATTTCATCCCCCAATTGTGACTCTTCCCAGAGTAGCATTGGGCATGAAGATGATGGCTGGACCACAGTTGGCATTGTCATCATTGTTGTGGTCTGCTGTGTTGTTGGCACTTCTTTGATCTGGGTCATTGTTATTTACCACATGAGAAGGAAAAATGAAGACTATAGTATCACAAACACAGGTAAGTAGTACCCACATGACACCTATGGCTTGTACTTCAGTCAAGAATGTAGTATAGGATTAATTGTACAATATAAAAAACTGAGAGCTGGTCATAGTAGCACATGCCTGTACTCCCAGCTACTCAGGAGGATGAGGTGGGAGGACTGCTTGAGCCCAGGAGTTCAAGGCCCACCTGGGCAACATAGCAAGACCTCATCTTCCCCCTCAAAAAACTGAAGAGCTGTGATACATTACCTGATATGTGATAGAAGGGAGTTTTTGTTGTTAAAATGTTCAACTTCTTTGATATAACAGAACCTCTTTGAGGAATAGGTTCATAACAGAACCTCTTTGAGGAAAGAATTTTGTTTATTTGAGATAGGGTGTTACTGTAATGCCCAGGTCAGAGTGTATCGGTACATTCATGGCTCACTGCAGCGTTGACTTCCCAGGCTCAGGTGATTCTCCCATCTCGGCCTTCTGAGAAGCGGGGACTATAGGCATGTGCCACCGCGCCTAAGTTTTTATATTTTTAGTAGAGTCGGGTTTTGCCATGTTGCCCAAGCTGGTCTCAAACTCCTGGGCTCTAGCAATTTGTCCACCTTGGCCTCTCAAAGTGCTGGGATTACAGGCATGAGCCACTGCGTCTGACCAATTTTAAGAATTTGTAAATTTTTTTTTTTTTTTTTGAGATAGAGTCTCGCTCTGTTGCCAGGCTGGAGTGCAGCGGCATGATCTTGGCTCAATGCAACTTCCACTTCCCGGGTTCAAGCGATTCTCCTGACTCAGCCTCCCGAGTAGCTGGGACTACAGGCGTGTGCCACCATGCCCAGCTAATTTTTGTATTTTTAGTTGAGACGGGGTTTCACCATGTTGAACAGGATGGTCTCAATCTTTTGACCTCGTGATCCACCCACCTTGGCCTCCCAGAGGGCTGGGATTACAAGCGTGAGCCACCACGCCCGGCCAAACTTTACTTCTAAAAACGCATTACAGATGCATTCTTTTTAATGTCTAAGGCTCCTTTTCATCATAATTTTGCTGTAAGGAAGAGTGGAGCCCTTGTGATTGAGATCAGTCTCTTTTTTTCCCTTGAATATCAAACTGGATCATTGAGGTCAGTCTTTTACACCTCTCACCCTGGAATCCTGCAAGAAAAGAAATCTAGGCAGATAGATTATGAAAGTGTGGCAGTAGATAAGATTTCAACCTTTAGGTTTTGTTTCTTTCAATGAAACTTTTAAAGTGAAGCTTTGAGAAGAATTCTAGTGAGAAATAGTTTTAGGGGAAGTACCAAGAGCTGTTGCGGTCCTAGGTACGTACAGTTTTTCTTGCTAATAGTATCAAAGTGGAACACATTTGCAAAATAGTCTTCTGAGTGTTGGCTTCAACTGCCTACCTTTGAGAGTTAAAAATGTCTCTTTTACAGAGGAGCTCAATCTGCCTGCAGACATTCCCAGCTACTTGTCTTCCCAAGGAACGCTGTCTGAGCCACAGGAAGGCTACAGCAACTCTGAGGCAGGCAGTCATCAGCAACTTATGCCTCCTGCCAATGGATATATACACAAAGGCACTGACGGTAATGACTCTGTTGTTTATGGTTACAATTTCAGCCTATTCTATTGAGTTTACTTTTCAGTGTGTAGTTTCTCCATTAATCTGAAGCAATATTTTAAAGTAAGATACCTAATGAAAGCATTTAGCCACATGCAAAATAGGATGAAAATTGACTAAAGTCTTAAAAGGATATGAAAATCATCTTACAGAGTGGAGAAACACATTAAACAAGAGATCAGAGTACACAGCAGAGGCTCCCAAACTTGTGTAATTATAGGAAAGGGATATTCTGCAAACTTTTTTCAGGTATCTCTTTCTTACCCTTTTCAGGCGTGGGCATCCTTCAGACCACATCCAAGGGAGGCTGGTTTCTCTTCCTGACAGGTAGACATTCAGTAAAGTTTAAAGGGTAGCTAGGAGCCAGGCATGGTGGCATGCCTGTAGTCCCATCTACCCACGAGGCTGAAGCAGGATTACTTGAGGCCAGGAGTTCGAGGCTGTATTGTGCTGTGAGTGCACCTATGAATAGCCACTGTACTCTAGCCTGGACAACATAGCAAGACTCCCCACCTCTAAAAGAAATCAACAAATGGTAGCAATGGTTCTCAGCATATACTGGAGAACATCAGAGAGATGTAAAGAGTTCCCTAATTAAATGAACCTGACATCCCAACACGTAGAGATGCGTACCCATACACAGAGTTCTTCTCCCTCCACCCTTTTCATAGCCTCGCTCCCATAGGGAGTGACAGAACTGAATGAATTAAGGGACAGAAGAATTGGGTTTAATTGATACTTCTTCCTTTTTCCAGCTCTGTGACCATGAAGCTAGTTACTTAAGATCTGAGCTTTACTTTTCTAATTTTTAAATAAAGAGACAATAATTTGTAAAGCACTTCCCCCAAGATTCTCACAGATCTTTTCAGCAAATCTGTGTGGTACTTCAAATACTATACAAATGGAAGATTTATTCCATTTCTTCAGAGACTTTTTTAGGCTGGGTGTCAACAGAACTTTATCTAATTGATAAATTGGATTTTGGCTTTTCATGAAAAATATAGTAGTTCTGACTCTTTTTTTTGTTTTTGAGAAAGCGTCTCATTCTGTTACCCAGGCTGGAGTGCAGTGGCACGATCTCAGCTCACTGCAACCTCCACCTCCCAGGTTCAAGCGATTCCTCTGCCTCAGCCTCCTAAGTAGCTGGGATTACAGGTGCGTGCCACCATACCCGGCTAATTTTTGTATTTTTAGTAGAGACGGGTTTCACCATGTTGGTCAGGCTGGTCTTGAACTGCTGACCTTGTGATCTGCCTGCCTCAGCCTCCCAAAGTGCTGGGATTACAGGCATGAGCCACCGCACCTGGCTGGCATTTCTGACTTTTAAAAGAATACTTAAAAGTCTGTTCTTTGAAGTATGTGGGAAATAACACTGCTTTCTGGGTTAAACTAAATTACTTTTCACTCTCTTCCAATTCTAACATTCTGTTGCATGATTTTTTTTTGTTTGTTTTTTGGTTTTTTTGAGACAGAGTTTCATTCTTGTCACCCAGGCTGGAGTGCAATGGCACCATCTCAGCTCACTGTAACCTTTGCCTCCCCGGTTCAAGCGATTCTCCTGCCTCAGCCTCCTGAGTAGCTGGGATTACAGGCACCTGTCACCATGCCCGGCTTATTTTGTATTTTTAGTAGAGATGGGGTTTCACCATATTGGCCAGGCTGGTCTCAAACTTCGGACCTCAGGTGATCCACCTGCCTCGGCCTCCCCAAGTGCTGGGCTTACAGGCATGAGCCACTGCTCCTGGCCTGTTGCATGATTTTGAATAAGTAACTCACTCTTTATTTCTCACTCTCTCTTCTCTCCTTCATCATTCAGTTTTCAAAGCACATAATAATCCAGGGAGTTCATTGTTAAACCTATACTTCTGTCAACCATGTACTTGTCAGGCAGGACTTCTCATTGTCAGAAGCTTTCCCTAGGGATGCTTGTAGCAATTGGTGTTACTTAACCTCTTGACTCATTAAAGTAACATGGTTTTTCATGAAGTGAAGTCATCATAACTCCTTATTCTCTGACTTAGTTTGCTTAAGCCAAGCATGTGTCTTGTAGCACAGTACCAGCCTTATCTTGCTCCCTTGATTTGGGCATGATCTGTCTATCCACAATAGACAGAGATGGTTCAGTGTAGTTTTCAAGAGCATGGGCTCTGGAGCCAGAATGGCTGTTTCTGCTCCTCACTCTGGCAGTATGACTTTGTTTTTTTTTTTTTGGAGACAGAGTCTCGCTGTGTCGCCCAGGCTGGAGTGCAGTGGCGTGATCTCGGCTCACTGCAAGCTCCGCCTCCCGGGTTCACGCCATCTTCCTGCCTCAGCCTCCCGAGTAGCTGGGACTACCGGTGCACGCCACCACGCCTGGCTAATTTTTTGTATTTTTAGTAGAGATGGGGTTTCACCGTGTTAGCCAGGATGGTCTAGATCTCCTTACCTTGTGATCTGCCCGCCTCGGCCTCCCAAAGTGCTGGGATTACAGGCGTGAGCCACCGCACCCGGTAGCGGTATGACTTTGGTTAAGTTACTTAACTTCTCTGTGCTTTAGTTTACCCTATCTGTAAAGTGGGGATAATAATAATACCTACCTCATAGGGATGTTGTGAGGATTAATGAATCAATTCACAGAAATGGCTTGAAACTTCACCTACTTTATAAAGTAAGTGCTCAATACATGCTAGCAATGATGATGACAACTTTTGAAGAAAACTGACGATTGGCAAAAAATAATTCCTTAACAGAAAGATATTTAGATTCTTTTTCTTGTTATTAGGTGGCACTGGTACCCGGGTGATTTGCTCAGATTGTTATGACAATGCCAACATCTACTCCAGGACCCGAGAATACTGTCCATACACCTATATTGCTGAGGAGGACGTTCTTGATCAGACACTGTCCAGCCTCATGGTCCAAATGCCTAAAGAGACATATTTAGTACATCCTCCCCAGGATACTACTGCCCTAGAGAGCCTGATACCGTCAGCCAACAGAGAGCCATCTGCCTTTCCCACCAACCATGAGAGGATAAGTGAGAAGAAACTTCCCTCCACACAGATGAGCGGTGGTAAGGGATGTATTTTTGTTGTTATTTTGTTTTTACTTTCGTCTAATTGACTCTTCCTTCTATCATATAGGTAGTGCTCTCATTTGACAGGAAGCAAGCAGATGGGTATATAGGAGTAACTGGCCATTGTTAAATGGTATAAACTATAGCCAGAGATTTCTGCATACTAGAGTTACAAAGAAGTCTTCATCTATAGGATGGAAACAACTTTTGTGGGGGTAACAGGATCACACTACTGAAAATTCAGAGGCCATACACAAAAAGCTTTTAAAAGGTTTCATACAGGCTATTTATTTATTTATTTGAGACAGAGTATCACTGTGTCATCCAGGTTGGAATGTAGTGGTGCAATCTTGGCTCATGCCAACCTCTGCCTCCCTGGTTCAAGCAATTCTCATGCCTCAGCCTCCCAAGAAGCTGGGACTACAGGCGTGCACCACCACACCCAGCTAATTTTTGTATTTTTAGTAGAGGTGGGGTTTAACCATGTTGGCCAGGCTGGTCATGAACTCCTGACCTCATGTGATTGCCTGCCTTGGCCTCCCAAAGTGCTGAGATTACAGGTGTGAGCCACCGCACCCGGTATCATATAGGGTATTAATTTTTCTCCGATCTTTATTTAAATAAAAGAATAAAATATGGGGGGCCGGGCACAGTGGCTCACGCCTGTAATCTTAGCACTTTCGGAGGCCAAAGCAGGTGGATCATTTGAGGTCAGGAGTTTGAGACCAGCCTGGCCAACATAGGGAAACCCTGTCTCCACTAAAAATACAAAAATTAGCCTAACATGGTGGTGCATGCCTGTAGTCCCACCTACTCGGGAAGCTGAGGCACGAGAATCACTTAAGCTCGAGATGGAGGTTGCAGTGAGCTGAGATCGTGCCACTGCACTCCAGCCTGGGCAACAGAGTGAGACTCTGTCTCCAAAAAATAGTAATAATAAAATTTGGGCATAATTTGGTGATGGTTTTTACTGAGAAGATTTTTTTTTTTTTTTTTTTTGGGAAATGGAGGTTCGCTCTTGTTTCCCAAGCTGGAGTGCAATGATGCCATCTCGGCTTACCAGGACCTCCGCCTCCCGGGTTCAAGCAATTCTCCTGCCTCAGCCTCCTGAGTAGCTGGGATTACAGGCATGTGCCACCATGCCCAGCTGATTTTCTATTTTTAGTAGAGATGGGGTTTCTCCATGTTGGTCAGGCTGGTCTCAAACTCCCGACCTCAGGTGAGCCACCCACCTTGGCCTCCCAAAGTGCTGGGATTACAGGCATGAGCCACTGTGCCCGGCCTACTGAGAAGTTTTTTTTTTTTTATTTGAGATGGAGTCTAGCCCTGTTGCCCAGGCTGGAGTCCAGTGGCGTGATCTCAACTCACTGCAACCTCTGCCTCCCAGGTTCAAGCGATTTTCCTGCCTCAGCCTCCTGAGTAGCTGGGATTACAGGCATGTGCAACCACAACCGGCTAATTTTTTGTATCTTTATAAGATGGGGTTTCACCATGTTGTCCAGGCTGGTCTCGAACTGCTGACCTCGTGATCTGCCTGCCTTGGCCTCCCAAAGTGCTGGGATTACAGGCGTGAGCCACCATGCCTGGCTGAGAAGAGTTTTAAATGTTTTGTTTTGTTGCTGTTTTAGCAGGTAAACATTTAATTTCAGCTTCACTTGGCGGGTGTTTTTTTCTATGAGGTATGATCAAGGTCATAAGTGAGAACGCAGTTTTGGGCTTGTGTCCCCTGTCTCACATGGCCCAGGAAAAGAAATATACATTATATTGTATAGATTAGGCATTTGATAACCTACTTGGCATTTGAAACAAAACTCTTTCTAAATCATGAAGAGTAATGCTGAGCATGTGTGTCTTCCTGTCCATCCAAGCTTTTCATCAGCTTTCATCCTTCTGTCAGCCTGACATGGAAGAGCAGTGGAATAGGGTAGGAGGTCAGGCTGGGCATGGTGGCTCACGCCTGTAATCCCAGCACTTTGGGAGGCTGACACGGGTGGATCATGAGGTCAGGAGTTCGAGACCAGCCTGACCAACATGGTGAAACCCCATCTCTTCTAAAAAAATTAAAAATTAGCTGGGCGTGGTGGTGGGCGCCTGTAATCCCAGCTACTTGGGAGGCTGAGGCAGGAGAATCACTTGAACCCAGGAGGCGGAGCTTGCAGTGAGCTGAGATTGAGTGATTGCACTCCAGCCTAGACATCAGGGTGAGACTCTGTCTCAAAAAAAAAAAAAGACAGGGTAGGAGGTGAGAACTACAGGTTTACAGAGGAAGGCAAAGTATACTGTGATACTCCCGGGGATGGTTCTGGCAGGAGTGAATAATCTAATGTCCCATGTTAGATTATGTCCCACAGGTTACAGGATCATGCTTTTGATTTTAATTTTAGTAGGACTTGGAACATTCAAGATGGTAGTGAGGGCACATGAAACTCTTCAGGATGAAATCTGGGCAGAGACTTATTAATTAATTTTGCATTTACTACTTCATGTCCCACATTAGATCATTTACTCCTGCCAGAACCATCCCTGCAAGTATCTGAGTTAGGCTCACCTTTTTTTTTTTTTTTTTTTTTTTGAGATACAGAGTCTCGCTCTGTCGCCCAGGCTGGAGTGCAGTGGCACGATCTCGGCTCACTGCAACCTCCGCTTTCCGGGTTCAAGCGAGTCTCCTGCCTCAGCCTCCTGAGTAGCTGGGATTACAGGTGCCAACCACCATGCTTGGCTAATTTTTTGTATTTTTTTTAGTGGAGACAGGGTTTCACCATGTTGGCCAGGCTGGTCTCAAACTCCTGACCTCAGGTGATCCACCCACCTCAGCCTCCCAAAGTGTTGGGATTACAGGCATGAGCCACTGCACCCAGCCTCTATTGTTCTTAAGAGATCAAAGACTTCTAAAGAGGTACAGGTCAGAGGAAAGCACTATTACTGAAGTTAATCTCTTATTTTTACATTAAGTGTTCATGAAAGAAATGCATCAACAGTAAATCCACTTTTACTGTTGGATGTCTTAGAAGAGTTAATACAAAAAGGGTTTAAGAAGGACCAGAAATGTAGTCCCATCTTTTTTGTAACTTTGGGGATGCCTTCATTTTTAATCTGGTCCGTAAGTAAGGAAATCAGCAAATGAGAGTGCTTCGGCCCATTGGCGATTTTTTATGTGGGGTATCCTAGCTTCTTCTTACTCGAAGTCTGGTCTGTTGACTATCAGCATCACCGTTACCTAAGAGCTTGTTAGAAATGCAGAGTAATGACCCCAGAGCAGATCTAGCAAATCAGAGTCTACATTTTAACAAGATCCTCAAGTTATTTGTGTGCATATTAATTAAAACTTGAGAAACCCTGCTCTAGCTTACTTTTCACATGGATTTTATTTTTATTTCTGGGTATTTGTTTTTATAATGTTTGGCTAGCTTTTTCTAAAATGTACCCTATGAAGTTAATATAACTTTCAGTAAACAGTCTTTGGGAAAATAGTTCACCATTGTAATTAAAGAAGAATGAGAAATGCATATTTGAAACCAGTGTGCAGATAATCTGATTTAATACAGCTCCTTTTGACTATCATTTGTTGTTAGAATTGTTGACATGCTAGGAGTTGGAAGGGAATGGCTGTTTATTTTTAAAACAATTTTGTGACATATTTAAAGATATAATGGCTGCACTGAATCAATGATTATTACCTATCATGAAACTTTCATTACAATATGGATACCATTTTGTCTTTTAGTTCTTTTCCATGTGTCTAAAGAGTTTTATTTAAAAATTTTGTGGCCGGGCACGGTGGCTCACGCCTGTAATCCCAGCACTTTGGGAGGCTGAAGCAGGCGGATCACCTGAGGTTGGGAGTTCAAACTAGCCTGGCCAACATGGTGAAACTCCTGTCTCTACTAAATATACAAAATTAGCTGGGCATGGTGGCACATGCCTGTAATCCCAGCTACTTGGGAGGCTGACGCAGTAGAATTGTGTGAACCCGGGAGGCGGAGGTTGCGGTGAGCCGAGATGACGCCATTGCACTCCAGCCCGGGCAACAAGAGCGAAACTCCATCTCAAAAAAATAAATAAATAAAATAAAAAATTTTGTAGCAACAGAATCGCTAAAATAACAGGTGACAGTAGACGATATATAGTATGATCTCAGTAAATAATTGGTTAGGTTTGTGAAGTAGAGGGATTTGAAAGACCATGTTCTGGTGGTGGTTTTTGTGTGTGTGTGTGTGTGTGTGTGTGTGTGTGTGATTTCAGTGTCCCTATTCAGGAATATTGAACATCTTTATTTCTTTGAGGATTTGGCTAAAAGGATATTAAGTTTTACCAGTCACTACTGATAATTCTTGTCTTTCATTCTCAGAAACATTGCAGCGGCCCGTGTGGAACATAAACAGAGAACTAGGCCTGCCTCATCCTCCTTTTTCCCAGCAGCCAGTCCATGAGTCACCACAACTTCATCAAAATGAGGGCCTGGCAGGGAGAGAGCCAGACTGTTCTGCTTCTTCCATGTCCTGCCACAGGTTACAGGATCATGCTTTTGATTTTAGTAGGACTCGGAACATTCAAGATGGTAGTGAGGGCACATGAAACTCACTTCAGGATGAAATCTGGGCAGAGACTTATTAATTAATTTTGCATTTACTACCTCAGAGCTCAGAAGAAACTCCGAAGTCAGCATTTGCTTTACTCTTTCTTTATGATTGCATCTGACCGCACCAAGGTGGGCCATGCGTTGTTTGGTCTTATACCTGATGAAGAAATGGCAACAGCTGACAGAAATGGGTACAGCTCATCAAAAATGTGCAGCACCGGCAGAGGGAAGATACGGGGCAAATGTGCTTCCTGATGCTTCCATGGGGATGTGCCCTGGTGTGCATCTGCTTGTCAGGAAGAGTCACATTGCTGCTTAACATGCTGGATTGCCCTAGTCTTCAGAATGGTCCTGAGAAAACATCACTACTTCGATGTTCTACTTTGCTTTCCAAGGAGCAAAAATAACTTTGGAGCCTTCTGGGAAGTGTGCCTGGGATTCTTCAGTGGTTTCAGGCAGATAGTTGAGACTGGGGCTTTGATATTCAAGGTCTTTGGCAAGAATCCCAGGCTTGACCAACTGGTACCAGGTCAAAGATTTTTGTATTCTTGTGAATTTTTTTTTTTGTCCCTATTGCCCAGGGATGTCATTGTAAATATATGTGCATTTATAAATAATTTTTGTATTCATTGACCATATGTGTTGGCTGCAATGTAAATATTTTTGATATGCCAAAATTATATGTAATATCCAGTTATAATATTGACAAGTAGCTTCTCAGATCACAGATTTTAAATAACTCAATTTAGTGAGATCTAAAAATTTTATTTAAAGTATAAAAACTGTGGCTCACACCTGTAATCCCAGCATTTTGAGAGGCTAAGGTGGGAGGATTGCTTGAGGCCAGGAATTTGAGACCAGGCTGGGCAACATGGTGAGACCCTGTGTCTGCAAAAAAATAAATTAAAAAAATAGGTGGACATTGTGGCATGCTGCTGTAGTCCTAGCTACTTGGGAGGCTGAGGTGGGAGGGTCACTTGAGCCCGGGAAATCAAGGCTGCAGTGAGCTGTGTGAAGCCACTGCATCCCAGCCTGGGTGACAGAGTGAGGCCCTGGCTCAAAAGTAAAATAAATAAATAAAAAGTTTTAAAAACTTACTTGTTAAGAAGTGTATCTATAGAGGCAGCTACTTAGTGATTGTATACACATAAACACAGTCTTGGTGTAATTAACCGCCTTCTTCATGCCTAGAGGTTCATACTTCTGGTCATTTGCCATCTGTTTAAAAGTGCTAGGTGATACTCCCTTTCTAACATAAAAAGCTTGTTCTTTCAGAGCCTGGCAGTCCTGTCACAGCTGTATGCACCTAGAGGAAAACTTGTTTGGAAATTCCTTTCATTTCCTCCCCCTCTCCCTCCTTCCCTCTTTTTTTTTACTGAAACAGAAATTGATTGAGGAAGGTTCAGTCATTCCTTCAGGAACCAATGAGTTAGATCGGGTTGTTACTTTATGTATAATGAACGCTTCAAAAACTGGAGGCTGATTTAAAGATTGCAGAACTTGAGTCAGACTCATAAGCAGTACTGTGACATGAATTGGAGCCAGAACAGTTGCTGATATCAGAACCATCTCTTTCATTCTGTGACTTTGCTCTTGCCATGTTCTGACTGGGGTGAGCCGCTAGGATACAAATCACTATCACTGTCCATATTTGAGTCTGCAAATCTTGTCATTGTCTGCTTTAATGCTCTTTGAGTTGCAACAGGTGTATTATTTAAATGAGTATTTGAAATTCTGTGAACAGGAATTCTTTTGGTAGTGAAATAGGTGCTCACACCTGCTTGCTCAGAATGTGAAAATATTATTTCTGAGTTCTCTTTGTTCACTTTCTAAAGTGACTGTTGTTTGGTGTTGGAGATGTTAACTGGGTTCTATTAGGTGTGCTATATCTTGGCAAATATTCCCCATGATGAACTCTTCCTACTATCACAATCAGGACTATGACTGGATTTCTCAGTCTCAGTGCCCCAGATTCACCATTTCTGATTGTGTCTGGAGAACGTTTTCCTGGAAAGGCATTCCATGTTCCAAAAGCTACAAAAACATGCCACTTTGCAACTATGGGTCAGTTATTTGCTCTCTCAATGTCTCATGTTGCTGAGTTCTAGAAAATCTCTGTCTCATTTACCAGGGGTCATTCAAAAGTCTGAGATGTATATTATCATGAAATATTTGTGAAATTTCTCACCATGAATTTGGAGGGAACCTACTTTTATTTCTCGCTCTGGTTCTCCATTGGTCTGGGCTCCTGCTTCTCAGTCTTCTCTGACCTCTGGTAAGTGGAACTTTCATTAATACTTCTGTCGCACTTTGTACCTGACCTAGGTGGCCTTGCAAATGTTGACTCAGATTGTGGATTTTCCACTTTCCTCTGTTTTCCCTATTTTCTCCCCTGGGAAATCTTGCAGATGATGCATATTCATTTTCTGTATTCAGCCTTCCATTATTAAGGATAAAATTGATCCCTACATTGAATCTGAAATTACCACTATATGGATTACTCTGGCTCACTGCTGTCCAAGCTTGGTTTTCTCTTTGCTTACTTCCTGTCATATTTTCAGTTTGCCCAAAAGAGGTAAGCCACTTTATTACAGACCCATTACTAGTGCTAGACGTCATCCACCTCTGTTTTCACCTGATTCTTGTGGGGAATCCTCTTTAATTTGTTGTAACCTTCTCAGCAACTCTTCTGTACTTCACCTATAGTGCCTAGCAAATTGTTATCACTCATAAGCCTGTAATCTTCATCACTCAGGTTATTTGCAAGTAGAAAGCTTCTGGAACCATTTGTCCATCCGACTTCTGCACTGGGCCACATCCATCTTCTTCATTGTCAGAATCTGAGTTTTCTGTCTTGAAGAACAGCTGGAAAGTTGTCTGGCTGTTATGACACAGTATTGAAATACCAGACTGAGTTTCAGTTGTTTCTAGTTGTGTTCACTTTGTGCTTTCTCTGAATGGGAATATCTTCTTTCAGCAAAGTTCTTCATTGACCAGGAAACCAAAGATTGCTTCTTTTCCAAGTTTGTTTTGTTTTTAATCTTTTACCAATGTGCAGTATATCTTAAGAAGGGAAGAGTGCTCTTGGGAGTAGAAGAACATGCAAACATTCTTTTTTCTTTATTATTATTTGAGATGGAGTCCCTCTCGGTCACCCAGGCTGGAGCGCAGTGGCATGATCTTGGCTTACTGCAACCTCCGCCTCCCAGGTTCAAGCAATTCTCTTGCCTCAGCCTCCCAAGTAGCTGGGATTACAGGCACACCACCATTTCCAGCTTTTTTTTTTTTTTTTTTTTTGATATTTTTAGTAGAGATGGGGTTTCACCATGTTGGCCAGGCTGGTCTTGAACTCCTGACCTCAGGTGATCTGCTTGCCTTGGCCTCCCAAAGTGCTGGGATTACAGGCATGAGCCACTTGCCTGGCCCCAAAATTCTTATACTGTAAAGCCTTGTAGTGGTCCTTATTTTTTTTTTTTTGAGACGGAGTCTCGCTCTGTCACCCAGACTGGAGTGCAGTGGCACAATCTCGGCTCACTGCAACCTCTGCCTCCCGAGTTCAAGCCCTTCTTCTGCCTCAGCCTCCCAAGTACCTGGGATTACAGGCATGCACCACCATGCCCGGCTAATTTTATTTGTATTTTTAGTAGAGACGGGGTTTCTCCATGTTGGTCAGGCTGGCCTCGAACTCCTGACCTCAGGTGATCCACCCGCCTCGGCCTCCTAGAGTGCTGGGATTACAGGCGTGAGCCACCGAGCCCGGCCGGTCCTTATTTTATACAAGTGATTAAGCCAAAAATTTTCTTGAATTTCTGATACCAAAGAGCTTTAGGTAAATAACTTCACACTCTAATGCAATGTAATTCTTTCTTTGTGCTTTCAGATTTCCTTACACTTCCTGTCCAGTTCTCTCTTCTAAATCCAATATTACTCACTAGATAATTTCAGCCACTTAAATAAAAATATCTATTTTTAAGTCCTGGTTCAAGGGTTCCAAACTCACATAATTTCTCAACTTTTTGCCAGAAAGTTGAGCATTTATTCATACTTATTTTCAATCCTAAGTGTTCTCCCATGGGCAGCAGCACTTCTTGAGCTGTTTAGTACTGCCACACCTTTTTATGTCTTTACTATGTCAGCCTCTGATCATTTTCACTTTGAACTTCCTAAAGATCACAATTTCCTATCCCTTCAATCTGCGATCCCTCTTCTTCCTTTCTTACTAGATTATGGTGTAGTTTGTACTAGACTGACTCATTAAGACCTTGTACGCTTCCTGAGTCTGCTTATTACTGGCTTTGTAATCAAGGGTGAGTCTTTTTACTTCTCTAGGCTAGATTTTCTCATTTATGAAATGAGGACATTTTTCTAGATGCTGTAAAGCCCTTTCCAGCTGTAACATTCTATGAATCTGTAATTCCCTCGAGGAGCTAAGGAGGATTATGCTACTTTAATAAAAAGCTGCTTTGGTGACATTTGTTCGAGTAGAACAAGAGTGATGCTGCTCATTCTGACTTGAGCCAGATGTATTTCCTTTATAGCAGGAGTAATGGTCTAAGAAATACTCATTAGGAGAAAAAAATTCTGCTTCTAAACAGTATTAGTAAACAAAGAATCTTGACTCAGTTGAAAAACCACCCATTGCTCTCTAGAGCAGAATGTCTGAATGCTGGTTTTATAGCACACTAGAATATCAGAATGAGTTGACAGGTATACCACAACTAATTTGTAACTAGTTTGTGACTCACCTTTCTAATGTATTCGAAGTTATCCCTATAATTATATTACTCTCGCTCAAATTCTGATAGATTTCCTGAATGGAATAGGTGGAATTAGGGCTAGGCTGCCAGAGACTGTGCCAATGAGCATCACCCGTCATGTGTGAGAGAGCAGAAGATAGCCTGTGAGCCAGTGCTCTAGAAAACATCATGTAGGAGGCCGGTCACGGTGGCTCACGCCTGTAATCCCAGCACTTTGGGAGGCCGAGGTGGATGGATCAAGAGATCGAGACCATCCTGGCCAACATGGTGAAATTCCACCTCTACTAAAAATACAAAAATTAGCTGGGCGTGGTGGTGCGCGCCTGTAGTCCTAGCTGCTCGGGAGGCTAAGGCAGGAGAATCACTTGAACCTGGGAGGCAGAGGTTGCAGTGAGCCGAGATTGCACCACTGCACTCCAGCCTGGTGACAGAGTGAGACTCCGTCTCAAAAAAAAAAAAAAAAAAACCCGTGTAGGAGTACTGCCTCTCTGCTCTAGCAGTGGTCCTTCTACTGACAGTGCTGTCAGAGTCTGGTCTCCTAAAGAGCCAGGTCATTTTCCATTGTGTCAACTCAGATGGTTGAGATGTCCTTAGATATTCCTAGCTTGCCTAAATAACTAGTCAGCAATCTATTTAAATGTGAAGAGCCTATCTCTGGTCTTTAAATAAACACACACACACACACACACCCCTAGGAAAAGGAATTCCTGAAACTTTTCATTATTGCATATGTTTCTGATCAAGCAATATGTTAACCCTCTAAGTAGGATTAGTGTCCCATGAGTATTTCTTCCAGCAGAATCATGTCTGCCTAATGCTAATCAGGAATGTTGCAAACTGAAATGCTCCTTTCCCCACTGCCCCCTAATGACCACTTTCAGGAGGAATACATACATTCTCTTGATTTGTTTGTCCCCTTTCAGGCTGATTCTCCACTTCCACCTGGAAGAAAAGACAGTATTCCTTGAACTCCATGACCTACTGGTACAGGATCTACACTTATGCCATTGGCTTTCTGTCACTCCGCAACTTGTACTTTTTTTTTTGAGACAGGGTTTCACCCTGTCAGCCAGGCTGGAGTGCAATGGTGTGAACGTGGCTCACTGTCGTCACTGCAGCCTTGATATCTCAAGCCCAAGTGATCCTCCCACCTCAACCACCTGAGTAGCTGTGCCACCACACCCGGCTAATTTTTGTATTTTTTGTAGAGATGGAGTTTCACCTTGTTGCCCAGGCTGATCACAAACTCCTGGGCTCAAGCAATCTCCCCACTTAGGCCTCCCAAAGTGCAGGGATTATAGGCATGAGCCACCGCACCCCGCAGTACTTTCCCTCGTATACAAGCTACTCTCCTGAAAAAAATAGCAGGAACCCATTCCAATGTCCAAGCTCCCCTAAAGTGCCAACTCAGAATAACTTTCATGTTTAAAAACAGCTGTCTTCACATTGCCCATTGTGAGGTTGTAAAAGGAAGTTAAGATGTCAAGCAATTTAGATTCTGTTACCCATTTCCCTATGAAAAGAGATGTGTTAAAAGTCTTTAACTACTTAAAGGGTCATCATGAAAAATAAGAATTCTATTCCAGAAGACAGAGTTATACACAGGGAGGTGTATTATATACTTGCTAATAAATTTTTGTGTAGGCTCTTTAGTAAATTTATCTGATAATGGAATAATCAGCCTTTTTGGTGGAAAGGTACATACAGAAGCTAAATCATCATCTGTTAATAGTGTTTAAGAGATTTCTTCATTGAGATGGAATATGGGCAAGATGACCTTTAAGGTCTTTTTCACTTTTATCATTGGAAATCCCCAGAAGCAATCTGATAGTCTTAAAACTTTGTCCTTTCTAAGTCCTTTGTATTCATTTTAGAGCTCTTCAGGAAACTAGAGAATTTTGGACTTTGGTTGACAAAAGCGGTCTGACCTGTGTTCGTAGCTGGGAACATGAAACACAAAATTCTGGGTTTAATCTTCTGAAGAAATCTATAAGTAGTTACTGGCATAAATGGTATTACTATACTAACAAATTTAAAAGCCTATAATGTATTAAAACTCTTTTTTACTCGATTACTTTTATTTTTTTAAGACACAGTCTCGCTTATTGCCCCGGCTGGAGTGCAGTGGCACGGTCTCAGCTCACTGCAATCTCCGCCTCCCAGGTTCAAGCGATTCTCCTGCCTCAGCCTCCCAAGTAGCTGGAATTAATTACAGACGCCCACCACCATGCCCGGCTAATTTTTGTATTTTTAGTAGAGATGGGGTTTCACCGTGTTGCCTAGGCTGGTCTTGAACTCCTGACCTCAAGTGATCAACCCACCTTGGCCTCCCAAAGTGCTGGGATTACAGGCATGAGCCACTGTGCCCAGCCCTCTTGATAATTTTTATTCTTGTTTCTTCTTATCTGTGGGACTCCAATTAGAATGGGGTTGAGATTGTGGCATTCAGTTTTATACCAATATTTTACCCAAGTGTGTCATGGCCTTTTTTAATCATTTTAATATCCCCAGAAATGCTAGAAGTGTAAAGGAATAACAGAGGTAAATTTGCTGTCATTTTATGCCACATCCTCTTTTCTTACTTTGCTTCTTGATACAGATTATAGAGGTAATTGTGAAGACAGTTGAACCTTAGAAGATTGAGCTAAGATTCTTTTTTTGGCAACCTGCAAGTAATGTTTCATTTTTCTATTACGTGATCTCTTTGCCCATACAGTTGGCAGATGTTTTTTCCCCCTTTTTCTACCTTAAACTTTTTTGTTTGGAGTACAGTCTAAACCAACATCAGTTAGCCTTGATTTTCTTTCTTTTTTGGACAATTGTCTGGTTCATTGACAAAAGTAACAAGTTTGGAACTAAGAGATATGTTACAAGCTGCACTTAACACCACCTGAAAACCCAAGAATCATCTGAAGGTTTTGTCAGTAGTAAGGTAGGTTTTGTGTGTGTGTGTGTGTGTGTGTGTGTGTGTGTGTGTGTGTGAAGATGGAATAGGGTGAAGGTGAAGAAACAGCTTGACTTGTGCCTGTTTTCAGATAAAGGAGTAAAGTGATCTACAAACTGTAACTATCTTGAAAGAGAAATTGATCATCAGATGGTCGAGTACTCTTGGAATGTCTCTTTGCTGTTTACTGTGGCCTCTTTACAATGGTGAGACTTATTTCTACCCTCTACTTTCCACTATTATTTTTTTCCCCTATTGGATAATACTAGTCTGAGCAGCCCTAATACTAGATGTACCTAAACAGAGATACAAGCCAAGTCATTGTTCAGTGTAGTCATTTCTTAGTATCTGTTTATATTTTGTCACACATCAGAATGTATATTTTATAGAGCATGTGTTTGTCTACTTGTTTGTCTACTATAATATGTCTTTAATAAAGCTAAAAACATTCTGATTTTCTGGTCTTCTTTTGCCTAGCGTACAGCAGTGAAACGGTACATTTATGAGTTTGTATCCTTTTGAGGGGGTCTTCAAGTAGCTGTACAAGTGAGAACAGGGCAGAATTGTTTTCCTTTAGTTCTTGCCAAGTCACATATTGCCTTGAGCCTGCCCCTGGCCGCCCCTGCAGCTGTGAGCTGTGAGGACAGGCACTGTGTGCTCTCCTGCTTCCTCCCTGGTGGTATCCACCGTGGTGCTAGATGCCTGGCAGGTATGGAAACAAATACACTTCATAATTCATTAGAAAATAAGAGTGTTTTCTGCACAGAGAAGGATATGAAGGCAGCATTTTCCAATTTGGTAAATCTTTGATTAACAGGATATTTGAAGAATGTCAATATTCTGGTCAACTTTGTTACTATATCACAGGGGCCATTTTCTTTGAGGCTACCAACTCTTTGAAAGCTCATAATATTTACCCCATTGTGTACTTCTACTGCACTTTATTTTTTATTTTTTTTGAGACGGAGTCTCACTCTGTCACCCAGGCTGGAGTGCAGTGGCACAATCTCAGCTCACTGCAACCTTCGCCTCCCGGATTCAAACAATTCTGCCTCAGCCTCCTGAGTAGCTGGGATTACAGGCACGTGCCACCACACCCGGCTAATTTTTTTTGTATTTTTACTAGAGACGGGGTTTCACCATATTGGCCAGGCTGGTCTCGAACTCCTGACCTTGTGATCCACCCGCCTCGACCTCCCAAAGTGCTGGGATTACAGGCGTGAGCCACCGTGTCCAGCCAAGCACTTTATTCTTTAGGAGGCACTTTCCACAGACATCTCACTTGAATTTCACAACACTCTTATGATATAGATTGGGTAGACAATTTTACTTTCCACATTTTATAGTTACGGAAACTGGCTTGGTGACAGTATCACTTACCCAATATCAAAAGTTTTTGTTTCAGCTCACCCACTTCCTCTTGTTCTTTGTTTAAAAACTTTTGATATTAAGTAAGCGATAATTTCACCAAGTCCCAGGCAGCCCATCCCTGAGAGCATTGGCCAGAAAGACAGCAGAATTTGAATCCAGGTTTTCTGACTCAGATTCAGGGTTTTCCCCACTATGATACCTTACAATTCAGAGTATCTTCTCTATAGTCTGCATAAACACTTCGGTAAAACCCTCCGGACACTGATCACTTCCAGTCTGAAAGTTTGGACTGGAATTTACCCTAGTAAAAAATGCTTTTTACTAAATTTCTAATAGAAAAATTAGACTTTTTTTTTCTCTTTTAAGGTGACATGCAAAAAAAAAAAAAATGCCGTAGTGTTAATTCTATTTTTTGTTTTGGAGTGGGACATGCTAGGGCCTATATGGTAGCCTCCTGCTGAGTTATGAAAGATATTTATTCACACTTGTAGATATTTACAGGTTTGTGACAGTGCTTAAGCTATCTGTGCTGAAGGACTAGTTGCCATGGATCAATACTTTTGTAAAATGCAGTAAGAATGAATTTCTAGAAAAATTAAGACAAAATACAAACAAAATTTTTATTACAGATTCAACACATAAAATTACTATCAAACTGCAATTAAAATTTCTAAATGCTTATTCTCAGTTTCTGTAGTTTATCGTGGACAAAGAGCAAATAGTTTGTGGATTGGCACAAGTCTGCAGATCACTTCTGTAGTGTTGCTGTAACTGTGTAACAGTTCATGTATGTGTCAGGATGGGAATCGGTTTTATTTATTTAGGGGATTCCTTTTAGTCTTGCTGGTATGATATGATTGAAACTGAGGACTGGACTTTTGTCTAGAGGCCCCTCTGACTAGAAGCAACAATTAAAACACCTTTTCAGCTCACTGACTTCCTCCTGTTCTTCAGCTCATCACTTGCTGGGTAGAGCATTTGTAGCATGCTATTTGTTTTCCAGGCCTGCTGCTTTTCTGGCCAATGCTCTCAGGGATGGGCTGCCTGTGATTTGTTATAAAGGAAATTCTATCACAAGAGAGGGAAAGGGAAAAGGAAGTACATGGGTCATTATACTGGGAGGAAGGTGGTCTGATGCTATGTAGTCCGATGTGGACTTGTGGGTGATCAAATACTCCATTTGAGCTGTTTCTTTCTTTTCTTTTCTTTTCTTTTTTTTTTTTAGACAGAGTTTTGCTCTTGTTGCCCAGGCTGAAGTGGAATGGCGTGATCTCAGCTCACTGCAACCTCTGCCTCCCAGGTTTAAGCGATTCTCCTGCCTCAGCCTCCCAAATAGCTGGGATTACAGGTGCCCGCCACCATGCATTTGGGCTGTTTCATTCACCACCTCTACTGCTTTGTTCAGCCAGTCAAGAAATGTTTCTTGAAATCTCTAGGATAGAGATTTGTCCCTGTTCATTTAGTTCTCAGACCCTCCCCAAGGCCAGTCATCAAAGCACTGACAAAAAGAGGCAAATAGGAAGTTTTAATCACAGTTACTGCTGGGAAGAAATGATGTAACTAACAGCAAATACATTCTGCTTACTCCTTTCAGATACTGTGAAGCATTTTACATACTTAACATTTACTTACAAAAATCCCTTTGAGGGAGGTATTCTTATCTCCTATATTGTGCTGTTCTTGCATTGCTATGAAGAAATACTTGGGACTGGGTAATTTATAAAGAAAAGAGGTTTAATTGGCTCACAGTTCTGCAGGCTTTACAGGAAGCATGGTGCCAACATCTGCTCAGCTTCTGGGGAGGCCTCAGGGAGCTTAAAATCATGGAAGGCAAAGCGGGAGCAGGCATATCAAATGGAGAAAGCAGGAACAAGACAGAAATTGGTGGGGAGGTCCCACACACCTTTAAACAACCAGATCTTGGGAGAACTCACTTGATTCATAAGAACTGTACCCCCACGATGCAATCACCTCCCACCAGGCCCCATCCACAACACTGGGATTACATTTCAACATGAGATTTGAGTGATGACAAATATCCAAATTCTATCATCCCCATTGTACAGAGGATGATCCTGGATAAGCAAGTTGCCCACATCACATAATTAGCAAGCAGTACAACTAGGAGTTGAAATTATATCTTCATTATTTCAAAGCACACATTCTTTCCCTGTGCCTAAGAAAGGGAAAAAGTGAGCTTTTATGAAACTCCTTTGTCATTTAGCCTTTGTTATTGGCTAAACTGTTGTCCTTTCAACCCTCCAAAATTCAATACATCAAAGTCCTATTCCTCAGTACCTCAGAGTATAATCATATTTGCAGATAAGGTCTTTAAAGAGGTAATTAAGTTAAAATGAGCACAGAGCAAAAACCAAAGACCACGTATGGATTCATCAAGAAGGAAACCACAGAGAGAGCTGTCAAAAGAAACCAAGCTTGCTGACATATTGATCTTAGACTTCTAGCTTCCAGAGCTGTGAGAAAATCAATTGTTTAAAGCCATCTGGTCTGTGGAATTTTGTTATGGTAGCCCAGGCAAACTAATATGGTCCTTCAGCAACCCAGCCAGGCTGGTAGGATTTTCTTCAAATTTTGCAAATAAGAAAATTGTCTCAAGCTATGTGATTTGCCAGAGGTCATGTGCTCCAAAGCCCCTGCTCTTTCTACTGAGCCACCCTGTCCTCAGACCCCAGCTGGTTCTTTGTATACTGAAATCTGCTGTAGACACTTAATATTCTTTTTTTTTTCTTTTTAGACAGAGTTTTGCTCTGTTGCCCAGGCTGGAGTGCAATGGCATGATCTCAGCTCACTGCAACCTCTACCTCCTGGGTTCAAGCGATTCTCTTGCCTCAGCCTCCCGAGTAGCTGGGACTACAGGCATGTGCCACCATGCCTAGCTAATTTTGAATTTTTAGTAGAGACGGGGTTTCTCCATGTTGGTCAGGCTGGTCTCGAACTCCCAATCTCAGGTGATCCGCCTGCCTTGGCCTCCCAAAGTGCTGGGATTATGGGGTGAGCCACCACACTGGGCCTGAGACTTAATATTCTTCTGGACATTCTGAGGAGAAATTGGAAGTGAAATTGACGAATACACAGGCTAGCATGCTAGCAGTTCTGATGCACTGCACATCCCCAGCCTCACCAAAGTTCAAACAAAAGGCATCTGCGGCACTGAACTATACTTGCCACAAAATAAGAAATTGGAATGTCTTTAGATAAATGAGTGCATCTGGGGACAAAGAAGCAAGTTATTTGGAGCTTTCAAGAGTAAATGCTCTTAAGCTCCTGTCTTATTCTTTCTTCCCAAGGACAAACTGGATT
The DNA here is from genome assembly GCF_000001405.40 of Homo sapiens. Lineage (NCBI taxonomy): Eukaryota > Metazoa > Chordata > Mammalia > Primates > Hominidae > Homo > Homo sapiens. The sequence goes on from NC_000001.11 coordinate 113,136,499, forward strand.
TTGAAATCAATATGTAGAATCTCATATGTGGAATGACTGGCTGCTCATGAGTTATACTCAAAATTAAGTAGTTTAATTTTGTCTCTTTTCTAAATGCTCCATCAAAGCCAATGTGAATTTCTCTGTCTTGAAAACAGTAGGTATGTGGTTTAAGGTCAGCAGTTATAGAGGCTAGTTTGAATTATTTATTCTTGGCAAGCTCCAGAGGCAAGCACTCGGGTATATGTTCCATGCCAGAAACAGCTAGTGCAGAAAGAAACAATTGTCATCAAATAGTGAATTATTGCTACCTCCATGGTTTTGTTCTTTATACATGTAACCTGGGGGTGGCTCAGGGACCACACAGATAGGCTCTTACTAAAAAGGAACTTAAGGTTAAGTTCTTTTTTAGGTGTGTGAGGTTGAGTGTTTTGACTTTTGGAGAAGCACAAAATCATCATCAGTTGCAGGTCTGGGGGAAAGCAGTGCATCATGTCGGCAGGAGCGTTACCTTTTGGGCCCCACTCCTGCACGTGCACCAGCTTTCTCACACCTTTTCCAGACCTCAGTCACTTGTCTCACCCGCCAAATGTGTACCATTTCCCGAAGTGCCCCTGAGTGCAAAAGACTATAAAACCCAGGGAGGAGAGGAGAAGTTTGAAAACTACCTCATGTCTTCCCCTGTTGAAAGCTGCAGTATTTTTGCGTTTGGGCAGCCTTTATTTAGAGAAGGCCCTAAGACTTTTCTTAGTTCAGTGAAGGGATTTTGTAAAGATAAATCCCAATTTACAGAAATGACTGTTCATTTTGACCAGAAGTCCTTTCCTGTGTCTAATTTAAGTTCTATCTGATGTAAGACTTGTTAGTGAAATGGTTACTGAGGCTGGTGGAAGAATTGAAGAACAGCATTTCTTCTGCAGCTCTTGAATGCAGGGGTGTGGCTTTTAGAAGGTCTTTGGCTACAGAAACAAACCTGTTCTGTTTTCTTTCTCTCTCCATTAAGCCAGAACGTTTCCTTTCTCATTGCTCTTCCTACCTTTCTTCCAACCCCCAATAAAAGAGTTTGGGCAAAAGAACTAGAAACTAAACTCCCAAGTCTCCAGTTTGCCATCCATGGTGGGAGTTCCATGGCTAGGCAGGGGCTGCCAATTTACTGCAGAGACAGCTGGCTACATATATGAGGATTCCTTGTGGTAAGCCAAAGTCCTTGGGCCCTGCATTTACTATAAGGTTTTTAAAAGTGAGTGATTCAGAGCACTGCCTTTGACGGTGAACAGAGCTGGACTCCAGTCCTACCCCCACTTCTTAACCAGTTGTGGGAGTTTAAGCCAGTTTCTTAGAAGCGTTGTGCCTCGTTCCCCTTATCTGTAAAATGGAAATAGTCATGCTTACCTTATATGTTTGTTGAGATAATTAGATAAGCTGATGCATATAAAGTAATAAGCACAGTGCCCAGCACAGTGCTCAACACATTTTGGCTGCTATTAGCTATTGTTATGGGCACTCAGAATGGAGCACCCTCTTCCCACTCCCTTCTCTATCTGGGACAATTCAAGATGGGGCATGGGGAATGTTAGTAGCGAGAAGTAACCCCAGTGAGCTATTTTAGGGCTAGCCCTAGAGACTGGGATTCCTAGTTGGATTTTGCTTAGAAACAACATACAATGTTCTGAAACTATGATTAAATGAAAAGTGCAGGCCAGGCATGGTGGCTTATGCCTGTAATCCCAGCACTTTGGGAGGCCAAGGCGGGTAGATCACCTCAGGTCAGGAGTTCAAGACCAGCCTGACCAACATGGTGAAACCCCGTCTCTACTAAAAATACAAAAATTAGCCAGGCATGGTGGTTTGTGCCTGTAGTCCCAGCTACTCGGGGGACTGAGACAAAAGAATCACTTGAACCCAGGAGGTGGAGGTTGCAGTGAGCCAAGATCACACCACTTCACTCCAGCCTGGGCAACAGAGCAAGACTCCGTCTCAACAAAAAAAAAAAAAAAAGAAAGAAAACTTCATTCAGCTAGAGTCTATTGGACTTGGATTCTGAGCAGTTCTGCCCCTCACTGACTGTGTGATCCTGGGAAGTCTTGATGTCACCTGATGTCTCCCCATCACTGTCCCCATTGTGTCTTTGTTTCTTCCAATTGGTTTATGGTGGTTCTTTTTAACTTTCCCAGGAGAGGACTCCCTTTACCTGGAGAACAATAATGACAAAGTCTTGTAGGAGGTTTTATAGGGGACAAAGAGCCTGTCTGGCTTAAATGAAGAGAATGAAGTAGGAAACAGTCAAGAGAAACCTTTTTGTTTGATTGAGAAGTTTTGACCCTCCCAGAAAGTATATAGTGTTAACTGACCAACAATGAGCATCATTCCTGAATGAGGGTTGTCCTTGGCCCACTGATTCCACCTATAGTGTAGTTCCAGTGGTTGTGTAGGAATTCATGCAACAATCTATGGCAAACTGAATTACTTCTCAGATAATTTTCTTTAGGACTTAGTATGTTGGCTTCATGCCAAGGGGAATGGCAGTATTGGGAAAACTGCAGATGTTCTGGAAGCAGAGCACTTGAGTTCAAATCTTGACTACTCCTCTTACAGGCAAATTACTAAATTTCTTTTAGCCTCTGTTTCCTTCTCTGCATGACAGCAATGATAGTACTTACTTCACAAGATTACTGTGAGCACCAAGTGGAATCATTTCTGCTGGAGAGAAGGAAACACTTCAGTTTTTAGAAGTCTAACTTATTTGGGTGGATGGGTAAAGGAAATGGCAATTTCATTTCCTCTGGGCCCTTTGGCCGATCAATGGACTGAACTTTATCCTTGGGGAACAGCTGTGGCTTTTTCATAAATTCAAACATCAGTCTAATTTTCCCAAGGTTCCTCCAGGTTTACTCTAAAGGGAGCCCCTTCTTTGAATTGTTGTTGGTCTGAAGAGGGACCAGCAGCTGCTTGCCTGCAAAAATGTATTGCAGCCTCTGTGGGCATTCCCTGGACACTGCACACACTGCTATCCCCAAGCAGTCACAAACTAGGATGCTTTGATAATGAGAGTTTGAATATTTTATGTATCTTGTTTTCCAATTATACTTAAGAATTCAATAAGCTGAGTAGTGGGAAGCTGAATTACTAGACTGGCAAAGGAATGAACAGAAAAACCTAAAAAATTTAAAAAGAGGATTAAGAAAACTGTCCTTGCTCAGTTTGGGAGCCTGGCTTACTTTTCTTAGTACTCTGCTGTTCCTGATACTGTTCAAGCTGGGGCACTGAAGATCTGGAACCATGTAGCTTGGATTTTCTTCAGACCAAAATACCTCGATGCTCATTTTTTTTTCTTTTTTTTTTTTTTTTTTGAGACAGAGTCTCACTCTGATGCCCAGGCTGGAGTGCAGTGGTGCGATCTTGGCTCACTGTAGCTTCTGCCTCCCGGGTTCAAGTGATTCTCGTGCCTCACCCTCCCAAGTAGCTGGGATTACAGGCACCTGTCACCACATCCGGCTCATTTTTGTATTTTTAGTAGACAGACGGAGTTTTGCCATGTTGGCCAGGCTAGTTTTGAGCTCCTGACCTCAGGTGATCTGCCCGCTTTGGCCTACCAAAGTGCTGGGATTACAGGCGTTGAGCCACCATGCCCGGCCTTGATGCTCATTTTGAACTATCAACTTACCTTCGATGCCTTTGTAGACTCATCCAACTACTTCCCAATAAATGGTCCAGGATTAATGGGTATTCATGTTCAGTGTAGGGCATCTAATTCCAGAAATGTAAGCCAAATTAGCAAACTCTCCTAAAAAGGACATCCTATCTTCTGCTGAGCTGTCTTCCCAAGCTAGCCAACGTGTCTGAATTTGGGCATGAAAGAAGAGGAGCAGATGGGCTGGGGTCTGACATGCAGGGCAAACTGGAGGGTTTTCTTGGCATATTTGTTCTTCAAATCTAGACTTTAGAATATGTGAGAAACAGTGACATTCTCACATTGGTCCCAAGCCATGGAGGAAATCCTGCCCCATTGAGAAGTGGAGACATTTCAGCCCTTGCATATCTCATCAGCAAACCACAGGGTTGGTGAAGGGACTGATGGAGTCCTTTTAAAGGTCTTGTGCCATTTTCTTGCCTTTTTATCTTTTTGTTCAAAGATAACTCTTGTTTTGTTTTCTATCTTGAGGCAAAATTGAAAACTTGGCCTACACATTGGTTTGGGCTAGAACTGGCCTCTAGGTGGCGATTCAGTACAGAGAATGGTGGTGGCTGGCGTCACCTCGAGCCACCATTTCTCAGAGATACCATTATATAAGGGGATTCATGAGAAATCGGGCATCACAATAGAGGGACAGCTTGGCCTTTGTCACTTTTCAAGCTGGGATCCTGAAGAGGTTGGGGTGCATGGGGAGCAGCGAAAGCACCTAGTCTCAAGCAACATAACACGAGTTTAAGGCCCCCACTAGGACGGAGTCCAGAGTAGTCTGGCAACGGTTGCAAGGTTTGGACTTGGCCTGCTAGGAGAGTGAGCCCTGAGCTTCAGGCTTGGTTCCCTCACTCCTGTGAGGCCTCACTCAGGCTCACAGCCCCTGATGGAGCACTCAGCTTGGCGGCTGCCTGCCCGAGGTCTCCAGAAAAGGCAGCCAGCTCCTAGTTGAAGTCCTCCCACTTTACTTCCCCTTCCTTCCCCCTGCCACTCCCTCTCTTCTCCTTCACCCCTCCTTCCCTTCTGCCTCCCGTTCCCTCTGCTTCCTCCTTCTTCCCCCTCTTCCCCACCTCCTCACACACCCCATTCTCACCTTCTGCTATTTACAAAGCCCTTTCCCCTGTATGATCTCATTTGCTGCTCACAGACTCCTAGGGAAGAGGGACAGGTTGAGCCCTCCCTCACTCCCTGGCACACTTTGAGGACACAGTGCGGAAGTGCTTATAAAGATCCCGTTATCTGACTGTCACCACCAGCAAATAGTGAGTACCTTAGGGCAACTATTGAATTCAAATTAGTGCATGTTGCTTGGCATGGAGGAGGTCTCAAAATTATTTACTGAATGAATAAATATTTATAGTTGCAAAGAACTGAATCAAGGGACAGTAGGTGGTAGAGTCCATTCTAGAAGTTAGGCTTCATACTTGTAGGACCTACGACATTGCTGCACTAGGTACTAAATATGTCACCATTTTCTAGTAAAAAATACAGTATGTAAGTGCATAAAGGGACCCATGCAGAACTGTTTGCATATCTGGCTCTCAACCACATGAAACTACTCTGGCACCAGTCTGCTGTCTGTCAGGGGACACTAGGAGCTGTGGGTGGATCTAGGGGAGCAGCTGGCCTTTCTGAGGCCTTCCTTAAAGTATGGGATAGACACTGGGCCCCTCAGCTATCAAAACCCTTCTGTCTTTAGCTGATCTAACATATTGAGATAAAAAGCACCACCCAGTTATTACTCATCCCACTCCATTCCAATCCATGAATCAGCACTTTTTGTTTTTTGCTTAAATGTACATATTTCAGGCAGTTTAGGACTCTGCGATGAGACTATATAGGTTCAAATCCTAGCTCTACCACTTCCTAGCTGTTGAGGCTTGGGTAGGTCATTTAACCTCTTTGTGCCTCTATTTCTCATCTTTTAAATGATAAGAGTATTTAACTCATAACATTACTGTGGGGATTTAGAGAGTTAATATATAGAAAACAATGAGAACAATGCCTGGCAATAAGTCAGAGCTAGGAAGTGTTCACCCAATCTCTCGTTACGGTTTCCTGGGTTTGAGAATTGGTTTGTGTTCAACTGATGGAGGCACTTCATGATTTTGTAGAATTCCCTGGAATGCTCTCATTTTAGCTGTGAGGTTTCAACATTTTCCCACTCAGTTACAGCTTTCTTGAGGCCTAAAGAAGACAGGAAGCAACTTGAAGTGTATTTTTCTGCTAATGAGGGCTGTGGCATTTGTTTCATATACAGCATCCCCAGGTGGCTCCAGACAGAATTCAAGGGCTTTTTTCTCTACGGCAGTGCTTACCACTTAACACACAGTAGGTATTAAATAAATGCTTGTGCCAGAAAGAGAGGAAGGAAGATGCAGTACAGAGGAAAACATTAATTAGTACATAGTAGTTTACACGGACAAGGTCCCAATGGGGTATACACTTGTTCCCTAAGATCTACTGACTAAGCATGAACATCACCAAGGAAATGCGATCAACTCAGAGGAGAAGGAGGGGGAGGAGAAGAGAGAAGAAACTGGAGCAGCCTGTTACCTGACCGAAGATATCAGGCTTTCCATTGCAAATGGTTCCATCAGCTCAGGCCAAGTGGAAAACCTTGCCGCTGCTCTGGGACATCCAAGGCATCTCCAATTGCTGTCTGCCCCAGAGTTTCATCCTTCCAGGGGTAGTTTGTCACTTGTTTTGTAGCCTCTATGGTACTCTTTCTTATGGCTAAAGACCAGCTAGCTCACCAGACATTTCTGTGGGTTTTGGCAGGAAATAGAGATGGGAGGCAGACAATGCTCTAGGGCGGTTCTTAGGAGAAACTTTTCTGACCTTGGCAGTCTTACTCCAATTTTCATGCCAAATTAGACTAATAATAGATCCTCACCCACAACCCAAATCCTCTAGCCTGAAAGGCTTAGAGTAGACAGAATGCAACTAGAAACTACTCTATGTTCTATAAGGGAGTTGAAACAGAGCTTTTCTAGTGAACACATTAGCTAATCAACTAGGTCACTGATGGTAAGGACTGTCTCAACTGCATGCCAACTCTGATTGATGGATAAAGCCTGCCTGGGGAATTGTATTGAGTTGGATTCTGAGTCTCCATCATCACATCTAGGCCCCAGAGGCAAGTGCTGTAATTCACCAACAATGTCTGTCACAGGTGCAGGAATAGGGAGTAGCCCCAGGAGGCATAGATACATACCTGCTCCAGGAGGCTATTTGGAGTTAGGAAAACAAAGATGGTTGAATGGTCAACTATGCTCATTTAATTAAATCATGATAGACCTTGAGCAATTCAACTCTTGAGGAAAATGTGGTATCAGCTCAGGAAAGAAGAAAAAGAAGGAGTAAGAGTGGTGATAGTGGAGTGTTCCCGTTCCATAGCTCTGTAGAGCCTTCTCAGTATTTAAAAACAGTCAGATTGGACTGGGCACAATGGCTCACGCCTGTAATCCCAGCACTTTGGGAGGCCAAGGCAGGCGGATCACCTGAGGTCAGGAGTTCGAGACCATCCTGGCCAACATGGCAAAACCCCATCTCTACTAAAAATACAAAAATTAGCTTGGCATGGTGGCAGGCACCTGTAATCCCAACAACTCGGGAAGCTGAGGCAGGAGAATTGCTTGAACTTGGGAGGGGGAGGTTACAGTAAGCTGAGATGCAGCCTGGGTGACAGAGCGAGACTCCATCTCAAAATAAATAAATAAATAAATAAATAAATAAATAAATAAATAAATAAATAAAATAAATAAAATAAAATCAGATTGAGAGGTAGCAGGTATGACAACATTAGATAGTTATTTTGAGTTGCAGTTCAAGACCTGGGAAGCTCTTGAAATAGATAGTTAAGCCGCTGGCAACCAGAAGGAAGGGCAGAGAGAGTGTTTCCCAAACTGAGTACCGTGAATCACTTAGTATCCATGAGATGTTTGTAAATATTTTGCCATGAAACATAGGCAGTGGTGGGGAGGGGACTTCCATGGTTATTCAAGTTTGGGAAACCTGTCAAAAAAATTCAGCAAAGTAAATTGTAGCCCAAGGAGGCTCTTGGCCTGAGGGAGTTATGGAAGAGAAATGTAATAAGCTAAGAAAGCAAAAGTGTAGGTGGGGTCAGGCTCTGAAAGGCCTTGAATGACAGGATGAGGGCTTTCGTTTTGATTGGGAGGCATGGAGGATTTGTGGGCAGGAGAAGTGATACATTCAGGGCTGGGGGTTAGGAAAATAACTGTACCATGAAGATTGAATAGAGAAGAGACTGGAGGTCAGAAGACTAGTTAGAAAGGTGTTATATGGTCCAAACAAGACACGCTAGCAGCCTAAACTTGGGCAGTTGCAATGGGAATGGAAAGGAAAGCCCAAAGTCAAGAGACATTTTCACCAGTAATAATGTCAGGTCTAGTCTGACTTCCAACAGCACTCAAGTACATGAAGGGCTACACTACAGGGAACTGACCAGCCCTTCTCTACACCCTTAAGTACAAAGCCAGCAGAGTGGGAGGTAAATTGCTGAGATGAAGCATTTGATTAGATAGAAAGTATATCTTCCTAATGCTAGGGATAATTAAACCCTGGAAGAGCCACCAGAGCACTAGCATAGCTTTCTCACAGGAAAGCAGCCATCTGCCCTGGTCCTCTAAGGCACATGACCACTCAAAGCTCCTTTCTGCTCCATGAGTCTATAATTAATGTATCTTAGGAATCTGAATATTGAAAGGGGCCTTACAGCTGATCTAGTCAGTTGCTTTCAAACCTGACTGAACATCATGATCCACTTTTTTTTTTTTGAGACGGTGTTTCGCTTGTTGCCCAGGCTGGAGTGCAATGGCACAATCTCGGCTCACTGCAACCTCCACCTCCCAGGTTCAAGTGGTTCTCCTGCCTCAGCCTCCCTAGTAGCTGGGATTACAGGTGCCTGCCACCATGCCCAGGTAATTTTTTTGTATCTTTAGTAGAGATGGGGTTTCACTATGTTGACCAGGCTGGTCTCGAACTCCTGACCTCAGGAGATCCATAGGCCTCAGCCTCCCAAAAGTGCTGGGATTACAGGCGTGAGCCACCACGCCTGGCTAACATCATGATCCTCTAAGGAGTTTAGTAAAATGCAGATTCTCAGCCTCCATTTCCAGAAACTTGGATTTGATTGGCAGAGTCCGGGAATCTGCATTTTGTGATGTCTTCAAGTGATTATAATGTATAATCAAATTTAGAAATTATTATTATTATTATTTTAAGAGAAGTCTTGCTCTTATCCCCCAGGTTTGAGTGCAATGGCTCTATCTCAGCTCACTGCAACCTCTGCCTCCCGGGTTCAAATGATTCTCCTGCCTCTGCCTCCCAGGTAGCTGGGATTAAGTCGCCTGCCACCACGCCTGGCTAATTTTTGTATTTTTTAATAGAGACGGGGTTTCACCATGTTGGCCAGGCTGGTCTCGAACTCCTGACCTCAGGTGATCCGCCCGCCTCGGCCTCCCAAAGTGCTGGGATCACAGGTGTGAGCCACTGTGCCCGGCCAAATTTAGGAATTATTTAGACCCACCAATTCATTTTATAGATGAGTGGACTGGGGCCAGAGAGGAGCAAGGACTTGCCCAAGGCCACATGGGCAAGGGCATCATTTGGTGGCAGAGTGGACACTAGTGTCCCATGCTTAGGGCTCCTCCAATAGATCATAAACGAATGCTTGGTCCCATTGTTTGCTCTAGGCTGAGGGTTAGACAGTGACTAAAAGGTTCAGAAACCTCTACTGTTACCCTCTATGCTCAAGGAGATGTGTTGCTTCAGTATAGGATGTACACAAGAGAGGCTGAGTGTTATTATTAACCATAACAATAGTTAATGTTTACTGTGTGTCAGGCATTGCTCTAGGCACTTTACATAAAACTCTTAATCTGTACAATAACTCCATAAGATCAATTTTATCCCCATTTTACATAAGAGGAAACTGAGGCACAGTGAAGTTACAGATAAAGAAACTGAGCCACAGGTCAGTTAAATAAGCTGCCTGTGTTCATACAGCTGGCAAACGGTAGAACCAGGACTCAGACTCAAAGCCTGTACACCGGTGGTTCTTAACAGGGGATGATTTTACACATACACCCTGGGGACACAGGAAGTTTCTGGAGGTATTTATGGTTGTGACAGCTTGGGAGTTGCTCACTATTATGTACTGAGTGGAGGGCAGGGATACTGCTAAACCCTGCAATGCACAAGTCAGCCCCTCATAACTAAGAATTATCTGGCCCAAAATGTCAATAGTGCTGAAGTTCAGAAACTCTGCTGTACACCAACTATTATATCACCACTTTAGGCTTCACAAAAGCTCTTTAGTCTGTTTCTCTGTCCTTGATCTGCCTGGACAACTGGACATGCCTCAGAATCGCTCAGGCAATTGTGTCTACACTGGTCCACCCAATGTAAGTGAGCACACACATTTCAGAAAACAGGCCTTGGTGCTCATGTAGCCTGAAGAGCGGAAACCTAATGGGAAAAGACTGCTGAAAGTAGGAAGCAAAAAGCGGAAAGCTTTCATGCCCATCGTGATCGCTGGTCCAAAGAAGGGCAGGGGCTGCTGAAGGAACATGTGGGCTTGTTACATTAGGGTAAGTGCCTCATGCCATGACTAGAACCACCCAGACAGCCATAGGTTACTGAAGCCCCAGATCCCGAGTGCTTCATGTGCTCCTGCACACCCGCTCCTCCCTCCCTCTGCCCATGGCTTCTCTGTTCTCAGCTTCCCAGACACTAACCCCACATCCTGTCTAGACTACTGACTGAGAGCAGGCCCCTCTTATCTCCTCCATCTGACCTGGACTACAGACACAGCTACCACTACAGACACAGCTACTCCCTGGGGCAAAGATGAGTCTTACTTCCATTGCACCCTAGCACTGAGCACACTGCAGGCACCTGTGTTAGTACATCTCAGTAGAAAACTCTATATACAGCCTCCTCATGCACACTGCTAGAAGAATCCTCCTAAATCTGGCAGCTAGGGGATCACTTTTGGAAGGCAGTGCTGTTGTAGAAAGAACACTGAGCGAGGAATTGGCAGGCCTGGGCTGGTGAATGGGTGTACTCAGGAGTCCTGCACAGGACTCAGTTCAGGGCTGAGTTACATTTGTCTCCTCTATGGTGCCTGGCAGGGGGCTCTGCATGGGGCTGGCTGTCAACAGCTATTTGTTGGATGGAATACATGCATCACTGCTCTGCTCTGGTCTCCTATCTGGACAGATGGAAACCACCCTTACCAATGGACCCAGGTGGTGGCAACAGCCTGCTCCATGCAGAGGATGTAGGACACAGGGCTGAAGGGCTCACCAGCCCCCTGCCCACTGTGCAGGCACGTGCACACAGTAGTAAATCTGCCCTTTGTCTGTGGGCTTGTCTCAGACTACCCCATTCTACCTCCCAGCCACACACACTCTGGTCTATATGATCCTCGAGGCAAGGGACCATTAGTTAATTAAACTGAGATTTAGTATGGGCCTACTATGTGGCAAATACTGGACTGCTTCTAAATGCCTGCTTCTTATTAGCTGCAGACACAGCAACCAATAAGAAAGACATGATTTCTGACTAGCAGAGAATACAGATTGTGAGCTGATAACTCTAAGTGGGATAGTGTGATGAAAGAAGTAACAGGGGAGTTTGTTACTGTTCATCACTGATCTATGGAAATGCTAGAAATTCAATGGATGGAATTTTCATCATAGAAGCTGTTTCCGAAAAATTACCCTAATGCTTTGGCATGCTGAGTACTTTGAATTAAAGGACAGTGGAAGGCCTCGCAAGCAGCCTCAGAACCGAGCTCTCTGACTTTCTCCTGCCCTCCTGTCTCTCGCCCTTCATTCTCCCCTGAGGTAAGTCACAGAACCCTGAATGCCCCTCCCCAAGGCAGGTCATAGAGACTACAGCCCCTTTCCCCCAGGGCAAACCATACAACCTAGAAATATTACTTTCACCTTCCCCCACCTTTCTGTGTAGGAGCTGGTCATAAAGAAATTATCAGCCCTATCTTTGTTCAATAGTAGGTAATAAGATCCTCATTCCAAAAAGGATCCTGCTTCATATCTGGGAGGAAGGAATGCCACACAGAGAGACTAAGAAGAACCTGAACAGACAGGCCTTGCCGGGTTTCCCACTCTATTACTATCACATCATTCTTTTTGTCCAATCACATCTCTACATAGCTGTCCACCCTTCATCAAATCTAAAAAATGGACAGTTTTCCCTTTGGTCTTCATTTCTGAAGGCTCCTGTATCAGGTAAAACTTTTTTTTTTTTTTTTTTTTTTTTTAGACAGAGTCTCTCACTGTCGCCCAGGCTGGAGTGCAGTGGTGCGATCTCGGCTCACTGCAAGCTCTGCCTCCCGGGTTCACGCCATCTCCTGCCTCAGCCTCCCGAATAGCTGGGACTACAGGCGCCCGCTACCACGCCCGGCTAATTTTTTTTTTTTTTGTATTTTTAGTAGAGACGGGGTTTCACCATGTTAGCCAGGATGGTCTCGATCTCCTGACCTCGTGATCCATCCGCCTCCCAAAGTGCTGGGATTATAGGCGTGAGCCACCACGCCCAGCCTTCAGGTAAAACTTTGATTACATAAATCACTTATGTTTTTCTCTTGTTAACCTGTCTTTCATTATAGGAGTCTTAGCCATGACCCTTATGATGGAGGAAATGTATCATACCCTTTCTACCCCTAAAAAGAGCCACACTTGTGTCTCATTCCTCAATGCTGATCCTACCCACAGGCAAATGTGGCAGTCATGTGTATAGCCCGGTTTGATAAAGACCACAATTACATCTACCCCAAAATCCAGCCTCAGGGCCTACTATGATATATTAGGTTGGTGCAAAATAACTGTCGTTTTTGCCATTAAAGTAACGGCAAAATGCCATTATTTTACAGTAATTACAGTTTTTGCCATTAAAGTGATGGCAAAATGCCACAATTACTTTTGCACCAACCCACTAGTTAAACAAGCACTGGAATTGTCAAAAGATCTGTTTTGTTTTCTTGTGGTATATTAGTTAATGTTTCTCAGACAATCTCCTCAGCAAAATTAGAATAACAATGACCATCCCCAGCATCCCAGGAGGCACCCATCTGCTTACTGAATGGAGCTGGCCCTGTGGCAGCCCTCTTTTTTTGGGGGGCACTCTTGTGGCCCAGGCTGGAGTGCAGTGGTGTGATCTCAGCTCACTGCCTGTGCCTCCAGGGTTCAAGCGATTCTCCTGCCTCAACCTCCTGAGTAGCTAGGATTACAGGCACGTGCCACCACGTCTGGCTAATTTTTGTATTTTCAGTAGAGACGGGGTTTCACCATCTTGGTCAGGCTGGTCTTGAACTCCTGAACTCCTGATCTGCCCACCTCGGCCTCCCAAAGTGCTGGGATTACAGGCATGAGCCACCGTGCCCGGCCAAGCCCTCCTCTTTTAGCAGACCAGAAACCCCACCCTCAGAGCAGGGCAAGGCCACATGAGGCCTGTGATTAAAATATCTGTGATAGTTGAAGGAAGAAATAAGGGAAGACTTTTGTCCCTACCCTCTAGGCTAGTTTGTAGCACAAGCTACACTTGTGCTTGGAATGGAATCTTCAAGTACAGGGTTCCCAAACGGTAGGAACAGAAATGGTGACATGGGGGATGGATGGACATTTTAAATTTTACTGTCTAGGGCTGATTTTATTATGTTTGGGGAAAATACAACTAGCACAGCAAACCCATGAGTCTACAGATATTTTTGTTTAGAATGATGCTAGGTTTAAAAAAAAAAACAAGGTGGAGGCCGGGCGTGGTGGCTCACGTCTGCAATCCCAGCACTTTGGGAGGCCGAGGTGGGCAGATCACTTGAGGTCAGGAGTTCATGACCAGCCTGGCCAACACGCAGAAACCCCGTCTCTACTAAAAATACAAAAATTAGCCAGGGGTGGTGGTGCATGCCTGTAATCCCAGCTACTTGGGAGGCTGAGGCAGGAGAATTGCTTGAACCCGGGAGGCGGAGGTTGCAGTGAGTTCAGATTATCACTGCACTCCAGCCTGGGCAACACAGCGAGACTCTGTTGCAAAAAAACAAAATAAAACAAAAAAAACGTGGACCTTTGTCAGATGCATAGCTTGCAAAAATTTTCTCCTATTCTGTAGGTTGTCTGTTTACTCTGTTTTGCTGTTGCAAGTCTTTAGTCACATTAGATCTCATTTGTCAATTTTTGCTTTTGTTGCAATTGCTTTTGGTGTCATTGTCATGAAATCTTTGCTCATTCCTATGTCCAGAATGGTATTGCCTAGGTTGTCTTTCATGGTTTTTATAGTTTGGGGTTTTACATTTAAGTTTGTAATTCATCTTAAGTAGATTGTTGTATATGGTGTAAGTCTAATATCCAGCATCTATTAAGGAACTTAAACAAATTTACAAGAAAATAAACAACGCTGTTAAAACGTGGGCAAAGGATATGAAAAGACACTTTTCGAAAGAAGACATACATGCGGCCAACAGGTGTATGAAACAAAGCTCAACATCACTGATCATCAGAGAAATGCAAATCAAAACCACAATGAGATACCATTTCATACCAGTTAGAATGGCTGTTACAATGGCTATTAAAAAGTAAAAAAACCAACAACATCCAGATGCTGGTGAGGTTGTGGAGAAAAAGGAATGCTTATACACTGTTGGTGGGAATGTAAATCAGTTCAACCATTGTGGAAAACAGTGTGGTGATTCCTCAAAGACCTGAAAACAGAAATACCATTCAACCCACCAATCCTATTACAAAGGAATATAAATTGTTCTATCATAAAGACACATGCGCACGTATGTTTACTGCAGCACTATTTGCAATAGCCAAGACATGGAATCGGCCTAAATGCCCATCAGTGGTAGACTGGATAATGAAAATGTGGTACATATATACCATGGAATATTATGTAGTTATATAAAAAAAAATTAGATCATGTCCTTTGCAGGAACATGGACGGAGCTAGAGGCCATTATCCTTAGCAAACTAATGCAGGAACAGAAAACCAAATACCACATGTTCTCACTTATAAGTGGGAGCTAAATGGTGAGAACACATGGACACACAGAGGGGAACAACACACACTGGGGCCTATTGGAGGGTGGAGGGTGGGAGGAGGGAGAGGATCTAGAAAAATAACTAATGGGTACTAGGCTTAATACCTGGGTGATGAAATAATCTGTACAACAAACTCCTGTGACACGAGTTGACCTGTAGAGCAAAACTGCACATGTACCCCTGAACCTAAAATAAAAGTTTTACAAAAGGTGAACTAATTTAAAGAAATAACCGGGTGGGCCGGGCGCGGTGGCTCATGCCTGTAATCCCAGCACTTTGGGAGGCCGAGGTGGGCGGATCACCTGAGGTTGGGAGTTGGAGACCAGCCTGACCAACATGGAGAAACCCCGTCTCTACTAAAAATACAAAATTAGCCGGGCGTGGTGACGCATGCCTGTAATCCCAGCTACTCTGGAGGCTCAGCAGGAGAATCACTTGGACCTGGGAGGCGGAGTTTGCAGTGAGCTGAGATCGTGCCACTGACCTCCAGCCTGGGCGACAAGAGCAAAAGTCCATCTCAAAAAAAAAAAAAAAAAAAACACAGGTAAATAACCATTCAGTTGGCACAATGATGTGACAAAAATCATGAAGGTGGCACACAAATGACTGAAGTTTTAGAAACACTGATTTACTAAGTCTCATCATGTTAGCAATAAAGAAATCAAGGACCAAAATGGTGAAATTTAAGGTTGGCAAGAAATAAACCTGAGATTACAACTAAATCTTCTGGAGCTCCAGTGGTGGTGTTCTTCCCAGCACACAGGCTGCCTCTCCATTCAGCTCTCTACGCTAGAAGGGATCTTTTATTTTAAAATAACAGCTTTATTGATATATAATTCATATATCATAAAATTCACCCTTTTAAAGTGTACAATTCAGCAGGCTTTAATAGATTCAGAGTGGGGCAACCACAATTTTAGAACATTTTCATCAGCCTCATAAGAAGTCCCATATCAATTAGTAATCACTTCCCCTTCCTGCCAAACCCCTAGCAAAAATTAATCTATTCTGTGTCTCTATGGATTTGCCTAGGCTGGAGTGCAGTGGCGCAATCTCGGCTCACTGCAAGCTCCGCCTCCCGGGTTCACGCCATTCTCCTGCCTCAGCCTCCCGAGTAGCTGGGACTACAGGCGCCCACCACTATGCCCGGCTAATTTCTGTATTTTTAGTAGAGACGGGGTTTCATCGTGTTAGCCAGGATGGTCTCAATCTCCCAACCTCGTGATCCACCCACCTCGGCCTCCCAAAGTGCTGGGATTACAGGCTTGAGCCACTGAGCCCGGCCAGTACTTCATTTCTTAATTATGGAAGAATAATATTCCACTGTATGAATATAGCACATTTAATTTTAATTTTTTTTTTTTTTTTTTTTTTGAGATGGAGTTTCACTCTTGTTGCCCAGGCTGGAGTGCAATGGTGTGATCTTGGCTCACCACAACCCCCGCCTCCTGGGTTCAAGCAATTCTCCTGCCTCAGTCTCCCAAATAGCTGGGATTACAGGCATGCGCCACCACGCCTGGCTAATTTTGTATTTTTAGTAGAGACAGGGTTTCTCCATTTTGGTCAGGCTGGTCTTGAACTCCCCACCTCAGGTGATCTGCCTGCCTCAGCCTCCCAAAGTGCTGGGATTACAGGCGTGAGCCACCACCTGCAGCCTACCACATTTTATTTACCCATGTATCAGTTAATGGACACGTGGTTTGTTTGTTTTTGCCATCACGAGGAATGCTGCTATGAACACTGGTGTACAAAATTTTATATGGAGATATGCTGTCATTTCTCTTGGGTACCTACCTAGGAGTGGAATTGCTGGGTACATGGTATGATTGGGGTTCTTGATGGCAAGCAATAGAAAATGTCTCTGGCCGTCTTGAACAAAGAGGAAATTTACTGGCAGAATAGTGGAGGCTTCCAGAATCCACAAGGGAGAAGCTGAAGAGCTGGGCCTGGAAAATGGGGCAAGAGCCAGAAGGACTTCAGTGGTCAGGCAATGGAGCTGCAAGCAGCACCGCCCCATAGAAATGCCTGGGCCTGGGCACTGTTGCAGCCTGCCCTTCTGGCTCTTGTCCAAGATTCAAAGTCTAGCAGAGAGCCTCCAATTGGCCAAGGCTGTGAATCACTCCCCTTCTCCCCACAAGCTGGGGGCCAGGGAGATGAATGATCTGACCACTTCAGCCCCACAGCATAAGGGAGGCATTACACAAGTGACAATTTCTCCAAAAGAGAAATTAAGGCAACAATTTGAAGTTGGAATTCGGGGGAATGCTGGATACCTAACAAAAAGACAAATGTAATACAGCAGGGCCAGATTATGAGGGGGAAAAAGCCAACACAGAGAGGAGGGAGAAAGCAAGGGAGGAGCAGAGAAGAGAGCAGAGCCACTGCCTTAAGCTCATTCTGAAGCCACAGAATCTGTGGATTTCCAGTTACATGAGCCAGGGTGACTTGGATTTTCTCTTGCTTGCAGCCAAATGCATCCTAACTGATGCAGTAGCGATTACGCATGAAAGCCAACTAGAGATAGAAAAAGGCAAGGAAACCAGTGAGAAGAACTTGGGTCTAGCCCCGTTTCTGCCAGATGCCTCTTAGCCGAAGCATTTGATTTCTGAACCTCAGTTTTCTCCTTTTTTCACAGAGTTGCGAAGTAAAATGAAGGATATAAGAGCCCTGTATAGACTAAAGTGCAAAGGACTTCCCCATAGGCTCTTATGACCAAACAAGACAGAAGCAAAAACATGGTAATAAATGAACAAACAGATGTTTTCTCAAAGGCTTTAATATTCCAGGTTCCCATCTGGCCTAAGTTTTCATGAGTTCTTTATACTAGGCATCTGGGTGGGAGGTAGTGGGGGGTAAGAGAAGGAAACATTTTGAAGTAGAATTAGGTCAAAGCTAATCATTACACAGCGTGTAGATTTTGGGAATTTGCTTTTCCTTTTCTCTCTATTCTTAAAAAGCATTGGAGAAACTGTAGGAGGGAAAGGAAGGAGGGTGGCAGATGTTTCCCCCTCATTCTCTTATTTTATCCTCACAGCAGCCCTTGGAGGTAGGGATGATTACCTCCATTTTTCAGAGGTGGAAATGGTTCAGAAAGGTGAAGTCACCCACCGTAGGTATGAATTTGAACTTAGTCCCAACAGATGTTAGATGCCAGGCTCTTCAGTACACCTCACCAACTCCCAGGAAACATAAAAACATACTCCATTATATTCCATTTGGTATCTGAGCTTCAAAAATTTAAAGGAAGCATACAGAGGGTTGAGGGAAGGAATTGTTCCCTCAGGTTAACTCCAAACATTCTTTTTCCCTAAGGGAGGCAACTGTGGTATCAAAAGAACATGGCCATATATGTAAATACCAAGGATATCTTTAAAGAATACTCAAGAAACTGGTCACAGTGAGTGACTTGAGGGTGGCAGGAGAAGAAACTGGGTCACTTAGGGATAGGGAAGAGAAAAACTTTCTTTTCATTGTTGGCCTTTTCCTTCATTTCTTTCAATTAATAAACATTTTTAGAGCAGTTTTTACATCACAGCAAAATTAAATGGAAAGTACAGAAATGTCCCATGTCCCCCATCCCCACACACGGACAACCTCCCCCACTATCAACATTCTGCCCCAGGGTGGTCCATTTGTTACAATCTATGAACCTACATTGGCACATCATTATCAACCAAGGTTCATAGTTTACATTAGGGTTCACTCTTGGTGTTGTACACTCTGTGGGTTTTGACGAAAGTGTAACGACATGTATCCACCACTGTGTTATCATACAGAGCCGTTTCTCTGCCCTAAGAATCCTCTATGCTCTGTCTGTTCATCCCCTTCTTCCTCTCACCTCTGGCAGCCACTAATCTTTTTATTGTCTCCATAGTTTTGCCTTTTACAGAATGTCATATAGTTGGAATAATAGAGAATGTAGCCTTTTCAGATTGGCTTCTTTCACCTAGTAATATGCATTTAACTTTCCTTCATGTCCTTTCATGGCTTGATAGTTTATTTCTTTTTAATGCTGAGTAATATTCCATTGTTTGGATGCACCACAGTTTATCCATTCACCTACTGAAGAACATCTTAGATGGTTCCAAGTTTTGACAATCATAATAAAGCTGCTATAAATACCTGTGTGCATGTTTTGTGTGTACTTAAGTTTTCAACTCCTTTGGGTAAATATCACAGAGTACAAAATGCTGGATCATATGGTAAGATTATGTTTAGTTTTGTACAAAACTGCCAAACTGTCTTTTTTTTTTTTGGGCTGTAGTACAGTGGCACGATCTTGGCTCACTGCAACCTCTGCCTCCTGGGTTCAAACAATTCTCCTGCCTCAGCCTCCCAAGTGGCTGGGATTGCAGGCATGTACTACCACACCCAGCAAATTTTTGTATTTTCAGTAGAGACAGGGTTTCACCACGTTGGCCAGGCTGGTCTTGAACTCCTGACCTCAGGTGATCCTCTCGCCTCGGCCTCCCAAAGTGCTGGGATTACAGGCGTGAGCCACTGTGCCCAGCCCAAACTGTCTTTCAAAGTGGCTGTACCATTTTACATTCCCATAAGCATTTCATGTTGTCAGTGTTTTGGTTGGCCATTCTAATAAGTGTGTAATGCTATCTGTTTATGTTTTAATTTGTAATTTTTGAATGGCATATGAAAATATGCCCTTGTTGAGCATCTTCCTTCCCTTTTTTCTTTAGAGACAGAATATCATTGTGTTGCCCAGGCTGTAGTGCAGTGGCTATTCACAGTATTCACAGGTACAATCACAGTGCACTGTAGCCTTGAGCTCTTGGCCTCAAGCAATCCTCCTGCCTCAGCCTCTGAGTAGCTGGAACTATAGACACGTGTTAGGCCATTCTTGCATTGCTATAAAGAAATACCTGAGGCTAGGTAATTTATAAAGATAAGAGGTTTAATTGGCTCACAGTTCTGCAAGCTTTACAGGAAGCATGGTGCTGGCATCTGCTCAGCATCTGGGGAGGCCTCAAGAAGTTTACAATCATGGTGAAAGGTAAAGGGGGACCAGGCACATCACATGGTCAGAGCAGGAGCAAGAGAGAGAGAGTGAGTGATTGGGGAGGTGCCACACATTTTTAAATGACCAGATCTTATGAGAACTCACTATTACAAAGACAGCACCAAGCCAAGAGGGATCCACCCCTATGATCCAAACACCTCCCACCAGGCCCCACCTCCAGCATTGGGGATTACAATTCAACATGAGATCTAGGTGGGACAAATATTCAAACTATAACAGCATGTGCCACCACACCTGGTTTGAGCATTTTTTATATGCTTACTTGCCACCTGTATATCTTCTTTGGTAAAGTGTCTGTTCAGGTCTGTTGCCCATGTTTAAATTGTTTTTTTTTTAATTGTTGAGTTTTAAGGGTTCTTTGTAAGTTTTGAATTACGTTCTTTTATCTGATGTGTCTTTTGTAAACATTTTCTCCCAGTCTATGACTTTTTTCCTTATTCTGTTTTTGTTTTTTTATTTTTTCAAGACAGAGTCTTGCTCTGTCACCCAGGCTGGAGTGCAGTGGTGCGATCTTGGCTCACTACAACCTCTGCCTCCCAGGTTTGAGCAATTCTCCTGCCTCAGCCCCCCAAGTAACTGGGATTTCAGGTGCGCACCACTACACCCAGCCAATTTCTGTATTTTTAGTAGAAACAGGGTTTCGCCATGTTGGCCAGGCTGGTCTCGAACTCCTGACCTCACGTGATCTGCCTGCCTTAGCCTCCCAAAGTGCTAGGATTACAATGTGAGCCACTGTGCCCAGCCCCTCATTCTCTTGATATTGTCTTTCAAAGATAAGTCTTTAATTTTAATAAAGTCCAACTTATCAATTATTTCTTTCATAGATTATGTCTTTCATGTTGTATTTTAAAAGTTATCACCATACCCAAGGTCATCTAGGTTTTTTTCTTTTATCTTCTAAAAAATTTATAGTTTTGTGTTTTACATTTAGGTCTATTATCTATTACAGTTAATTGTTGTGAAAGATGTAAGCTGTGTCTAGATTCTTTTTTTTTTAAGCCTGGACAACATAGGGAGACCCTGTCTCTATAAAAAAATTAAAGAACTAGCTGGGCATGGTGGTGCACGCCTATAGTCGCAGCTACTTGGAAGGCTGAATTGGGAGGATTGCTTGAGCCTGGGAGGTCAAGGCTGCAGTAAGCCATGATCATGCCACTACACTCCAGCCTGGGCAACTAAGCAAGACTCTGTCTCAAAAAATAAAAATGGATTGTTTTTTGTATATATATGTTCATTTGTTCTGACGTATTTTTAAAAGATTGTCTCTGCACTATTGTATTGCCTTTGCTCTTTTGTCAAAGATCAGTTGACTACATTTATGTGAGTTTATTTCTGGGCTGTCTTTCTGTTCCATTGATCTATTTGTCTAGTCTTTCACCAATACCACAATGTCTTGACAACTGTAGTTTTGTACTATGTCTTGAAGTTCGGTAATGCCAGTCCCCTGACTTTGATTTTTTCTTTTTTTCTTTTTTTCTCTTTTTGAGACTGAATCTCACTCTATCACCCAGGCTGGAGTACAGAGGCGGATCTCGGCTCACTGCAACCTCTGCCCCCTGAGTTCAAGTGATTCTCGTGCCTCAGCCTCCTGAGTAGCTGGGTTTACAGGCACCCGCCTCCACACCTGGCTAATTTTTGTATTTTTAGTAGAGATGGGGTTTCACCACGTTGGCCAGGCTGGTCTTGAACTCCTAACCTCAAGTGATCTGCCTGCTTCGGACTCCCAAAGTGCTGGGATGACAGGTGTAAGCCACTGTGCCTGGCCGACTTTGATTTTTATTTCAATATTGACTTGGTAATTCTGTGTCTTTTGCCTCCCCATATAAACTTTAGACTCAGTTTATCTACATCCACAAAATAACTTGCTGGTATTTTGATTGGATTGTGTTGACTCCACAAATTAAATTGTAAAAAACTGACATCTTGACAATATTAAGTCTTCTTATCCATGAACATAGTCTATCTTTCCATTTATTTAGGTTTTTTTTTTGGTACCTTTCATCAGAATTTCATTGTTTTCCTCCATAGATTTTGAATATAATTTATACTGATTTCATTTTTTAATACCTACATATACAATTTATACATAAGCATTTTTATATCTAAGGGTCTCTGTTGCGGGAAGTCAGTTCTTATCACTTCCCCAATCAATACCCTTGTGATTTCCTATGCCTGTCTTTAATTTAATCTCTTAATCCTGTCAGTTGAGGAGGATGTATGTCGCTTCAGGACCATGTGATAATTGCGTTAATTGCACAAATTGTACAGCATGTGTGTTTGTGCAATATGAAATCTGAGCACCTTGAAAAAAGAACAGGATAACAGCAATTGTCCAGGGAATAAGAGAGATAACCTTAAACTCTGACTGCCGGTGAGCTGGGCAGAACAGAGCCATATTTCTCTTTCAAAAGCAAATGGGAGAAATATCACTGAATTCTTTTTCTCAGCATGGAATATCCCTGAGAAAGAGAATCTGCACCTAGGGGTAGGTCTCTGAACTGGCCCCCCGGGGCGTACCTGTCTCTTATGGTCGAGTCTGCAGAGATGAAATACACTCCAGTCTCCCATAGCGCTCCCAGGCTTATTAGGAAGAGGAAATTCCTGCCTAATAAATTTTGGTCAGACCCATTGATCTCAAAACCCTGTCTCCTGATAAGATGTTATCCATGACAATGGTGCCCAAAACTTCATTAGCAATTTTAATTTCGCCTCAGTCCTGTGGTCCTGTGATCTTGCCCTGCCTCCACTAGCCTTGTGATATTCTATTACCCTGTTAAGTACTTGATGTCTGTCACCCACACCTATTCGCACACTCTCTCCCCTTCTGAAAATCCCTAATAAAAACTTGCTGGTTTTTGTGGCTTGTGGGGCATCACGGATCCTACCAATATGTGATGGCTGCCCTGGATGCCCAGCTTTAAAATTTCTCTCTTTTGTACTCTGTCCCTTTATTTCTCAAGCCGGTCGACGCTTAGGAAAAATAGAAAAGAACCTACATGATTATCAGGGCAGGTCCCCTGATAGGTCTGTTGTGGGGAGTGCTAATGCAATGGTAATGTGTTTTTAATTTCAAATTTTACTTGTCATATCAGCAATGGTTGGTATATAGGAAAGTGACTGACTTTTGTATGTTAACCTTATATCCTGGAGCCTTGTTATACTCAATTATTAGTTCCAGGAGTCTTTTTTTTTTGGTCAATTTTTTCAGATTTCTTACATAGACAATCATGTCATCTGTGAACGTGGGCAGTTTTTTTTTTTCCCAATCTGCATATCTTTTACTTATTTTTATTGTCTCGTTAGTTAGGACTTCCAGTACAATGCTGAAACACAATGGTGAGAGGGGACATCCTTGCCTTCTTCCTGATCTTAGCAGGACAGCTTTAAGTTTTTCACCATTAAGTATGATATTAACTATAGGTTTCTTTATAGATGTGTATCAAGTTGAGGAAATTACCCTTTATTTCTAGTTTGCGCTGGGTTTATTATTTTTTTAATTATGCATGGACATTGGATTTTATCAAATGCTTTTTCTGCATCTATTGATATGATCATGTGATTTTTCTCCTTTAAGCCAGTTGATGTGATGGGTTACATTAATTGATTTTTGAATGTTAAATCAGCATTGAATACATGGAATAAATCCCACTTGGTCATGGCTATAGACTGAATATTTGTGTTCCCTAAAATTCCTATGTTGAAACCTCATCCTCAATGTGAAGGTATTTGGAAATGGGGCTTTGGGAAGTGATTAGGGCATGTGGGCAGAACCCCCATGAATGGGATTAGTGCCCCTAAAACAGAAACCCCAGAGGCTTCATTGTCTCTTCTGCCATATAAGGATGTAGCAAAAAGATGGCCATCTGTGAACCAGGAAGCTGGCTCTCACTAGGCACCAAATCTGCTTTCATTTTGATTTTGGACTTCCCAAATTCCAGAACTGTAAGAATAAATGTTGTTTAAGCCACCCAGTTTATGTTATTTCGTTATAGCGGCCTGAATGGACTAAGACGGTCATGGTGTGTAATTAGTTTTATACATTGTTGGAGTTGATTTGCTAATTATTATTGGGAATGTTTGTATCCATGTCATGAGAAATATTGGTTCAAAGTTTTTTTTTTCTTGTGATGGTTTTGATATCAGGGTAATGGCCTCATTGAATGAGTTAGCAAGCATTCTCTCTACTTCCGTCTTTTGAAAGAGACTATAGAGGAATGGTATAAATTTTCCTTAAATGTATGGTAGAACTCACCAATTAACCCATCTGGGCATGTCATGTTTTGTTTCAGAAGGTTATTAATTATTTATTCAACTTCTTTAATAGATATATTCAGATTGTCTATTTTTTTCCAGTGTAAGTTTTGGCAGATTATCTCTTTCAAGAAATTGGTCCATTTCATGTAGGTTATCAGATTTGTGGGTGTAGAATTGTTCATATTATTCTTTTAATGTCCATGGGATCTATAGTGATGTTTCATCTTCAATTTCTGATGTTAATAGTTTGAATCTTCTCTTTTTCTTAGTCTGGCTAGATACTTACTGATTTTATTGATAATTTCAAAGAACAAGCTTCAGGCCGGGTGGGGTGGCTCACATCTGTAATCCCAACAATTTGGGAGGCCAAGGCAGGCAGATCACTTGAGGTGAGGAGTTCAAGACCAGCCTGGCAAACATGGTGAAACCCCGTCTCTACTGAAAATATAAAAATTAGCCGGGTGCAGTGGCACGTGCCTGTAGTCCCAGCTACTCAGGAGGCTGAGGCAAGAAAACCTCTTGAACATGGGAGGCGGAGGTTGAAGTGAGCCGAGATCATGCCACCTCACTCCAGCCTGGGCGACAAAGCAAGACTGTCTCAAAAAACAAAAACAAAAACAAAAACAAAAACAAAGAACCAGCTTCTAGCTTTGTTTATTTTCTCTATTGCTTTTCTGTTTTCAATTTCTTTAATTTTTGGTCTAATTTTTATTATTTCTTTTTTTCTGCTTCCTTTGGACTTAATTTGCTCTTTTTCTAGTTTCCAAAGGTGGACACTTAGTTTTTTTTTAATATTTTTTTGAGACACAGTCTGTCACCCAGGCAGAGGACACTTAGATTATTGATTTTAGATATATCTTTTTTGGTAATACATGCATTCAATGCTATAAATTTTCCCCAAGCAGTGCTTATGCTACATCCTACAACTTTTGATAAGTTGTATTTTCATTTGGCTTAAAATATTTTTTAATTTCTTTTGAAATTTATTCTCTAACCCATGTGTTATTTTGAAATGTGTTGCTTACTCTCCAAGCATTTTGGTATTTTCCAGCTATCTTTGTTATTAATTTCTAATTTTATTGTGGTCTGAGAGCAAACATAATTTCTATTCTTTTCTATTTGTTAAGGTGTATTTTATGGTTCAGAATGTGGTCTATCTTGATGAATGTTCCATGTAAGCTTGAGAAGAATGTGTAATCTGCTGTTGTTAGATAAAGTAGTCTACAGATGTCAATTATATCCAGTTGGTTGATGGTGTTGTTGAGCTCATCTATGTCCTTACTGATTTTCTGCCTGCTGGATTTGTCCATTTCTAGTAGAAGGGTGCCCTTGTTCTTTGTTCCTATTTTTGTCTTCCACTTTTTCTGGCTTTTTTTTTTTTTTTTTTTTCTTTTGAGATAGGGTCTTGCTCTGTTTCCCTGGCTGGAGTGCAGTGGCATGATCGTAGCTCACTGTAGCCTCAATCTCCTGGGCTCAAGCCATCCTCCTGCCTCAGCCTCCTGAGTAGCCGCGACTATAGGCATGTACCACAACACCTGGCTTTTTTTTTTTTTTTTTTTTTCTGTAGAGATGAGGTCTCATTATGTTGCCCGGGCTCTTTTGTAGTTTTAACAGAGCATTTTATGTGATTCCATTTTCTCTCCTCTCTTGGCATGTCAGTTGTACTTCTTTTTTTACTTGTTTTCCTGGTTGCCTTAGAGTTTGGAATATCTATTTATAACTAATCCAAGTCTAATTTCAAATAAAATGAGTAGGGCAAGTATCTTTTTTTCCCTCTGTATAAAAATAGAAATATTTTAATGTTTCTTTTTTTTAAAATTTTACTTTAGGTTCTGGGATACATGTGCAGGATGTGCAGGTTTATTACATAGGTATACATGTGCCATGGTGGTTTCCTGGCAAGTATCTTATAATAATGGAATATTCCTAATTCCTCTCTTCCATCCCTCATATCATTTCTGTTATTCATTTTACTTATACATAAGCATATATAATAAATAATATATATTCATTTATGTGTGCCTATATATTTGACATATGCACATAATATAGGCATAATCAAATACACTGTTGCTATTATAATTTTTACTAAACTTCTTTGTTAGGCCAATTAAGAATAAGGAAATAAAAGTTTTTATTTTTACCTTCACCTATTCATTGTCTGATACTCTTGTTTTCTTTGTATAGATCTGAGTTTCTGACCTACATAATTGTCCTTCCCTCTGAAGAACTTCCTTTAATATTTCTTGCAAGGCAGACCAACCAGCAACAAATTCCCTCAATTTTTGTTTGTCTGAGAAAGTTTATTTCTCCTTCACTCTTGAAGGATAATTTCACAGGGACAGAATTCTAAGTTGGTGAATTTTTTTCTCTCAATACTCTAAATATTTCACTTCATTCTCTTCATGCTTGCACGGTTTCTGGTGAGAAGTCAGAGTTCGACATAATTCTTTTTTTTTTGAGACGGAATCTCGCTCTGTCACCCAGGCTGGAGTGCAGTGGTGCAATCTGGGCTCACTGCAACTTTTGCACCCCGGTTTCAGCAATTCTCCTGCCTCAGCCTCCTAAGTAGCTGGGACTGCAGGTGTGTGCCACTATGCCCGACTAATTTTTGTATTTTTTGGTAGAGATGGGGTTTCTCTGTGTTGGCCAGGCTGGTCTCAAACTTCTGGCCTCAAGTGATCCACCTGCCTCAGCTTCTCCAAAGTGCTGGGATTACAGGCGTGAGCCACCGCACTTGGCAAGAGTTTGATATAATTCTTGTCTTTGCTCCTCTATAGGTGTTTATTTTCTTCCTTCCGGCTTCTATTAAGATTTATTTTTAATCTTTAATTTTCTGAATTCTGAATATGATATGCCCAGGTATAGTTTTGTTTTGTTTTTGGCATTTATTCTTCTTGCTGTTTTCTGAGATTTCTGGATCTGTGGTTGGGTGAAAAATTATCAGTCATTATTGCTTTAAATATTGCTTCTGGTTCTTTCTCTCTTTCTTCTCCTGGCATTTCCACTCTACCTATGCTACCCCGTTTGTATTTGTCTCATGGTTCCCGATATCCTTTTTTGGGTTTTTCAAAATCTTTTTTTTCTGACTGGTTTTCATTTAGGGAGTTTCTATTGTCATATCCTCAAGCTCAGAAATTTTTTCCTTAGCTGTGTCCAGTCTACTGGTGTGCCCATCAAAGGTATTCATTGCTGTTACTTTTTTTTTTTTAATTTCTAGCTATTCCTTCTTATTCTGTCTTAGAGTTTTCATCTCTCTGTTCACATTACCCATCTGTTCTTGCATGTTATCTATTTTTTCATTAAAGCCCTTAGCATATTAATCATAGTGTTAAAAATTCCTGTTCTGATAGTTCCAATGTTCCTGCCATATCTGACTCTGGTTCTGATGCTTGCTCTGTCTTTTCGAACTGTGTTTTTTGTCTTTTAGTATGCTTTGCAATTTTCTGCTGAAAGGTCGACATGATGTACTAGTTAAAAGGAAACGCAGTAAACAGGCCTCTAGTAATGTGGTAGTCAGATCTGTGGAAAGCAGCAGCACTCTATAGTCCTATGGTTAGCTGAACTTCTCTGGACATCAGCTTCTCTGTAGCCCTGGGATAGCTGGATCTCCTTGGACAATCTGTTCCTCATCAGATGTCCACCTCCAAAATCAGTTCCAAATCATAACATATTAATTAGATCTTTTTGGAGACATAGCGAAGAAGATACATATAGTATACCACACAGTAGAAACTAAACCAAATTCTTCATCAGCCACTCCTCTTCATCTTGCCTCACACATTTTTTTTTCCCTGCTAATAATTTTGTTTCTCTTTTTTACCTCTACAACTTCTTAAAACTCATTCTGTTGTCCAGAGCAGTTCATCTCTACCCTCAGCTTGTGTATCCCACTCAGCAAAACAAAGACCAAGCAGAAGCCACCTTCCCAGTTCCTGTAAGTATGTCTGTTTTGAAGTGGGACAAGGAGCAGCCTCAGCTCACCTGGCCACGTGTACACAGGGCTAATTATATGTAACCTGCAAGGATGTTGTGAGGATGAACAGAGCTGGAATTCAGGCCTAAGTTTTCTGACCTCAAGTTCAATGTCCCTTTCCTTAGCTATCTCAAGACAACAAAATATTGTACAGCCTTTATTCTTAGAGATTTCCCTGGCTCAAACCCTCCATTTAACTGGATTTTTGTAACATTCAACTTTTTTTTTTTTCTTTTTGAGACAGAGTCTCACTCTGTTGCCCAGGCCAGAGTGCAGTGGCGCGATCTTGTCTCATTACAACCCCCGCCTCCTGGGTTCAAGTGATTCTCCTGCCTCAGCCTCCCAAGTAGCTGGGACTGCAGGCACATGCCACCACGCCTGGCTAATTTTTTTTTTTGAGATGGAGTTTCGTTCTTGTTGCCCAGGCTGGAGCGCAATGGCATGATCTCTGCCCACCGCAACTTCTGCCTCCTGAGTTCAAGCGATTCTCCTGCTTCAGCCTCCTGAGTAGCTGGGATTACAGGCATGTGCTGCCACACTTGGCTAATTTTGTATTTTTAGTAGAGACAGGTTTCTCCATGTTGGTCAGGCTGGTCTCGAACTCCCAACCTCAGGTGATCTGCCCTCCTCGGCCTCCCAAAGTGCTGGGATAACAGGTGTGAGCCATTTTTGTATTTTTAGTAGAGACGGGATTTTGCCATGTTGGCCAGGCTGGTCTCGAACTCCTGCCTCAGGTGATCCACCAAGCCCGGCCTGTAACATTCAACTTTTGGAAGAGACAAAGAATTAGCCAGGAATGTGAAAATAAAAATTTGATTTCTAGAACATGTGTCAGGGTCAGCACAAATGTATCGCTCTTATTCTCTCTGTATCTGTGATGCCAGCCCATGAGACTTCAATTTAGAGTGATGACGCCTGAAGAAGAGTGACATTCTCCCTCATTAAAGAGAGATATTATTATGTTCACTGACCCCTACTTAGGCAAGAATGTGGGCAGAGATGTTTCAAAAATCATGGGCAAGACTTGAGATGTGATGAGGCTTTCTTCCTAGCCTAGTTTCCCACTTCCTCCCAGGAAGGGAAGGAGATCAGGGTGACTGAGCCTATCAACGAGGTCTGTAGAGGAGGCAAACGGCCATGGCAGTCAGCATCAGGGTTAGGAGTAGAGTGTGTGTTAGTTTCCTAGAGCTGCCATAGCAAAGTACCACAAACTTGCTGCGTTAAAACAACAGAAATGTACTCTTTCACAATTCTGGAGGCTGGAAGTCTGAAATCAATATGGTGGCAGGGCCGTGCTCTCTCTGAAGGCTCTAGGAGATCCGTATGTGCTTCTTCCTAGCTTCTTATGGCTGCTGACATTCCTTGGCATTCTTTGGCTTGTAGATGCCTGACCCCTATCTCTGCCTCCCTTGTCACACGGCAGGCTTCCTGTGTGTGTCTGTTATCTCTTCTTATAAGGATGACCATCATTGGATCAGGGCCCACCCATCTTAATTAATTACATCTGCAAAGATCCTATTTCCAATTAAAGCCCCATTCACAGTCCTGGGGGTTAGGACTTTAACGTATCTTTTTGGGGAACAAAATTCAGCCCACAATAGAGTGCTCTATCTTTCGTGTTTGTCAGCAGAAGAATCTGCCGAAATGACTTGGCAGCTAGGACAGAAGGAAGGTGACTGAAGTGATTGAAGGAAGGTGAACTTCTGAGGAGGCAATGTCCACATTTCTGAAAATGGGGCAATGGAGGCTTTGGGAGCCAACTGAACCTTTAATCTCCTCCCCCATCCCTGGCATAGGCAGATTTTCAAAACTGCCGTCTGAAGTATAGGATACTTGCTATAGCGTCTTCATCTGACCTGTAACTTCAAAATAAATCCTGGCAAAGTGGCCCATTCATCATTCATAAGGTACAGTTTCACCAGCTAGTTAACATTCCCTTCCCAGGTAGATGTGTGTGTAATTCATTCCAGTATTTAAGAGAGATCTCCCAGAATTCTACTCAGATTTATTGTCAAATAACTGTTCGGTAAAACTGCGTCTTTTGCTGACTCAGGCCTGGCAGGAAAAGTTGCCACAAGCATGGAGCTCTGGCATTGATTTGTGACTTCCCAGTGGGAGAACCTCAGGGGTGGAAGCCCACAGGCTTGATTGCCTTCTTAGATTAATATTTAATAGGATGACCGCCCCCATCTACCTTGCCAGCCCGGATCAGTGCCACAAGTCAAGGCTTGGCCTTGCTGTGCACAAGCGCTGTGAGGAAGATTTGGCAAAATTTTAATTAACTGAAGATAAACATACATAGGGAGCATGAGTCCATTAGCTGGCATCACCACCCAGAGAGAAAAGGCCTCACTAATCACATGCCACAGCAGGTGAAATGACCTGCAGACCTGCAGCCTCCATTTGCTTTCAAATTAAAAAACATATTTTTGAAATAAATACACATGGGGCCCTGCTCATCATGTCGTTTCCCCTGAAAAGCAGGAAATCTGGGTTGCTAATGAGCAATGCTTTTAATATTTTAGCCCAAGAAAGCTGAAAACACAAGTGTAGCAAAACAAGGCTGGAATTGCCCTTCCTTTGGAGGAGGGAGGAAAGTTGGGACAGGAAACCAAGGAAAGGCAATCAGAAATGGAGGACTCAGTCCTGTGGAAAAATACAAATAATATAGTCAGCCTGGGAAGAAGTAACTGGATCTAGAAATCAGGCATGGCAGAGGTACCCATTTGCTCAGCGGCAAGGAATCCGCAAGGTTAGATCGTAGAATAAGTCTGTAATTCACCAACCTTTAGATTGCAAGATGGCCAAGAAATAGGGATAGAGCTTGAGTTTACAATATTCTAGAAGGAAAATTTTATACAATTTGGTCAGAAAGTGGGTATTTCGTTTGCTCATTAGGCTATATATTCATCACTTAATATGTAACAAGTGCCATTTCAGGTCTGGGGAGGTAGAAGTGAAGGAGACTTAACAAGTCTCTGTTGTCATGTGGCTTACTTTCTAGTAGGGGGAGGCAGACAACAAATACCCAAGAAAATATCAGGTAGCATTTAAGTCAGAGACCTGAATGGTGAGAAAGCGCTGGCCATGCAGAGATCAGGGGAGGGCATTCTGGGGAATAGAAAGTACAAAGGCCCTAAGGAAGGTAAGAGCTCAGCCTGTTGAAGGAATGAAGTGTGGCTGGCGCTCAGTGAGAAAGGAGATGAGGAGAAGAAAAGAATAGGTAGGGGCAAGGTTCAGGATATTGGGTTTTATTCCAAGTGCAATTATTCTTATGAAACTTGTCATTCCCACTAGATTATAAGCTTCAAGAGGGCAGAGACTCTCTCTTACTCACTCAATACCTAGTTTGCATTCCAGGGCATCTACTAGCTGCCTTTTCTTTTTATTTGAGCCTGGTCTTCTTCTAGCCCTTCTATAGTATGGTGAGCCAGCCTCCAAGATGACTTCCAATGACCCTTGCCTCCTTTTGTAATCCCCTTTCACATTGAATCAGGGCTGGACCTTTGTGGCCAGTAAAAGAGGGTAGAATTGATAGTGTATGATGTTCAAGGCTAAGTTATAAAAGTCATTCCAGCACCCATCTTGGTCTCTTGGATTTCTTGCCCTGGGGGAGGCCAGCTGCCATGGGAACACTCAAGCTGCAATGTGGAGAGGCCCACATGGAGAGGAACTGAGTCCCTGGACAATGGCCAGCAACCAATTTGCCATTCATGTGTATGAGCCACCTTGGAAGTGGATCCTCCTATCCTAGTAAAGCCTTCAGATGATTGTAGCCTCAGCTGACATATTATTGCAAGCGTATGAGAGACCTTGAGCCAGAACTGCCCAGTGGAGACCTCCTTAAATTCCTGACCAGTGGAAACCATGAGAAATAGTAAATCATTATTTTAAGCCGTCAAATTTTGGGTGATTTGTTACACATCCTTAAGAACCCAGCCAGGCGCAGTGGCTCACGCCTGTAATCCCAGCGCTCTGGGAGGCAGAGGCGGGCGGATCACGAGGTCAGGAGATAGAGACCATCCTGGCTAACACAGTGAAACCCCATCTCTACTAAAAATACAAAAAATTAGCCGGGTGTGGTGGTGGGCGCCTGTAGTCCCAGCTACTCGGGAGGCTGAGGCAGGAGAATGGCATAGACCCGGGAGGCAGGCCTGCAGTGAGCCAAGATTGTGCCACTGCACTCCAGCCTGGGTGACAGAGCGAGACTCCATCTCAAAAAAAAAAAAAAAAAGAACCCAGAACACATAGTATAAGGTCATGTATGAAGTAATGGGATAAAAGCATGACAATGAGAAACTGCTTAAAGGGGATCCTCTTCATGTGGGACAGAAGATCAGAGAACTCCTAAGACAAGGGGCGGGCTCACATCATTCCTTGGGGACATCTAAGAGTCAGGACTGAATGAAAGATCATTGGTGAGGTCATTTAAAAATAAATGTGGCCCTTTCCCCCGGCTGGCAGCGCAGAGGCCGCAGGATGCCTGGAGTTACTGTAAAAGATGTGGACCAGCAGGAGTTCGTCAGAGCTCTGGCAGCCTTTCTCAAAAAGTCTGGGCAGCTGAAAATCCCCAAATGGGTGGCCAAGCATAAAGAGCTTGCTCCCTGTTATGAGAACTGGTTCTACACACGAGCTGCTTCCACAGCGCGGCACCTGTACCTCTGGGGTTGGCTCCATGACCAAGATCGATGGGGGACATCAAAGATGGCATCATGCCCAGCCACTTCAGTCGAGGCTCCAAGAGTGTGGCCCGCCAGGTTCTCCAAGCCCTGGAGGGGCTGAAAATGGTGGAAAAGGGCCAAGATGGGGGCCACAAACTAATACCTCAGGGACAGAGAGATGTGGACAGAATCACCGGAGAGGTGGCAGCTGACAACAAGAAGCATTAGAACAAACCATGCTAGGTTAATAAATTGCCTCGTTCGTAAAAATAAATAAAATAAAATAAAAATAAATAAATAAATGTGGAGGGCAGAATTTATCCATTATTATCTCTTGTGAAGCAGACAAAAGCCACAGTATTCAAAATATATTTATAAGAATCTAGAACCTGTGTAACTTCCCTAGGTTTGTTGTTTTTGTTGCCCTGGTCTAATTATCCAGGGTGAAAAGCTCTTGAATGTTTGTCTGGGGTAACAAAGAGAAGGGGGGAGGGTTTGGGAGGGAGGAATTGCCCCACTCCAAATCTGCCTCAGGGGGTAGCTACCAGAAGAGGAAAGTAGGCCTTGGAACTTGCTGAGGGAATCAAGTTGAAGACAGAGCCTGACTGGGCCTGAGACAGACCCCCGGGCTAAGAGTTGAAAGGCACAGTGTGTTGAATAAAGTGAGCCAGGTTCAATCGTTTCCTGAGGCACAGGCATATCCGCAGCCTTCCAAAGCAGCCTTCCAAATCTGTCTTCTCCGGGAGAATCTTCCCCTCGTCAGAGCTGGTATCTCACAGGTGAAAATGTGAAGTAATCTCTAACAGCCCTGGGAGGTGAATGCCCAGCAAAGTATTTATCCTCAAACAACCCCCTCCTGGCACATTTGTCTGGCTATGTATTTCTGTAATTAATTGATGTTGTTCAGTTAAGATCTATTAAATTCTTGTCTGAAAATAAACGTCATCTGGAACTCCATGTGTTAAAACAATAAAAGCAGTGCTGTTCCAGTTAAGGTGGGAAAGGGAGAGGGGTGCTGAGTCCCGCTTCCCCTCAGCTTTGCCTCATCCACCCACCCCACTTAGCATCCCCAAGGCCTTTCCCAGGAGCCCTAGCATTCTGAAACTCATAGCTTGAAAAAAACAGATTGAGGATATTATAGCACCTGCTACATCGTTTTATAATAATCTGCTATTTGTGATTACTTATGCCACTGTTTTCTTCCACTACTGCAAATAAACAGATTCATCTTCTTCAGATACCATCTCATCATGTACTTAAGGCCTCTAGGAAGATTCTGGTTCTCAGAAGTTCAAGTCAGAGGGGCTTAAAGATGGCTGGTACTTGCCTCCTCCACAAAGAAGAACCTAAATAGTGAGTAGATAGTCACATTTCAAATAGGTCATCCAAAAAAAACACTGGAATTCATTGGAGAAGTGTCAGGAAACACCTAAGGCAAGGAATAAAAGGGAAGCAAGGCAGCCTGCTCAGCCAGGACCAGCTAGGAGTCTGTAGAGACTCCCCATTGTGGGGAAAAGGGAAGTGAGAGATGCCTCGTGGTCCACATTCTCACCGTGGACTCCTGCAGTCCCAGCCATGCGTGGACTCCTGCAGTCCTAGCCATGGTAGAGCCCCTGACCCACAGGGGCCCTGAGACGAAAACAGAGAGCTTCCTGGAGACCACACAATGGCACTGCCCCAGAGAGGGAGTTCACACTGGATCCCACACATCCCCAAGGCATCAGCAGCTCCTGTGCAAGGTGCTATTTTGAGAGCCCAACACCATGCGAACGGCACTCTCCCTGGGACCCAGCAGTGCCTGCATCTCCATGGCCCTGGCGCCCACTGAGATTCCCCACCTGCAGCTACCACCACAGCTGGCTGCTGCCACTGAGGCTGAAGTGCAGGCCACTAACCCCACTCCCTCCAGAAGCAGAGCCACTGCACATTTTCACACACCCAGACAGAATCCTCTGCACATAGCTGTTGTTACTATGCTGCTGGGGCTACAGTGTGAGTGAAAGGGCTGCTGCCATTAGGTCTGAAGCATAAACCAAGCTCGCCTACATATAACTGCTGCCACTGAAAGCAACTTCACCCTCTCCAGGAGCAGGGCCATAATGCAGTTTCTGCTGCCACAACCCTAAGCATTCTGCTGGGGGCCTGGGGATCACTCTGTTTCTGCCTACCACAGCCAGTGCCAGTATGCACCATTGTTGTGGGGAGCTGACTACAAGCCTGCTCAGGCTGGCTTTCCCATAATCCATGCCAGAGCATATAGTCTGTGGGCCTGAGGTTCATCCAGCCCAGTCCACTAGTGTCAGCACCTGAAAACTCCTCCTGGGGGCCTGAGGTTGGCCCCACCCACCCTTCCACTACCACCGCAGCTGGCACCTACTTGCACACAACACCTGCAGACCTGGAGACTAGATGGCCTAGCCCATTGCAGCCACTGCCAACACCACTGCATACTGCTTGGGACCCAGAGAATTGTCTCACCACTGCCACTGCCATCACTCACAACATGCCTACTGTCCAGGTTCCTGAGAAGCTGCCCACCTGCCAGCCAACCACTGCCACCAGCATATGAACAAGCCACCTGGAAGCCCAAGAATCAGCATGCTTGGACCCGCTAACACTGGTGCCAGCATATGCCACCCTCGGGCTTAAGGACAGACACACTCAGCCTACCACTGTCACCATTAGGTCCCAAAGACTGGCCCACCTGGTGTCCCAGTCCCCAGCAATACTTCACCACAGCCTCCACTAATGACCTCATCCTAAGCCATTGAAGAAATCACAGACATCACTAACACTGCCTATAGCCATAGAAATCATACAGAGACTACATTACTGTACACACCCAGAATCAAGGCCAAAGTTTCCTACACAAACAATACCATAGATACATCTTCAGGAAAAAGTCCTCCCCTATGAAAGCAAATTCAAAAACTGGAAGAAGCAACTGTTACACCAAATGCACAGATGTCAATATAAGTACACAGGAAACATGAAACAGCAAGAAAGTATGACACTTCCAAAGGAACATAATAATTCTCCAGTAACATATCTAAGTAAAAAAAGAAATTTATAAAATCCTAAAAAAAGAATTCAAAATATTGATTTTTAAAGAGGCTCAGTGAGATACAAGAGAATCCTGAAAAATACAAAGAAATCAGAAAAACAATTCAAGGTATGAATGAGAAATTTACCAAAGAGATAGTTATCATAAAAAGAATCAACCAGAAATTATGAAACTACAGAATTCATTGAATGAAATAGAAACTACAGTTGAAAACTTCAACAATAGACTACATCAAGGAGAAGAAAAGAGCTTCAAATTTGAAGACAGGTCTTTTGAAATAAACCAGTCAGACAAAAATAAAGAAAAAATAATTTTAAAACATGAGCAAAGCTTATGTGACTATTAGGACACCATAAGGTGACCAAATATTCAAAATTTCAGAGTCCTAGAAGGTGAAGACAAAATGAAAGTTATTTAACAAAATAATAGATGAAAACTGTCCAAGTCTAGCAAGAAAGCTAAACATCCAGATACAAGAGGCTGAAAAATTCCCAAATAGATACAATGCAAAAAGGTATTCTCCACAGCACATTACAGTTAAACTGTCAAAAGTCAAAGACAAAGAGTTCTAAAAACAGCAAAAGCATCTAGCACTTGTTGGGAACAGGCCCCCCAAAATCTGGCCATAAACTGGCCCCAAAACTGGCCATAAACAAAATCTCTGCAGCACTGTGACATCTTCATGATGGCCATGACGTCCACACTGGAAGGGTGTGGGTTTACCGAAATGAGGGCAAGGAACACCTGGCCCACCCAGGGCAGAAAACCACTTAAAGGTGTTCTTTTTTTTTTTTTTTTTTTTTGAGACGGAGTCTCGCTCTGTCGCCCAGGCTGGAGTGCAGTGGCGGGACCTCGGCTCACTGCAAGCTCCGCCTCCCGGGTTCACGCCATTCTCCTGCCTCAGCCTCCCAAGTAGCTGGGACTACAGGCGCCCGCCACTACGCCCGGCTAATTTTTTGTATTTTTAGTAGAGACGGGGTTTCACCGTTTTAGCCGGGATGGTCTCGATCTCCTGACCTCGTGATCCGCCCGCCTCGGCCTCCCAAAGTGCTGGGATTATTAAAGGTGTTCTTAAACCACAAACAATAGCATGAGCGATCTGTGCCTTAAGGACATGCTCCTGCTGCAGACAACTAGCCAAACCCATCCCTTTATTTCGGCCCATCCCTTTGTTTCCCATAAGGAATACTTTTAGTTCACCTATAATCTATAGAAACAATGCTAATCACTGGCTTGCTGTTAATAAATATGTGGGTAAATCTCTGTCTGAGGCTCTCATCTCTGAAGGCTGTGAGACCCCTGGTTTCCCACTCCACACCTCTATATTTCTGTGTGTGTGTCTTTAATTCCTCTGGCGCTGCTGAGTTAGGGTCTCCCCAACCGAGCTGGTCTTGGCAGTCACTTATAAAGGAACTCCCATCAGACTAACAGCAGATTTTTGGCAAAAACCTTACAGTCCAGGAGAGAATGGGATGATATATTTAAAGTGCTGAAAGAAAAAAAAATGGTCAGTGAAGGATACTATAACCAGCACAGTTATCCTTCATTAGTGAATGAGAAATAAAGCCTTTCCCAGACAAGCAAAAGTTTAGGGAATTCATCACAACTAGATCAGTCATACAAGAAATGCTTAAGAAATTCTACACTCAGTAGTGAAAGAAATATATCTACCATCATGAAAACACATACAGATATAAAACCCACAGATAGAGTAAACTCAAAAACAAGAAAAATACTCAAACATTATCACTATGGAAAACCACCAAACCACAGTGATAAACAATAAAAGAGAAATAAAGGAACAAAGGATACAAAAAATAACCAGAAATATATTAATAAAATGACAGAAATAAGTCCCCACATATCAATAATAACCTTGAATGTAAATGAATTAAACTTTCCACTGAAAAGATATAGACTAACTGAATGGAGAAAAAAACATGACCCAACTAAATGCTGCCTAAAAGAAATTCATCTCACACATAGACACATGTAGACTAAAAGTAAAGGAATGAAAAAAGATATCCTATACAAATGGAAACCAAAAGTGAGCAGAAGTAGCTATACTTACATCAGATAAAACAGACTTTAAGTCAAAAACAGTTAATAAAGACAAAGAAGATCACTATATAATAATAAAGGGATCAGTTAAGCAAGAAGATATATAACAATTCTAAACATATATGCACCCAACACTGGAGCACCCAGATATAAAAGCAAACATTAGATTTAAAGGGAGAGATAGATTCCAATACAATGATAGTCGGGGATTTCAACACTTCATTCTCAGCATTAAACAGATCATCTAGACAGACAATTAACAGAAAAAAAAATAATTTAAACTACATACTAGACCAAATGGACTGCCAGATATTTACAGAACATTTCCCCCAATAGCTACAGAATACATATTCTTCTCATCAGCACACAGAACATTCTTTCAGGATACATGATATATTAAGACACAAAACAAGTATCGAAAAATTTTTAAACATTAAAATTATATGAAGTGTCTTCTCAGACCACAGTGGAATAAAAGTAGAAATTAATAACAAGAGGAACTTTGGAAACTGAACAAATACATGGAAATTAAACAATATGCCCCTGAATGACAACTGGGCCAGGGAAGAAATAAAAAAATTTCTTGAAACAAATGAAAATAGAAACACACACAATATACCAAAACCTGTGGGATACAGCAAAAGCAATGCTAAGAGGGAAGTTCATAGCAAATAAGTGCCTACAGCAAATAAGTAGAAAGATTTCAAATAAACAATTTTATGATGCACCTCAAGGAACTAGAAAAGCAAGGACAAACCAAATCCAAAATTAGTAGAAGGAAATAAATAATAAAGATCAAAGCAGAACTAAACACAATAGAGACTAAAAAGAAAAAAAAACCCAAAACACCAAAGGATCAATGAAACAAAAGTTGTGTTTTTTAAAATATAAACAAAATTGATAAATCACTTGCTGGACTGAGAAAAAAGACAGAAGACCCAAATAAACAAAATCAGAAATGAAAAAGAAGACATTACAACTGATAAGACAGAAATACAAAAGATAATCAGAGACTTTATGAATAATGATACACTATCAAACTGGAAAAGCGAGAGTAAATGGACATATTCCTGGGACACATATAGCCTACCGAGATTGAATCAGAAATGTTAAAAGAGAAACTTCAGCTGAATTAAATTTAAAGGAGTTTAATTGAACAATGAACGATTTGCAAATGAGGCAGCCTCCATAATCACAGCAGATTCAGGAGACTCCAGGGATGCCTTGTGGTCAGAACAAATTTATAGACAGAGCAGACACAGTGGCTGATGCCTGTAATCCTAGCATTTCAGGAGGCCAAGGTGGGAGGATCATTTGAGGTCAGGAGATTGAGACCAGCCTGACCAACATGGTGAAACCCCATCTCTACTAAATATAAGAAAAAAAAAAAATTAGCTGGGCATGGTGGTGGGCACCTGTAATCCCAGCTACTCAGGAGGCTGAGGCAGGAGAATCACTTGAACCCAGGAGGCGGAGGTTGCAGTGAGCTGAGATTGTGCCACTGCACTCCAGCCTGGGCAACAGAGCGAGACTATGTCTCAAACAAACAAAAAAAAAAACAAAAAAAACAAAAAAACCTTACAGACACAAAAAGAGAAATGACGTACAGAAATCGGAAGTGAGGTACAGAAACACCTGGATTGGTTAAAGGTTGGCGTTTGCCTTATTTGAACACAGTATGAACACTTAGCAGTCTATGAGTGGTTGAAATATGGCCACTGGGATTGGCCAAGACTCAGCTATTGTTCCAGGCTCATACTCCTAAGTTAGGTTTTCGATCTTGTCTGCCTATTAAGCTAGGTTACAGTTCATCCATAAGGACTGAAATATAGAAGTACGGAGTCCTTCTCAGGCCATAGTTTGCTTTAACAGGAAGAAATAGAAAATCCTGAAAAGATTAATAACAAGTAATGAAGTCAAAGCAGTAATCAAAACTCTCCCAACAAAAGAAAAAGCTCTGGACTAAATGACTTCACTGCTGAATTCTACTAAACTTTAGAAAAGAAATTAACACCAATTCTCCAAACTATTTCAGAAAATTGAAAAGGAGAAGCCTCTCCCAACTAATTCTATGAATCCAGCATTACCCCGTTACCAAAACCAGACAAAGATGAAACAAAATAAATAAAGAAAGAAAGGAAACTCTGGGCCAATATATCTGATGAATACAGATGCAAAAATCCTCAACAAAACATTAGCAAATTGAATCCAAAAGCGCATTTTAAAAACCCACTATAACAAAGTGGGATTTATCCCAGGCATGCAAGTATGGTTCAACAAATGCAAATCAATAAATGTGATACATCACATCAACAGAGTGAAGGACAAAAGCCATATGATCATCTCAATAGATACAGAAAAAGCATTTGATAAAAATTCAACATCCTTTCATGATAAAAGCTCTCAACAAAACAGGCACAGAAGGAACATGCCACAACAAATTAAAGGCCGTATATGACAAACTCACAGCTAACATTATACAGAATGGGGAAAAGCTGAAGGCCTTTCCTCTAGGAACTGGAACAAGACAAAGATGCCCACTCTCACCACTCCTATTCAGCATAGGAGTGAAAGTCCTAGCCAGAGCAATCAGGCAAGAGAAAGAAATAAAAGGCACCCAAATTGGAAAAGGGAAGTCAAATTGTCCTTCTTTTCTAAAGCTATGATCTTATACCTAGAAAAACATAAAGACTCCATCAAAAAACTCTTAGATATGATAAATCAGTAAAGTTGCAGGATACAAAATCAACACACAAGAATCAGCAGCATTTCTATACAACATTAATGAACTAGCCAAGGAAGAAATCAAGAAGGCAATTCTATTTATGATAGCTACAAAAATAAATTTAAAAAAATACCTAGAAATACATTTAACCAAGAAAGCGAAAGATCTCTACGAGGAAAACTACAAAATACTGATGAAAGAAATTGAAAAGGATTGAGAAGAACAAGATAGCTGACTAGATGCAGCCAGGAAATGCCTCTCCCACTGAGAGAAACCAAAAATTGACTAATCCAACACATTTCAAACAGATCTTTTGAGAGAAAATACAGAAAGTCAATAGAGAGGCAACACCGACAATAAGGTTGAACAGGGTGGAAGCTGGGAATACTTCATAGAGTTGCTGAGCACCAGGACCAGCTCCTGGCCCTAAGCAGGTCCTAAGGAAGAGATTCAGCTACAAGAGATCCCATGACCCCCATAGACATTTTAATTTGCAGGGGAACTGCCTGGAAAGTAGGCAGAGGCAGAACTCGAACCTGTGCTAAGCCCAAAAGGTTTTGCATGGGGGACAACTGCAGCAAAATGTGACCATAGGTGTCCATCCTCCAAGGCTCTCCATTTTGCTCTGAGTGACTCTAGCCCTTGCTGACTGCCAGGCTGGGAGAGAGCAGAGCTGTCTTTCCTGCAGTACTAGGGTGCATCTGATCTGCACACCCCCCTATCCACTGGCTCCTCCTAAGGCCCCTGCCTGGCTGCTTGTGCAAGAGCGTGCACACACTTGCCCCACCTGATTGCTTTGCTGGTGGCCTGGGAAAGATTCAGCCTCCCCCATTCCTCAGCACAGCCAGTGCTCAACCCCAAGGGGCCAAAGGACAAAGCCATGGGGCAGGTCCCAACTCCCCAGGGTTTGAGCACATAGCTCAGGGGTATCGAGCTCAGATCTGTGGCCTGAGCTCAAGCAGGTGAGGAGCCCCCACTCTCAGAACACCTCAGAAGAGTGAGGTGCAGGTTCATGTACTAGTGTGGGATTTGGGCATGCCTCCCTCCACAAAAATCAGTCTGGGAAGGGTGTACCCTGTTTAACAGCCCACAGCCTCTGCCCAAGGGAGCCCCTAAGCCCAGAACACCTAACACCCCAGCAATCTGGGCACAG
The DNA here is from genome assembly GCF_000001405.40 of Homo sapiens. Taxonomy (NCBI): domain Eukaryota; kingdom Metazoa; phylum Chordata; class Mammalia; order Primates; family Hominidae; genus Homo; species Homo sapiens. Next base: position 113,178,179 of record NC_000001.11, read on the forward strand.
AAGGCTTGGAACAAAACTAGCTGTTTGGGCCTGCTACGGGGGCAGACACCGGAAGGAGATTCAGTCAGGGGAGCACAAGCTGGGTAGTCCCCACAGTTTTCTGCTGAGCAAAACCCCCCAGTCATGAGTCATGGGTGCTGCACCAGCTGTGCACCCATGACAACACTGCCCTGAGGATCCTCCAATCTTGACCCACTGCATCTACAGACCATCCGCAGACATACTCCATAACTCACTCTGACTATGTCAAACACAGAGGACCAGTGGATCTCAGGGGAGCTGTGGGTCTCCTGACAACCTAACCATTGACTCTGGCCACCCAAGGGAGGTGGGAGTGTAGCCTCCCAGGGGCCCTTTTGGGGCTAAGGAAATGCAGGCATGATGCCAATGATTAGAGGGTGCTCCTCCAAGGCCTAGGAGCAAACTTGGGGTCGTCTCTCACGCCCGACATCTCTCCCTCCACAAAGCACTGCTGTGAATGCCCTGAAATATAAAAGAGGCACATAGCTGAGTGACAGCCTATTTGCTGGCCCTTACTCTTAAGCTCCATCTACTGGAATGCAGCCTGAATTATACCACCAATCAAAAATTCCTTTAGCATACATTGACTATGAAACCCAGTACAGGAATCTAGTCACAACTCAATAACCCATACAGAGCCTTGGCCCTCTGAAAACACTCAGAAATGAAGCCAATCAACTATACACAATACACACCACAGTCAAAGCCTCAAGAGAACAAAAGCATATAAAAACAAAAAGCCCCATCCAAATAACAGCAACTTCAAAAGGATAAACACCAGCTCTCTCAGATAAGGAAAAATCAACACAAGAACTCCAGCAATCAAGAAGAAGGAGTGTTTCCTTACCTCCAAATGGTTGCACTGGCTCCCCAGCAATGAACCCTACCCAGATTGAAATGTGGCTGAATTGACAGATACAGAATTCAGAACCTGGATGGCAAAGAAACTCAGTGGTACTCAGGAGAAAGTTGAAACCCAATCCAATGAAGCCAATAAAGTGATACAAGAGTTGAAATAGCCATTTTAAGAAAGAACCAAACTGAACTTCTGGAATAGAAAAATTCACTATAGGAATTTCAAAATTCAGCTAGAGGCATGAACAACAGATTAGACCAAGCTGAGGAAAGAATCTCAGAGCTTGAGGACCAGTGCTTTGGATCAACCCAGTCAGACAAAAATAAAGCAAAAATAATTTTACAAAATGAACAAAACAACTGAGAAACGTCAGATTATGTAAAGAGACCAAACCTACAACTCATTGGCATTTCTGAGAGAGAAAAAGAGAGAATAAGCAACTCAGAAAACGTTTGAGGATACGGTCCATGAAAATTTCTCTCCCCAACCTTGCTAGAGAGGTTGACATGAACTTCAAGAAATTCAGAGAACCCCTGTGAAATACTATGCAAGATGACCATCCCTAAGACACATAGTCATTGTACCTTCCAATGTGAAAGAAAAATACCTTAGGCCGGGCATGGTGGCTCACGCCTGTAATCCCAGCACTTTGGGAGGCTGAGGCAGGCAGATCACGAGGTCAGGAGATCGAGACCATCCTGGGTAACACGGTGAAACCCCGTCTCTACTAAAAATACAAAAAATTAGCCAGGCGTGGTGGCGGGCACCTGTAGTCCCAGCTACTCGGAAGGCTGAGGCAGGAGAATGGCGTGAACCTGGGAGGCAGAGCTTGCAGTGAGCCAAGATAGTGCCACTGCACTCCAGCCTGGGTGACAGAGTGAGACTCTGTCTCCAAAAAAAAAAAAAAAAAAACCTTAAAGACAACTATAGAGAAGAGGCAGATCATGTACAAAAGGGAATGCTAACAGGCTAACAGCGAACTTCTCAGCAGAAACCTTGCAAGTCAAAAGAAATTGGGGGATTATTTTCAGCATCCTTAAAGAAAAGAAATTCCCATCAAGAATTTTATATTCTGCCAATCTAAGCTTCATAAGCAAAGGAGAAATAAAATCTTTTCCAGAGAAGCAAACATTAAAGGAATTTTAGGTCTTTAAGGGAGTTCTAAACAAGGAAATGAAAGAATGATACCTACTACCACAAAGCACACTTAAAGACATAGCCCATAGACCCTATAAAGCAATTAACTACACAATCAAGTTTACCAAACAACAGCTAACAGCATGATGACAGGATCAAAACCTCAAATATCAATATTAATATTGAATGTAAATGGTCTAAACACCCCACTTAAAAGGCACGGAGTGGCAAGTTGGATAAAAAAATAAGACTCAACTGTCTGCTCTTTTCAAGAGGGTGTCTCACATGTAATGACACCCGCAGGATCAAAGTAAAGGGATCTATCACGCAAACAGAAAACAAAAAATAACAGGGGTCATTATTCTTATATCATATAAAACAGACTTTAAATCAACGACAGTTAAAGAGACAAAGAAGGGCATTACATAATGATAAAAAGTTTAATTCAACAAGAAAACTTAACTATCCTCAGTGTATATGCACCCAACATTGGAGCACCCAGATTCATAAAACAAGTACTTCTAAACCTACAAAAAGACTTAGACAGTCAGATAATAATGGTGGGGGACTTCTACACCCCAATGACAGTATTAGACAGATCACTGAAGTAGAAAACTAACAAAGAAATTCTGGATTTAAACTCAACTCTTGATCAATTGGACCTAACAGACATCTATAGAATACTCCACCAACAACCATAGAATATACATTCTCCTCATATGCACATCAGCCATACTCTAAGACTGACCACATGGTCAGCCATAAAGCAAGTCTCAATAAATTTTAAGAAATGTAAATCATACCGAGCATACTCTCAAACCATGGTAGAATAAAAATAGAACTCAATACCAAGAAGATATCTCAGAACCACACAACCACATGGAAATTAAACAACTTACTCCTGAATGACAGATAATGAAATCAAGGCAGAAATAAAAAAATTCTTTGAAATTAATAAAAACAGAGACATAACACACCAAAGTCACTGAGATGCAGTAAAAGTAGCATTAAAAGGAAAGTTTATAGCACTAAATGACTACATCAAGAAGTTAGAAAGATCTCAGGTTAACAGTCTAATATTGTACCTAGAGGAACTAGAAAACAAGAACAAACTAACCCCAAAGCAAACAGAAGAAAAGACAGAACTAAATCAGAGCAGAACTGAATGAAACTGAGGTGAAAAAAATTCATACAAAGGACCAACAAAACCAAAAGTTTGTTTTTTGAAAGGATAAACAAGATTGATAGACCACCAGCTAGATTAACAATGAAAAAAAAGAGACAAGATTAAAAAAAGGAAAATCAGAAATTACAAAGATGACATTACAACCAATCCCACAGAAATACAAAAGATCTTCAGAGACTATTTGAACACCTCTATGCAAACAATCTAGAAAATATAGAAGAAATGAATAAATTCCTGGAAATACACAACCTCCCAAGATTGAACCAGGAAGAAACTGGAACAGGCCGATATTGAGTTCCAAAATTGAAGCAGTAATAAAAACCTACCAACCAAAAAAAGCCCTGCACCAGATGGATTCACAGCTGAATTCTACCAGACATACAAAGAAGAGCTGGTACCAATCCTACAGAAACTATTCCAAAAAATCAAGGAGGAGGGACTCCTCCCTAACTCATTCTATGAAGCCAGCATCATCCTGATACCAAAATCTGGCAATGACACAATGAGAAAATAAAACTACAGGCCAATATCCCTGAGGAACATAGATTCAAAAATCCTTAACAAAATACTAGCAAACCGAATCCAGCAGCACATCAAAAAGTTAATTCACCACAATCAAATAGGTTTTATTCCTGGGATGCAAGTTTGGTTCAATATACACAAATCAATAAATGTGATCCACCACATAAACAGAATTAAAAACAAAAACCATATGATCATCTCAATGGACACAAAAAGCTTTTGATAAGATCCAGCACCCTTTTATGATAAAAACTCTCAACAAACTAGGCACTGAAGGAACACACCACAAGATAATAAGAGCCATTTATGACAAACCCATGGCCAACATCATACTGAATGCACAAAAGCTGGAAGCATTCCCCTTGAGAACTGGAACAAGACAAAGATGCCCACTCTCACCACATAGTACTGAAAGTCCTAACCAGACCAATCACGCAAGAGAAAGAAATAAAAGGCATCCAACTAGGAAAAGAAATCCAACCCATCTCTCTTTACCGATGATATGATCTTATACCTAGAAAACCCTAAAGGCTCCACCAAAAGGCTCCTAGAACTAATAAACCTCTTCAGTAAAGTTTTAGGATACTTTAAATCAATGTACAAAAAAAATCAGTATTATTATTATTTTTTTGATGGAGTCTCACTCTGTCACCCAGGCTGGAGTGCAGTGGTGTGATCTCGGCTTACTGCAAACTCTGCCCCCCAGGTTCAGGTGATCCTCCTGCCTCAGCCTCCTGAGAAACTGAGATTAAAGGTGCCCACCACCATGCCCAGCTAATTTTTGTATTTTTTGTAGAGACAGGGTTTCGCCATGTTGGTCAAGCTGGTCTCAAACTCCTGACCTCAAGTGATTCACCCATCTTGGCCTCCTGAAGTGCTGAGATTACAGGCGTGAGCCACTGCACCTGGCCTAAAAATCAGTAGTACTCTATATACCAATAATGTTTAAGCTAAGAGCCAAATCAAGAATGCAATCCCATTTACAATAGCCACAAAAAATACACCAAAATATATCTAGCCAAGGAGGTGAAAGATCTTTACAAAGAGAGCTATTAAACACCGCTGAAAGAAATCAGAGATGATACAAACAAATACAAAAACATTTCATGCTCATGGATCGGAAGAATCAAGATCATTAAAATGGTCATACTGCCCAAAGCAATTTATAGATTCAACACTATTCCTATCAAACTACCAACATCATTTTTCACAGAATTAGAAAACCGTATTCTAACGTTCATATGGAACCAAAAAAAGAGCCTGAATAGCCAAAGCAATCCAAAGCAAAAGGAACAAAGCCAGAGGCATCATATTACCTGACTTCAAGGTAATATACTACAAGGCTACAGTAACCAAAACAGCATGGTACTGGTACGAAAACAGACACATAGACCAATGGAACAGAATAGAGAACCCAGAAATAAAGCTGCACACCTACAGCCATCAGCTCTTCAACAAAGTCAACAAAAACAAGCAATGGTGAAAGGACTCCCTATTCAATAAATGGTTTTGGGATAACTGGCTATCCATATGCAAAGAATGAAACTGGACCTCTACCCATCACCATATACAAAAATTAACTTATGATGGATTAAAGACTTAAATGTGAGACCTCAAACTATAAAAATCCTAGAAGGAAACCTAGGAAATATCCTTCTCAACACTGGTCTTGGCAAATAATGTATGGCTAAGTCCTCAAAAGCAATCACAACAAAAACAAAAATTGATAAGTGGGACCTAGTTAAAGAGCATCTGCACAGCAAAAGAAACTTTCAACAGAGTAAACAGACAACCTACAAAATAGGAGAAATTATTTGCAAACTATGCATCCAACAAAAATCTAATATCCAGAATCTAATGGGAACTTAAACAAATCAACAAGCAAAAAGCAAATAACCCCACTGAAAAGTGGGCAAAGGACATGAACAGGCACTTCTTAAAAGAAGACATACACATGGCCAACAGACATATTAAAAAATGCTCATCATCACTAATCATCAGAGAAATGCAAATCAAAGCCGCAATGATATACCATCTCACATCAGTCAGAGTGGCTTTTATTAAAAAGTAAAAAAATAACAGATTTTGGTGGTGCTGCAGAGAAAAGGGAATGCTTGTACACTGTTGGTAGGAATGTAAATTAGTTCAGTCACTGTGGAAAGAAGTTTGGAGATTTCTCAAAGAATTAAAAATAGAACTATTATTCAATCCAGCAATCTCATTACTGGGTACATACCCAAGGGAAAATAAATAGTTCTACCAAAAAGACACATGCACGCATATGTTCACTGCAGACATATTCATAATAGCAAAGACATGGAATCAACCCAGATGTCCATCAATGGTGGACTGGTTAAAGAAAATGTGGTAAATATACACTGTGGAATACTACACAGCCACAAGAAAGAATGATTTGATAGCACAATAGGGGAACTATTAGTCAATAATAATTTACTTGTACACTTGAAAATAACCAAAAGAGTGTAACTGGATTGTTTGTAACACAAAGGATAAATGCTTGAGGGGACAGATACCAAATTTTCAATGATGTGATTATTATGTATTGCATGCCTGTACCAAAATATCTATGTACCCCATAAATATATATGCCTACTATGTATCACAAAAATTAAAAATAAAAAAAGTAAAAAAGAGGTAAACAAAAGAAGAAGAAGAAGAAGAAATAACAAAATTATGTCTTTTGTAGCAAGATGGATGGAGCTGGAGGCCATTATCCTGAGTGAACTAATGCAGAAAGAGAAAATCAAATACTGCATGTTCTTGTCTATAAGTGGGAGCTAAACATTGGGTACACATGGACATAAAGATGGGAACAATAGACACTGGGGACTACTAGATTGGGGAGAGAGGGAGGGAGGCAAAGGCTGAAAAACTATGTATTGAGTAATATGCTTGATACCTGGGTGACAAGCTTCAATTGTACTCCAAACCTCAGCAGCACACAATATACCTTTGTAACAAACCTGCATACGGACCCCTGTATATAAAAGTTGAGAAAAAAGCCAAAAACAAAAAAGAAATTGAAAAGCACACAAACAAAGGGTAAGACATCCCATGTGCATGGATTGGAAGAATTAATATCACTAAAATGACTATACTTCTCAAGTAAATCTACAGATTCACTGCAATTCTTGTCAAAATACCAACATCAATTTTCCAGAATTAGAATGAACAATCCTAAAATTCATATGGAACCAAAAAAAAAAAAAAAAAAGCCTGAATAGCCAAAGCAATCCTGAGCAAAAAGAACAAAACTGGAGGCATCACAGTATCTGACTTCAAAATATATTACAAGGCTATAACAACCAGAACAGCATGGTATTAGTATAAAAAGAGACACATAGACAATGGAACAGAGAATCCAGAAATACATTCAAGTATTTACAGCCAACTGATTTTTGACAAAAGTGCCAGTAATATACACTGAGGAAAGGACACCCTCTTCAATAAATGATGCTGAGAAAATTGGATATTTATATGCAGAAGAATGAAATTTCACTCCTAACTCTCACCATATACAAAAATTAAAGACTTCAATGTAAGACTTCAAATTATAAAACTATCAGAAGAAAATACAGGGAAAACACTTCAGGATGTTGGTCTAGCAAAGATTTTATGGCCAAGACCTCAAAAACACAGACAAAATATACAAATGGGACTACGTTAAACCAAAGAGATTCTGCACAGCAAAGGAAACCATCAACAGAGTGAAGAGACCACCTGTTGAATGGGAGAACGTATTTGCAAGCTATTCATCCAACAAGAGACTAATATCCAGAATACACAAGGAACTCAAACAACTCAACAGTAAAAACAAAAACAAATAATCTCATTAAAAGGTAGGCAAAGGACATGAATAGACATTTCTCAAAAGATGTACAAGGGGCCAACAGGTATATGAAAAAATGCTCAACATTACTAATCATCAGAGAAATGCAAATCAAACCACAGTGAGATATCATCTTACCCCAGTTAGAATGGCTATTATTAGAAAAAGTAGCAGATGCTGCTGAGGATGTGGAGAAAAGAGAACTCTTATACACTGTTGGTAGGTATGTAAATTAGTATAGTCATTATGAGAAACAGTATTGATATGTCTCAAAAAACTAGAAATGGGCTGGGTGTGATGGCCTATAATCATGCCTATAATCCCAGCACTTTGGGAGGCTGAAGTGGGAGGATCACTTGAGTCCAGGAGTTGGAGACCAGCCCAGGCAACATAGGGAGACCCTGTCAGTACAAAAAAAATTAAGTTAAATTAAATTAAAAAACTAAAAGTAGAACTACCATATGATCCAGCAATCCCATTACCGGGTATTTATCCAAAGGAAAATAAATCAGTGTATCAGAGGGTTACCTGCACAAACATGTTTATTGCAGCACTATTCACAATAGCATAGATATGGAATCAACCTAAGTGTCCATGAGCAGACGAATGGATAAAGAAAATGTGGTATATATACACAGTGGAATACTACTCCGCCATAAAAAGAATGAAATCCTGTCATTTGCAGCAACACGGATGGAACTAGAGGTCATGATGTTATGTGAAATAAGACAGGCACAAAAAGACAGATATCATATGTTCTGACTCATGTGGGAGCTAAAAAAGTTGATCTCATGGAGGTGGAAGGCAGAATGATGGATACCAGAGGCAAGGAAGGGCATGCGGGTGGGAGGGGTAAGAAGAGAGGTCGGTTAAAAGGTACAAACATACCATTAGATAGAAGTTATCAGTTACAATGTTCCATGACAGAGAAGAGTAATTAGCAACAATGTGTTATATATTAAATACTTGAAAGTAGCTAGAAGAGAGGACTTGAAATGTTCTTAACGCCTAGAAATGATTAATGCTAGGCCAGGAATGGTGGCTCACACCTGTAAACCCAGAATATTGGGAGGCCAAGGTGGGCGGATCACCTGAAGTCAGGCGTTCCAGATCAGCCTGGCCAACATGGTGACACCCTGTCTCACTATTACAAAAAATACAAAAATTAGCTGGGCGTGATGGCACGCACCTGTAATCCCAGCTACTTGGGAGGCTGAGGCAGCAGAATCGCTTGAATCAGGGAGGTGGAGGTTGCAGTGAGCCAAGATTGCGCCACTGCACCCCAACCTGGGTGACAGAGCGAGACATCGTCTTAAAAAAAAATAAAAATAAAATAAAAAAAGGATTAATCCTCAAGGTGATGGATATCCCAAATGCCCTGACTTGATCATTACACATTCTATTCATATAACAAACCAAGCAAATCTAGCTTTGCTGTTTACAGCAGTGCATCTCTGAGCAAGTCACTTAGTCTCTCTGAATGTTGACCTTCTGGTCTGTAAAATCAGGAAAATACAAGGATTGGGAAAATGTATGTAAGGCATTTGGTATACATAGGCACCCAATAAATGGTTGCTATTTTTCAAAAATCACATCACTCATTTGTTTCCATTTTATTGTAAAAATTTTCAAACACATAGCAAAGTAGAAAGAATTTTACCATGAATAGCTATACACTAACCACCTAGATTCTACCATTAGCATTTTACTAAAATTGCTTCTTCACTTATCTATCCATCTCTCCATTCTTCTATCTACCCATTAATCTATCTTATTTTAGTGATTCATTTTAAAGTAGATTGCAGGCGTCAGTACGTTTTCCCCTAAATACTTCAGCATGCATATCAAACTAGAGTTCAGTATTTGGTTAGCTTTTTCATTTGATGTAAACTTTAGATACAATGAAATGCATGAATCTTAAGAATACATTTGCCGAGTTTTGACAAGTGTAAACACCTGTGTAATCCAAACACCCATCGAGATATATACATTTGTATCACCACCGAAAGTTCCCTCATGCATATACATTTGTATCACCACCGAAAGTTCCCTCATGCTGCTATAGCAAGATGTCCTAGACTGGGTAAAAAGGAAAAAAGAAAGAATGTTCCCTCATGATCCTTCCCAGTCCTTTCCTCTTTCACCCTAGAAGTGACCACTGTTCCAATTCTTTTTCCCTCTATAAAGTACTTATTATAGAACGTCATATAAGTAGGATCACATGCAGGACAGTTGTGCAGGTGGCCTCAGACTGAGCCAGTTATTCCCCTTTTCTTGCTTGTAGTGCTCAAGGATAACCGTAGAATATGCTGGAAATGCAACATCTTGAGATAAGGGGAAGCTGGCCAGAACAACCTGGGCTTTGTGCCTGTTCCCCACTACCCAGAAACAGGATTCCTTCAATACTCTAGCCCAGTGTGTTACAGTACCCCTGGGTCTAAAACCCAGAGCACGCTGCTTGCCGCCTTCAGCTGCAGTGCAAGTGAGGTATTCACAGTCAAACTCATCCACCCCAGGCAGTTTTCTGAGCCTTGCGGGACTGGGTCACAACGAATCCTAGGCTTCTGTTATCCCTTGCTGCTTATCTGTAAGGAATAAACCCACTTCATGTAACTCATATGTGTGGCTCTTCTGTCTTACCAGACTCAGACAAGCAGTGTGCAGTGAACTTACTTTTCATGATATAGTCTGTACTCTTATGTAAGGCTCCTTTCACTCAGCATGTTTTTGAAACTCATGTGATTAGTGGTCCATTTTTTTTTTATTGCTGATTAGTATTCTATTGTATGAACATAGCACCATTTGTTTGGCCATTATCTTGCTATTCATTTTTAATAAATACTGGTTACCTTCCTTCTTTCCTTATAGTGGATCATCATGAACAATATCAACTGCCATGGAACTCAACCAGAAGTGAATTGGCAACCCTGAGAAAAAACACTGAGCTGGTGGGAGAGGATGCTCCTTATACTGTAAGATCTCCAGTTAGTTCTTTAGATATAGCATGATCAGAGATAGATTAGATTTTAATTTCCTCCAGGGAGATCCCTCACTTTGTCTTATTTTTATTCAGTGCATTTCCCCAGCTTCCTCCACCATGAAATGACTTGGAGCCAATTAAGAGCCTTCTGCTTCCTCATCAGTAATATTTATGACTATGGAAATATTTATGGTGCATGGAGAGAGCTTGGGTCAGGTAGGAGACCAAGCTTTTGCTGTCCTTGTAAATGGGATTTGTCTCCTGCTTGTTTTTGCCAGAGCTGTAAAATGGAAGAGTGCACATAGTATAGTTTAAGGTTGCTTTTTTTTTTTCATCTACGCTTAGCATTCAGGCTGTGGATTATTACTGACCTTTGTGCTTGGAATGAAGGAGGCATTTTGGTTTTCTGGAGACTTTGGTAGTGTCAACCCCTTTTTCTGGGCCTGCCATCAAACCCCCTGTCCAGGCTAGAGCTATAACATGCTAGGGGAAGGCCTTTTTTAATCCAGTAAAAAAATTTCTGCAATCTGTATGAGGCTCAGGAGGTGCTGGAAGCCACCTAAATACATAAATGTGGAAGGGCCAGAGTCATTTTGTGTTTCTGGTAAAATTGCCAAGGAAGCAATTCTTTCACCCCAGTATCCATTTTTCTTTACTCTCCCTGCATGCCTTTATTCCCATCTCTCACGAATTTCCTTTCTCCTTCCAAGTCTAAGGCCTCCACCTGGACTGGGAACCCATCCTCTGCTACCCAGACCTGGCCAATCTCTGTTAAGAATTCCATTGCAAATGTGGCTTCTCCCTTCCCCCTTCCCCCACTGTCCCCAAACACTGTTTCCATCTCTCCTATAATATTAACATATATTTATAAAAATAAATATTTGTATCAAGAACACATTTATACAAACAGATCTATTTAGGAATGCCTCCTATGTGCCAAGTCGCCCTTTCACATGACTGCCGTCTTGTCTTCGCTTCTGCAATTCTTGAAACCTGCACTCTCTGCCATAGTTTCCCCACTTCTTAGTCCTTCACAGCCTTGTCCATTCTTACCACTCTACTGAGAGAGTCCCAAAGGTTGCCATCGGCTTCTCAGCTGGCAGACAGGGCAGGCTCTCCTCAGTCCTGCCTCCTTCTGGTCCTGATAACCAGTCCCCTCCCTGTCACCTTCTGAGATGCAGCAACATTCCATCACTTCCCACAACCCTACCATTCTGCCTTTTCCTTTATTGGATTTTATTTTCCTCCCACATCCTAAAGGTGGTCATTTCTCAAAGTGATGTCCTTGAACTGATGTCATCCCTTCTCCTACCATAATTTCAGCTCTCCCTGTGGGCAGCTGCATCCCGAGTCTGTGTCTAGCTCTAACCTCCCCTTGGATTTCAGACCCTAATTCCAAGTTGCTTTCTAGACACCTCTTCCTGAGTCACTTCACCCCTAAAACCAACCTTCTCTCCTACGTGAAGAG